>NC_000006.12:36120606-36423636 GCF_000001405.40 Homo sapiens | reverse complement strand
TTGTTATTACGGCGTCGAGAACGCCAGATAGAGTAACCAAAGACTGATAGAATAAATAACGCTGGTGTGTGTAATTCGGGAACCCGGCCTCCCTAACTCCCGCTCCCGCCAGGAGCCCGAGGCGAGCTACGCGCGCGCCGCCGCCGGCCGCGTCGCCATGTGCGCTCCCCATTGGCCACAGCTGGCCCACGTGACCTCTATCGCCTAACCTGCTCGTCCGCGCGCGCGCTTTTTCCACCACAGAAAGCCTAGGGCGGGAGCGGGGTTCTCACTGGTTGCGCGGGTCGCGCGCCCAGCTAAAGTGCGCGAGGTGGTTCCGAGGACCTGGCGGCGCTCTCTGGCGGGGAGCCTGAGAAAATGCCTAAGTACTGTCCAGAGGAAAACTCTTACTGAGGAAGCAGGAGATTGAGGAGGTCCACCTCTCCCCTCAGTGGCTTCTGTCCGGGGCTGTGACACAGACAGACTGAAAATGGAAACCACAAGGCAGGAATGTGACTCGCTGAAGCCAAGATTTATCTCTTTGGGGGCGCTCTACACATACAAACATAACTCTTCGGGGGAAAATACATAATTTTTGTATGGGGAATTCAAAGCCACATTTTCTTAGAAGAGTTGAGGGTCGTGGGAAGTCCAGAGCAACCATCCTGATACACATCATTTAAGGGAAATTAGAAACTCCTGGGGAAACAAAGATGAGTAAAAGCAAAAGGAGGCCCTGCCCACCATTGCTGTGCGGGAATGGAGTGATTTGACAAGGGGCAGAAGTGTAATAATTACTGATGGGAAAGGGCTAAATAAATAAATGCGTGTGCATGTGTGTGTAAGTAGTATAAATGGGAAATATAATTGTAGAATTCAATAGAGAGTACAGTTTAGCTTATTTTTCTCTTTAAGAGTGCTTGGAAGCTTTGCTTTTGCTTTTTTTAATTTTTTGCCTCGATGGCTCACCAACCCTTCCTCCTCTAGATATACATTTTCTTTTTTAATTCGTTCATTCATTCCAGAAATTCTAGAACCTACTATATTCCAGGCACTGTGCTAGGTACTGAGATGACAGTGATAAATAAAAACAGTACCAGTTCCTTCAGTCATGGAGCGTATGGTCTGGTAAAGGAAGCAGACAGTAGTTAATTGCACATATCAATGTTAAATATAATGTGATAAGTGCTAAGGAGAGGTCTAGATGTCATAATGGGGGATTTGACCTAGCAGGGAGATCAGAGAAGGCTTCCCTCAAGATGCAACCCCTGACATGAGACCTGAAGGGGTTAAGGGGGATGGAGGTTGCAGACAGAGGGAGCAGCTTGTGCAAGGGAGAACTGGGAGCCTCTCCCCTTCCAATTACTGCCCATCTCACCCATTTCCACTATACATACATTAATCTTGCCCCTTAGTTCTCAGGAGACATTTGTTCTCTTAATTCCAAGTTCTTAGGGAGTGCCTGGTTGTAACCTACAATGATTGTTAAAGACAGTGTTATTCAATAGGTAAGTATACATATCTAATATACATATCAATATACATTTAATATACAATACATATTAATATACAGTCTAATATGCATTATCTCTGTTGTTTTGTATAAGAAAAATATACAATGACTGTAACAAATCGTAGGATATGATATATCTCAATAGAACTAAAAGTGCTGTAGACAAAGTAGTGAGAGATCACATGATTTTGGAAGACTCAAAAAAGGCATCTTAGAGAAAGTAATTTTCAAAAATCATTGAGGTAAGATTTGGTCAGATAAAGATACAATTTAGTTAGAGCATAGGGTTCTAAAAGAAGAGTAAGGAGGTTGGACCAATCAGTTGAAATACATTCCAAGGGCTTTGAAAACCAGTCTAAAAAGTTTGTAGAAACTAAGCTAGTGCAGCGGCTTGCCTCTGTAATCCCAGCTATTCCAGAGGCTGAGATGGGAGGATTGCTTGAGCCCAGGAGTTTGAGATCAGCCTGGGCAATGTAGCAAAACACACTCTCTAAAATATTTTTAAAAGTTTGTAGAAATTAAAAAGTTCTATTTAAGTTTTAAAAACTTTCCTGAGATACTTTTTCTCCCCTAATATTTGTCTTGGAAAATTTTAAATCTACAGAAAAGTGGCAAAATTAACTCTGTGGTTATTCGTAAACCCTTCCCACAGATTAATCAGTTTTGTTTTGCTTTGCTTTTTTTGAGACAGGGTCTTACTCAGTTGCTCAGGCTGAAGTGCAGTGGCGCGATCATAGCTCATGGCAGCCTCGAACTCCTGGGCTCAAGTGGTCTTCCTGCCTCAGCCTCCCAAGTAGCTGGGACCATAGGTATGCATCATCAGGCCCAGCTAATTTTTTGTTTTTTGTAGAGACAGCATCTCACTTTGTTACCCAGGCTCATCTTAACTCCTGGGCTCAATGATCCTGCCTTGTCCTTCCAAAGTGTTGGGGTTACAGGCGTCAGCCACACCTGGCCTTGGTTTTTTTTTGTCGTTGTTGTTGTTGTTTTTTAATTTTGCCCCATTTGCTTTATCCTAAGAACAAGGATATTTTTCTGCATAACCACAATACAATTATGACACTTCCGAGATACTTTTTTTTTTTTTTTTGAGACGGAGTCTCTATCTGTCGCCCAAGCTGGAGTGCAGTGGCACAATCTTGGCTCGCTGCAACCTCCGCCTCCCGGGTTCAAGCGATCCTCTTGCCTCAGCCTTCCCAGTAGCTGGGATTACAGGCGCACACCACCATGCCCGGCTAATTTTTTTGTATTTTTAGTAGGGATGGGGTTTCACCATGTTGGCCAGGCTATTCTCAAACTCCTGACCTCAGGTGATCCGCCCACCTTGGACTCCCAAAGTGCTGGGATTACAAGTGTGAGTCACCACGCCTGGCCCTGAGATACTTTTAAATTTAAATTTTGAATAAGTATTTATGAATTAATAATAAGTGACTTACCAATTTTAATTTTATAGCACGTTGTAAGTGCTATATGTTTGCTTAAAAAATATATTTTCTTGGCTAGAAAAATAAAGAATATGAAAAGGCATACAGTGAAGACTCTCTCTTTCATTCTTGTCCCCCATCTGCTCAGTTCTCACTCCCCCAGTTCCCTATCTTAGGCAACTATTGTTCTTAGATTCTCAGGTATCTTTCCAGAATTTCTTTATACAAGCATGGACAATTGTGAATATGGACTTTTGTTCCTATTTTTGGATGAAAAGTATCATATTAAGCACATGATTCTTACTTGCTTTGTCACTTAATATGATTTGGAGATCCTTCTGCATTAATGCTTAAATAACTTCCTCATTGTTTTTTACAGTGGCATAGTATTCCATTGTGTGGATATACCATAATTTATTTAAACTGTTCCCTACTGACTTACACTTGGGCTGTTTCCAATTACTTAATATTGAAACCAATGCTGCAACAGATAACCTTAAACATATTTCTGTTTGTAAAATTTGATTGATAGATAGATAGATAACATTGCTCCCTACATAGGTTGTACCAATCTAAATTCCCACCAGCAATTGTGAGAGTATCTCCAGGCTTTTACAACAGTGGCTGACATGTTGTAAGTGCTATATAAGTGTTTGCTTAAAAAATAGATTTTCTTGTTTAGAAAAATAAATAAATGAAAAGATGTACAGTGAAAAGCCTAGCCCTAAACCCACCTACTTAGGAGCTTACTCTTGGCTGAGGTGAATCAATGCATTGAGACCCTGGCCCTCTCTTCCCACACTATCTTCTCCCTCCCACTCTTGACTCTGTTGTAGGGTCTTGGAGATTTGGGGACCATTGCTGATCAAAGGCCAAATATTTCGCCTGGTTCTAAACCGGGAGCTTTAAATACATGAATGTGCATTATTGTTGCTGTTTTACAACTTTAAATGAAAGGAGAGCTGACTTCAAGACAAATGGAAAGGTAATGCTGTTTTTAGATAAAGCTACAGAGTAGCCAGCCTTTTTCATACAACCCTAACCTAATCAACAAATATCTATTGAGTACTTCCTATGTATAGGGCACTGAGCTAGGTCTTAGAGTTATGAAATAGATACATGCCCTCAAGGATTTCACCATTTAGTTGTTTAGACAGGCACAAAATATAAATAATCATTATGTCAAGTTTCAACATGCTTTTGCTTTTGGCGTACTCACTGCTTTCCTTCCTGTCTCCTTCCTCCTCTGCCCCTTTGCCTACCTAACTGCCCTGATCACTGAGCTGCCCAAGGCTTGTTGGTTTCCTTGTAGCTCCTTCATTTCTCCCAGTGTCCATTATTGAAACTTACCCAACTTGTATTTCACTTTCCTGATGCAGATATTAGGGTTTGTATTTCTCAAGTGATAATTAGTTATGATTAGTTATTCTGTTAAACTAATAGTTACAAATCAATATGCTTTTGATTGGCACAGGCAGGCCTAGCCCATTTGGAAGTAGGTGAAATTTGTTCAGTCTTCCCATTTGATTCCTGTCTGGGCACCTTCTCTCCTGGGTGAGCTCTCAACCCTCATTGATGTCCTCACTTTTTTTCAGGTGATTGTCAACTAATCATTAGGGTGTTATTTCAAAATGGTTTGAAGTGAGGATCTCAGGAGTATGTGTATGTTTCAAGATACAATTTTATAGAAAACTGAAATTACAGGCAATAGGGTTGCAATTTTGATCAGAAGGCCGTAAGCCACCGACTTAGGGACTTACCCTTGGCTGTGGTGAATTAATGCCCTGGCCCTCCCTGCCCCACACTATCTCCCCCCTGCCACTCTTTACTCTGTCATGGGATCCTGCAGTTTTGGGGACCATTACTGTCAGAGAACTTTGAACCCAGCTGGCAGCTGTGGCTCAGTGGCCTCTGGAGGAGAGTGGGAGTGTAACGGTGGAAGTGAGTCGGTACTCTCCAGTGCCCTCAGGCACTCTTCCCTTTATCTTCTCCCAGTCAGCTTGCAGCCTCGCTGCCCATGGTGAAAGGTGATTTTTTTTCAATCTCTATCACTCTGTGTAGGTGGCTGCCTTTTCCACTCAGCAGAAGTGGTTCTCACTAGTTGCCCAATGTATTTAAAAGTGTGGATTTGTATACTGATGCTGTATTTTTGTTGCATTAATTTTTTTTAAATCAAAGCAACTCAGGTTCATGGAAACAAATCAACTAGTACAGAGAGCTTATGTTGAAAAGGGGCTTGGACCAGCACCTGGCACATAGAAAGCCCTCTATTTGTTGAATGAATGAATAAATGAATGAATACAAAGTCAGTGTCCAGCCTGTCCTTTTCACCTCCACCCCATCCCACCATTCCATTACTAGCAGTGAAATTCCTTAATTGGTCATGTTTTCCAGTTTTCTAGATCCGTGATTCTTAACCCTGGGTGCATGTTAGAATTATCTGGGGAGCTTAAAAAACAAACAACAACAACAAACCTATGTGTATTCTCATTCCCAGACTAACAAATTTACTTTTTTTTTTTTTTGAGACGGAGTCTCGCTCTGTCGCCCAGGCTGGAGTGCAGAGGTGCGATCTCAGCTCACTGCAACCTCCGCCTCCTGGGTTCACGCCATTCTCCTGCCTCAGTCTCCCAAGTAGCTGGGACCACAGGCGCCCGCCACCACGCCCGGCTAATTTTTTATATTTTTAGTAGAGACGGGGTTTTACCATGTTAGCCAGGATGGTCTCGATCTCCTGACCTTGTGATCCGCCCGCCTCAGCCTCCCAGAGTGCTGGGATTACAGGCATGACCACCGCGCCCTGCCCACAAAATTACTTTTTAAGCCTCCAAGCTGATTGTCTTGTGCAGCCAGAATTCAGAACCAAACCAGTGTTCTAAATAATGTGCATTTACATTTATTCCTCTCTCTCTTTTTTTCTTTTCTTTTTCTTTCTTTCTTTTTTTTTTTTTTTGAGACAGGATCTCACTGTGTCTCCGAGGCTGGAGTGCATTGGTGCAATCTCAGCTCACTGCAGCCTTGACCTCCTGGGCTCAAGCGATCCTCCCACCTCAGCCTCCCAAGTAGCTAGGACTGCAGGCGTACACCACCACGCCCGGCTAAGTTTTTGATTTTTTTTTTTTTTTTTTTGTAGAGACGAAGTCTCACTATGTTGCCCAGACTAGTCCGAAACTCCTGGGCTCAAGCGATCCTCCTGCCACTGCCTCTCGAAGTGCTGGGATTGCAGGAGTGGGCCACCATGCCTGGCCTGCTGCTATCTCTTGGTTAATCAAACTCATATCATTCATTGACTCCGTGACATGGCAGATGAGGTTTAGCGCATACTGCACCCTCTCTTTTTCTCATATTTGATGTTAAATTATTATTATTATTTTGAGACGGAGTCTTGCTTTGTTGCCCAGGCTGAATTGTAGTGGCGCAATCTCGGCTCACTGCAGCCTCTGCCTCCCGGGTTCAAGCGATTTTCCTGCCTCAGCCTCCTGAGTAGCTGGGATTACAGGTGCCCGCCACCACGCCTGGCTAATTTTTGTATTTTTAGTAGAGATGGGGTTTCATCATTGTTGGCCAGGCTGATCTCGAACTCCTGACCTCAGGTGATCTGCCCGCCTCGGCCTCCCAAAGTGCTGGGATTACAGGCGTGAGCCACTGTGCCCGGCCGTTAAGTTATTTTAATACTTCTCTCTGTTGTCTTCATAAACTTAAATAATTTGCACTCCTATTTCTTATTTGATCCATGTTCAGCAATATCACATGAACTCCCATTTTGTAGGATGAAGATACTAACTTCCATGTCTTCTTCTCACCCAGTCTTCTGGAGCCTTCTATTTGTTCCCTATATTTTTTAATTCTTACATTTTTGAAGTTGTTACCATTTGCATTCTGGCCTCCAGCCACAGTCAGCTCTTCCATGCTATCCGTAAGTTGTTTCTAAAAGTTACAAACCAATAAACTTGGTTTACATTATAGTATCTATATAGTGTCTATCACCAGGTCTAGTGATAGTAGCTGACATTTATATAATACAGGATTTATTGTATAGTAGGTACTTTATGAACATCGTTGTTTAATAGTCATAATGATCAGAAGGTCCCTTTTTAAAAATGGGGAAACTGAGGCACAGAGAAGTTGAGGCTTACCTAAGAACAGGAAGTCAGAAAGTGACTGAGACAGAACTTGAACCATTTCCTACAGAAGGATAGGATGAATTTTTTTTTCTTTAGGTACAAGTTTAGGACCCTTGCCAGCTGGAAAGACAATGCACATCAAGGTCAAATACATATTTTTCTCTTCTCTGTTTTGGGGAGGAATAAGGGTGGTCTTTGGGTCCAGTCAGTTTTCTTTTTTCCATTTCTGTTTATTCTTTTTAGAGATAGGGTCTGGGTCTTTGTCTGTTGCCCAGGCAGGAGTGCAGTGGCATGATCATAGCTCACTGCAGCCGCCAGCTCCTGGGCTCAAGCGATCCTCCCACTTCAGCCTTCTGAGTAGTTAGGACCACAGGTGCACTCCATCACACCCGGCTATTTTTCTTTTCTTTTCTTTTCTTTTTGGTAGAGACAGGGTCTTGGTCTATATTGCCCAGGCTGGTTTCAAATTCTTGGGCTCAAGTGATCCTCCTGCCTCAGCCTCCCAAAGTGCTGGGATTGCAGACGTGAGCCACCCTGCCCTGCCACTTTTTTTTATTTCTGGTAGTGACTAATTTCAAACACTTCAGGATCTCTTTCCTTCTTAGCAGATGGACCAGTCTCCTGTTTCATATACAAAATTGATGTCTTCAGGGGTAAATACCTGAATCTTCCTCTCACTTCTTCCAGACTTCCTTAAATGAGCATCATATCTTATCTCCTGTCCTGTCTCAAAGGAAGGGGGAACCCTCCTCCTGTTCAAAACTAATCCTCATATTTGTATTTACATTCCTTCTTAACTTCTGGGACTTCACCTCAACAATTTGCCCTACTGTATCTCCCATTTTCTGTTGCTCCTGATCTAATTTCTCTCCTCAATCTGCAAACCTGCTCAAGACTCAACTAAGAAAGTTCCTCCAACACACCTCCTCCAGCTACTGCCAATTGTCTCATTCCTTCATCAGGACACTTCTTAGAAGAGCAGTCTACACATATTGATGCCAAGTCCAGTTTGGTAACTCAAATTCATACTCACCGTCATGAAAATTTCCATTCATCCCCACTACAAGACCAGTTCTCTTTTCTTATACTTAGAACCTGGGTTATACCAGCAATTCTTTTTGTTTTATTTAATTAATTAATTAATTAATTTTTTGAGACAGAGTCTAACTACATCGCCTAGGCTGGAGTGCAGTGGTGCGATCTCGGCTCACTGCAGCCTCCGCCTCCCAGGTTCAAGTAATTCTTCTACCTCAGCACCCCCTAGTAGCTGGGATTACAGGCACGCGCCACCATGTCTGGCTAATTTTTGTATTTTTAGTAGAGGCAGGGTTTCACCATGTTGGCCAGGCTGGTCTCGAACTCCTGACCTCAGATGATCCACTTGCCTCAGCCTCCCAAAGTGCTGGGATTACAAGCATGAGCCCCCGCGCCTGGCCGGCAATTCTTTTTAAAGGATCAATTTGTCCTTGGCAAGAGACTTTGAGCCTTCCTGAGATTGATTTGTAGGCCTGCTAAATTTAAGCAAATTATTTCGAAATTATTATTCAGACCAAAGATTGTTAAGAATTAAACATTTAACTATGATAAATTTGATTATGAAAGGGCATGCCCTTTGAGTTGGTGCCATAACTATTGATTTTGTACTTGAAATATTTGCATCTTCAAAGCGATTGAATTTAAAGCACTAGCTAATGCTCTAAAATCCTCATAAAAGAAACCACTTTCCCCAACTAAAAGAAGAGGTCACTTTGAGTTTGAGATGAAGCCTTGAGCTCTGGTGAGGTGGTTTATCTCTGAGAAAGGGAGACATGTATTTTCCAATCTGGCAGCAGATGGCCCAGAATGTGGAGAGGCCAAGACTTCCAGTACTTTCAACCTCATTTTTTTTCCATGTTGTGTCAGCATTCCAAAGGTAATGTTCAAATACTTCCTTGAAATTCCTTTAACAGTCTGGGACTTAGGGGTGGTGGCTACCAGCAACGAAGACTCTGTCCTGGAATGACTTTACCTTGAGAAAAATCACCTAAAATTATGCCTAGTTATACAGATAAAGCCCTGCCAGGTTTAACACAGAGGAATATCTTTTTGGAAGGAAGTATAAAACAATCCCTTCAGTTTAAACTTAAACCACATTTTAATTTGCTTCATATTTGGACCATAAGCTTCCTATATGATCTTTTATTGTTTTCTGGACTTTCTCATTTCCTTTCCTCCCCTCCTCCATGTGATTTGTAATTATTACATCCTCAAACTTCCCTAAGTTCTAAACCATACAATCACTTCCACCAAGTCTCCCTTTCCACTGGGAACTTCCCTTTGAGAGTTGTTATCTTGCTCCAATCTGGTTACTCTCTAGGCACACTGCATCACTGAGATTCTGGGACTTCCCTACACATGGGTTGGAGCCACCTTTTGTTAAATCTTGTGGTTTTTTCTTCTTAATTTAGTCTTACTCTATTTATTGTGTTTTACTGGAATACTTCCTCAAGAGGCTTCCTAACAAATGGTGTATGGAAGAAAAATTCCTGAGTCCTTGCATGTGTGCAAATGTCTTCATTAAACGCTCCCATATTTTTAATTTTTATTTTTATGTTTTTAGAGACAAGATCTCACCCTGTTTCCCAGGCTTGAGTGCAGTGACGTAATCTTAGCTCACTGTAGCCTTGAAGTCCTGGGCTCAACCTGTCCTTCTGCCTCAGCCTCTTGAGTATCAAGGACTATAGGCTCATGCCATCACATCTGGCTAATTTTTAAATTTTTTTGTACAGATGGGAGTCTCACTATATTGCCCAGGCTGGTCTCAAACTCCTGGGCTCAAGCAGTCCACTCATATCAGCCTCCCAAAGTGTTGGGATTACAGGCGTGAGCCACTGTGCCTGGCCCCGCCTCTCACATATTATTGACAGTTTAGCTGGGCATAGAATTCTAGATTGAAAATAATTGTTTATAACATCTTTGAGGGCATTAAAAAATTTCTCCCACTATATTATAATATCCATTGTTATTGATGGGAAGTCAGTTGCCAAATGAATTCATGTGTCTCCTCAAAGGTTTTAAAGAGTCTCCTTCTATTTATCCTTGGTGTTTTGAAATTTCAGTATGTTCAAAGGGTGAAGTTTTTATTTCGCCATTTGCTGTCCTGAGAACTTGGTAGGAGTTTCTTTCTTTCTTATTTTTTTTGAGATGGAGTCTCGCTCTGTCACCTAGGCTGGAGTGCAGTGGAGACATCTCTGCTCACTGCAAGCTCCGCCTCCTGGGTTCACGCCATTCTCCTGCCTCAGCCTCCCGAGTAGCTGGGACTACAGGCGTCCACCACCACACCCAGCTAATTTTTGTATCTTTAGTAGAGATGGGGTTTCACCATGTTAGCCAGGATGGTCTTGATCTCCTGACCTCGTGATCCGCCCACCTCGGCCTCCCAAAGTGCTGGGATTACCGGCGTGAGCCACCGTGTCCGGCCAGGATTTTCTAATATGAATGTTTGTGCCCTTTATTTCTGGGAAGCTGTTTTGCTTTGTTTTGATCATTTCCTCCTCTGTTTCACCCTCCCTGGAATTCCCATTAATCAGATGCTGGTCCTTTCATATTGTTTCTCTGTATTACCTATCTTTTCTCTCATGTTTTCAACTTCTGATTTTCTTTCTTTGAGATTTCCTTGACTTAACATTTTTTCTTTTTTTTTTTGACTTAACTTTTTTTCAGGCTATCAATTGTATTTTTAATTTTGGCGATCATATTTTTTAAATCTGAAAGATTTTGTTCTAGGATTTTTCTTTTTTCATAGCATTCTCTTTTGTTTTATGAATGTAATATTGTCTTAAATCTCTCTCTGAACAGGCCAGGTGCAGTGGCTCATGCCTGTAATCCCAGCACTTTGGGAGGCCAAGATGAAAGGATCGCTTGAATCCAGGAGTTCAAGACTCCATTTTTTTTTTTTTGAGACGGAGTCTTGCTCTCTTGCCAGGCTGGAGTGCAGTGGCATGATCTTGGCTCACTGCAACCTCCGCCTTCCAGGTTCAAGTGATTCTCTGGCCTCAGCCTCCCGAGTAGCTGGGACTACAGGTGTGCACCACCACACCCAGCTAAATTTTGCATTTTTAGTAGAGACGGGGTTTCACCATGTTGGCCAGGATGGTCTCGATTTCTTGACCTCGTGATCCGCCCACCTCGGCCTCCCGAAGTACTGGGATTACAGGCATGAGCCACTGCGGCCAGCCTATTTTTTTTATTTTTGTTTTTATTTTTGAGACAGAGTCTCACTCTGTCACCCAGGCTGGAGTGCAGTGGCACAATCTCGGCTCATTGCAACCTCGACCTCCCAGGTTCAAGCGATTCTCCTGCCTCAGCTTCCCGAGTAGCTGGGATTACAGGTGCACGCCACCACGCCTGGCTAATTTTTGTGTTTTTGGTAGAGACGGGGTTTCACCATGTTGGCCAGGCTGGTCTTGAACTCCTGACCTCAGGTGATCCACCTGCCTTGGCCTCCCAAAGTGCTGGGACTACAGGCATGAGCCACCGCGCCTGGCTCCATTCTTATTTTTAAAAACCTCTCTAAACACATACATTAGAATTTGCAAAACATTATTTTCTTTCACTGAATTATGTGTTTTCTTCAGGATTACTGTTTTGATTATCTGGTATTTGTTTTTTTGGCAAGGTCTTACTCTATTACCCAGGCTGGAGAGCAGTGGCAAGATCTTGGCTCAGTGCAGCCTCAACATCTTGGGCTCAAATGATCCTCTCACCTCGGCCTCTGAGTAGGTGGGACTACAGACACACATCACCACGCCTGGCTAATTTTTTGTTTGTTTTTATTT
The DNA here is from genome assembly GCF_000001405.40 of Homo sapiens. NCBI lineage: Eukaryota > Metazoa > Chordata > Mammalia > Primates > Hominidae > Homo > Homo sapiens. The sequence goes on along the minus strand of NC_000006.12, from coordinate 36,411,779 downwards.
TGTAGAGATGGGGTCTCACTATGTTGCCCAGGTTGCTTTTGAACTCTTGGCCTCAAGTAATCCTCCTGCCTTGGCCTCCCACAGTGCTGGGGTTACAGGCATGAGCCACCTTGTAGGTAATTCTTTGTTATTTTAGTGAAAGATACACTGGATAGCTAGTGTGGGTTTTTTCTGCTGTTATGTGAGAACTGTTCCCCCAGATGGGTAGTAATAACTAACATTTATATAGTGTTTACCTGTGTTCTAGGCACTGTTCTGTGTAACTCATCAAGTCATCTCAACAACCCCTCTATGAGGTAGTTACTATGGTATTTCTTTTTTCTTTTTTGAGATGGAGTTTCACTCTTGTTGCCCAGGCTGAAGTGCAGTGGCGGGATCTCAGCTCATTGCAACCTCCACCTCCTGGGTTCAAGCGATTCTCCTGCCTCAGCCTCCCGAGTAGCTGGGATTACAGGTGTGCACCACCATGCCCAGCTAATTTTTGTATTTTTAGTAGAGACGGGGGTTTCACTATGTTGGTCAGGCTGGTCTCGAACTCCTGACCTCAGGTGATCCACCCACCTTGGCCTCCCAAAATGCTGGGATTACAGGCATTGAGCCACTGTGCCCAGCCATGGTATTTCATTAAGTTCAATATTCCATCAATTGTAAGATGAACCATTATTTTGTTTACTACTAAAAAGGTAAATAATGCTGTTGAAATATGACATGCCATTATGAGATTATAAGACACATACTGATTATGCAGGTATTCAAGATCTTAGAATGAATAAAATAATACATTACTATTGCCATTTTACAAATGAAGAAGCTGAGGCATGGAGAGAATGGATAACTTGTGGCAGGTTACATAGTTAATATGTAGCAGATTTTATATTTGAATCCAAGCTTTCTGGCTTCAGAATTCTACCACTATGCCTAAGTGCCTCTCCAGGACTCTCCCAAATGGAGACTCAGATGGTGCATAGGAGGGTTTTGAGCTGTCTGGGCTTTAGGGAGATGAGTTAGTTTCTGGCTCCATGTCCCGCAAATGCCAGAACAAAGAGACCTTTAATTTGAGGTGCCAACGTCCATCAAGAAGCTTCTGCTTTCACCACAGGGTTTGACCTCTTCCATTAAAGAAGAGTGGTCTGGATTCCTTCCTTCCTTCCCTCCTTCCTTTTCTTCTTTCTTCTTGCTTTCTTTTCTTCCTTTTTTATTTCTTCCTTTCTTCTCTTCCTTTTCTTTCTGTTTGTCTTTCCCTCCCTTCTCCCTTCTCTTTCTCTCTCTTTCTTCCTTCCTCTCTTCCTCCCTTCCTTTCTTCCTCCCATTTCCTTCCTTCCTTCATTTCTTTTTTTTTTTCACTCTTGTTGCCCTGGCTGGCGAGCAATGGCGCTATCTCGGCTCACTGCAACCTCCGCCTCCCGGATTCAAGCGATTCTCCTGCCTCAGCCTCCCAAGTAGCTGAGATTACAGGCATGCACCACCATGCCAGGCTAATTTTGTATTTTTAGTAGAGACAGGGTTTTTCCGTGTTGGTCAGGCTGGTCTCGAACTCCCAATGTCAGGTGATCCACCCGCCTCGGCCTCCCAAAGTGCTGGGATTACAGGCATGAGCCACTGCACCTGGCCTTTCTCTCTCTCTCTCTCTCTCTCCTTCCTTCCTTCCTTCCTGGTCTCGAACTCCCGACCTCAGGTGAGCCACCTGCCTTGGCCCCCCAAAGTGCTGGGATTACAGGCACGAGCCACCGAGTCCCCCAGCCACCCTCCCTTCCTTCCTTTCTTTCTCTTTCCTTCCTTCCTTTTCTTTTTCTTTCTTTCTTTCTTTCTTTTTTCTCTTTCTTCCTTTCTCTTTCTTTCTTTCCTTCGTCCTTTCTTCCTTTCTCCCTTCCTTCCTTCCTTCTTTCCTTCCTTCCTTCCTTCTTTTCTTTTCTTTCTCCTTCCTTCCTTCCTTCCTTCCTTCCTTCCTTCCTTCCAGACAGGGTCTTGCTCTGTCACCCAGGCTGGAGTACAGTGGAACAATTATGGCTCACTGCAGCCTCAAACTTCTAGGCTTAAGTGATCCTCCCACCTCAGCCTCCCGAGATCTGAGACTACAGGCACACACCACCACACCTGGCTAATTTTTTGTATTTTTTCTAGAGACGCGGTTTCGTCATGTTACCCAGGCTGGCCTCAGACTCCTGGCCTCAAGTGATCCTCCCACCTCAGCTTCCCAAGGTGCTAGGATTACAGGCCTGAGCCACCTTACCTGGTCTGAATTCTCTTTTCTTTCTTTTTATTTGCCTGAACTCTGTGCTAGGTACAGTGAGCTGGGGGCACCAAGTGGTGCAGTTGATCCCCATCAGACTTCCAGTTAAGGGTGCGTCTCCCTCTCCCAGTCTCTGCGTCTTGGTGGGGTAGATGGGCTTCCAAGCATCAGGAGCCCCTGTGGTGGGTTCTCTGTGCTTTCTGTCCTGGTTTGTTTATTTGCATCTTGTCTCATCTGCTTTCTGCCTTCCAGAAACACACATAGGTCTCTCATCTGTTGTTGACCTGCCTCCCATTCTCTTCAGTGTTCTGGCCTTGTTCTTTTTCATACTTTGATTTTGGTGAGGTCTTGGGGGAGATTAGGAGAGATGGAGAAGCCAATGCTTGTGCTCAGTCTTGAACCAGAAGCCCCTAGACCCCTATTTTTAGTGAACAAAATCAGGAGTATAAATGGATGACCACTACGTGAGAAAATAAAATATTAACATTATGCCTGGCAGTGGAAAGGCACTTATAAAACCTTCACACCATGTTTGCTTAAAAGCTTTCCTAAATACAACTCGAGGGACAGGTGATGGGAGGTCCTTACGTAGGATTCTCAAAGTACAATAGTATTTTTTAAAGTTCCGACACATTGAGGCTGATTATTTCCTTTACAAAGTATTTTTTTTTTTGAAACATGGTCTTTGTCACCCAGGCTGGGGTGCAGTGGCATGATCATGGGTCACTGCAGCCTCAACCTCCCAGGCTCAAGCAATCCTCTCACCTTGGCTTCCCAAGTAGCTGGGACTACAGGCACTACCATGCCCAGCTAATTAAAACAATTTTTTTTTTTTTTTTTTTTTTTGGTAGAGACAGGCTCTCCCTGTGTTGCCTAGGCTGGTCCTGAACTCCTGGGCTCAAGGGATCCTCCCCCAACAGCCTCCCAAAATGCTGCAAAGCACCTGACCTACAAAAAATTTTTTTTTCTTTTTTGAGAAAAGATTAACCAAGTCCAGGCATGGTGGCTCACTCCTGTAATCTCAGTACTTTGAGAGGCTAACGAGGGAGGATCACTTGAGCCAGGAGTTCTAGACCAGCCTGGGCAACATGGTAAGACTGTCTCTACAAAAAATAAAAAATTAGCTGGGCATGGTGGTACATGCCTGTAGTCCCAGCTACTTGGGAGGCTGAGGTGGGAGGATTGCTTGAGCCTAGCAGGTTGCAGTGAGCTGTGATTGTGCCACTGCAACAGAGAGAAGCAGAGAGAGGCAATAGAGAGAGACCCTGTATTAAAAAAAAAAAAAAAAGGCTGGGCGTGGTGGCTCACATGTGTAATCCAAGCACTTTGGGAGCCTGAGGCGGGTGGAACACCTGAGGTCAGGAGTTTGAAACCAGCCTGACCAACATAGTGAAACCCTATTTCTACTAAAAATACAAAAATTAGCCGGGTGTGGTGGCAGGCTCCTGTAATCCCAGCTACTCGGGAGGCTGAGGCAGGAGAATCACTTGAACTCGGGAGGTGGAGGTTGCGGTGAGCCAAGATCGCGCCAAGGCACTCCAGCCTGGGCAACAGAGCAATACTCAATACTCCATCTCAAAAAAAAAAAAAAAGAAAGAAAAAGAAAAAGGATTAACCAGCTGGGCTTGGTAGCGACACATGTTGAAGTCCCAGCTATTTGTTCTTGGGTCAGGTGTCCACTTCTGATCCAATCCACTTTGGCCTGGGGTTGTGGTGGGAAAATGTAGGAAGGAAACTGATTGCTTAGGCAACAGGATAGATTCTCCTGGAGGGAAAATCTCTATCTAGGAGCAATAGGCTATACCTTTAAATAGGCTATACCTTTAATACAAGGACCTTAAGTTGTGTTTTAGGATTCTGAATCATCATTATTATCACACACTTTGGACGCGGAGGCAGGAGGATTGCTTGAGCCCAGAAGTTCAAGTCCAGCCTGGGCAACATGAGACTCCATCTCAAAAAAAAAAAAAAGATTAACCATGAAGTTTTTCCAAATTCCTTACTGGGCCATTTAGACTATGACTTTATCTTGAGACTTGTGTGTGGATGTATACATATTCCCACAACTTTTCAGTAACAAATATTACATAAAATGAGCAACTTTTTTCTCCTAGATATTAAAATTTTAATACTTGGAAAATAATACAGAGTTTTACTTTTTTCATTCATTTTGAATCTTGTTAAAGGAATTTTTTTGCCTCCAATATATAACTAGTTTAGAGCTGTGATCTAATGATTTCTTCCCTGTTACAATGTTTCTTACAATATGGTGGTATAGCTATCTTAGTGTATAAATGTCTGTAAGGCAGGTGCACCAACTCTCTTTAGCTAGCAAATAATGTCATATATAGGTTGAGTACTGCACAGCTCTCAATCTGTTTTACATTGAACTTTTGTGAGGAGTAGTAAATGACCAGAACTAAAAACACAACCTACTAGTATCACGAACTTAATTTTTAAATTCCACTTCCAGAGTCTGTGCTGAAGCTGATTTATAGCCAACATATACTCCTACAGTTTTATGTACATTCGACAGCTCTGGACAATGGAAATAATGGATATAGATATTTAAGATTATTTGTTTAGCTGCAGGGAAGAGAAATCTACTTCAGTCACCTCCAGAAAGATGTGGTTTCTGGTGAGGATGCTTATGAAAAGGAACTGAACTTGGAGGGCTTGGGCTCTGAGGCAGGCTGGCGCTGGGGCCCAGTCTTTCTTGAGTCTTTTTTTTTTTTTTTTGAAATGGAGTCTCACTCTGTCGCCCAGGCTAGAGTACAGTGGTGCCATCTTGGCCCACTGCGACCTCTACCTCCCGGGTTCAAGCGATTCTCCTGCCTCAGCCTCCCAAGTAACTAGGATTACAGACATGCACCGCCACACCCAGCTGATTTTTGTATTTTTAGTAGAGACGGGGTTTCACCATGTTGGCCAGGCTGGTCTCGAACTCCTGACCTCGTGATCCACCCACCTCAGCCTCCCAAAGTGCTGGGATTACAGGTGTGAGCCACCACACCCGACCTCTTGAGTCTTGGTTTCTTTCTGATTACCTGTTCAGTTTTCCTTTATTAGCCAACATCCCCTGTCCTTTCAATATTTTCTTCCTCTTCATAATTTTTACTTACAAGTGGCTTCAACTCATCATGGCCCCAACATAGTCCTGTGGCATTTGTGATCCCAATGCCACCCATGCCCTTAGTCTCCTGAGTCTATTGAGCAGAGAGGAACCTGAGTGACCCTGTTCCTTTTGGGACTAGGTTCTGAGTACTTGGCCAGGCAATGGATTATTTGTTCTTGGGTCAAGTGTCCACCTCTGATCCAATCCACTTTGGCCTGAGGTTGTGGTGGGAACATGTAGGAAAGAACCTGATTGCTTAGGCAACAAGATAGATTCTCCTGGAAGGGGGTGTGGGCAAATCAGATAGTGATTGGCATCTTTAAAACAAGGACCTTAAGTTGTGTTTTAGGAATCTGGATCATCATTATTATCACACATACACTCAAATCATTACACTAGTCATGTGTCAATGATGGGGACAGGTTCTGAGAAATCCATTGTTAGGTGATTTCATCATTGTGTGCACATCAGAGAGTGCACTTACACAAACCCAGATAGTATAGCCTACTACACACCTAGGCTAGACGGTATAGCCTGTTGCTCCTAGGCTACAAACCTGTACGGCATGTTACCGTACTGAATATTGTAGGCAATTGTAACACAATGGTGTTTGTGTATCTAAACATAGAAAAGGTAGAGTAAAAATATGGTATAAAAAGTAAAAAGTGGTTATCTTTTATACCATAAATTGAGCCTGCAGGACTGAAAGTTGCTCTGGGCAAGTCACTGAGTGAGTGGTGAGTGAATGTGAAAGCCTAGGATGTTACTGTACACTACTGTAGATTTTATAAACACTATACTTAGGCTACACCAAATTTACTTTTAAAAGTTTTTCTTCAGACCATCCTGGCTAACATGGTGAAACCTCGTCTCTACTAAAAAACTACAAAAAGCCAGGCGTGGTGGCACGTGCCTGTAGTCCCAGCCACTTGAGAGGCTGAGGCAGGAGAATCACTTGAACCCGGGAGGCAAAGGTTGCAGTGAGCTGAGATCGCGACATTGTACTGCAGCCTGGGCAACAAGAGCAAAACTCCATCTCAAAATAAAAAAAAAAAAACAGTTTTTCTTCAATAATAAATTAACCTTAGCTTACTGTAACTTTTTATTTTGAAACTTTTACATTTTGAACTCTTTTGTAATAACATGGCTTAAACACAAACACATTCTATAGCTGTACAAAATTATTTTCTTTATATCTTTATTCTATAAGATTTTTTCTATTAAAATTTTTTTATGTTTTACTTTGTTAACTTTTTGTTAAAAACGGAGACACAAACACATATATTAGCCTAGGCCTACACAGGGTCAGGATCATCAATATCACTCTTTTCCACCTCCATATCTTGTCCCATGGGAAGGTCTTTGGGGGCAATATATGCATGGAGCTGTCATCTCCTATAATAACAATGCCTTCTTCTGGAATACCTCCTGAAGGACCTGCCTGAGGCTGTTTTCAGTTAACTTTTTTCTTTTTTTTGGAGCCAGAGTCTCACTCTGTTGCCCAGGCTAGAGTCCAGTGGCGCAATCGTGGCTCACTGCAACCTCTCCCTCCCAGTTTCAAGCAGTTCTCTGCCTCGGCCTCCTTAGTAGCTGGGATTACAAGTGCATGCCACCACGCCCGGCTAATTTTTGTATTTTTAATAGAGACAGGGTTTCACCATGTTGGTAAGGCTGGTCTCAAACTCCTGACCTCAGGTGATCCACCCACCTTGGCCTCCCAAAGTGCTGGGATTACAGGCGTGAGCCACTGCGCCCAGCTCCCCCCATCTTTTTTTTTTTTTAGTAAGTAGAAGGAGTATACTCTAAAATAACAGTCCGGGCACGGTGGTGCACACCTGTAATCTCAGCACTTAGGAAGGCCAAGGCAGGTGAATTGTTTGAGCTCAGGAGTTTGAGACCAGTGTGGGCAACATGGCAAGAGTCCATCTCTACAAAAAACACAAAATTTAGCTGGGCATGGTGGCATGCACCTGTGGTCCCAGCTACTCAAGAGGCTAAGGTGGGAGGATCACTTGAGTGATTGGCGGCACAGTAGGTTTGTTTACATCAACATCATCAAACACCTAAGTAATGTGTTGATGATGTCACTAGGTGATAGGAATTTTTCAGCTTTATTGTAATCTTATGAGACCACCATTGTATACGTGATCCGTGGTTGACTGAAACACAGTTATGCGACCCATGGCTGTGTTCTTATACTGTAGTTAACCAAGTAACAGTGCCCATTAATACATTTTAAAAGTAAATTTTCAACAAGACTTGAAATATGCCTTTCCTGACATCATTTTCCTGGTTCCCTTTTTACCTCTTTGATTTCTTCTCAGTCATTTCTGTGGACTTTTGTTCCTTTGCCTATCTTGTTAACCATCTGTCTTATCCAGAGGTCCTGTCATCACCCTTATAAACTCTCCTTCAATCACAACCTCTCGCCTACATTGTTATTGAATAAATGAAGGAATAATGACTCTTAAATCTTTATCTTAAGTTCTACATCCCCTGTGCTTCAAATGTTATCCAAATGCTGGCTAAAACATCATAAAGGTACCTACAATTTATTTATTTATTTTGAGACAGGTTCTCTCTCTGTCACCCAGGCTGGAGTGCAGTGGCACAATCTCAGCTCACTGTAGCCTTGACCTCCTGGGCTCAGTGATCCTCCCACCTCAGCTTCCCAAGTAGCTGGGACCACAGGCATGTACCACCATGCCCAGCTAATTTTTTGTATTTTTGGTAGAGATGGGGTTCTGCCATGTTGCCCAGAGTGGTCTCCTGAGCTCAGGCAATCTGCCTGCCTTGGCCTCCCGAAGTGCTGGGATTACAGGTGTGAGCCATCATGCCTAGTCAGTACCTAAAATTTATAAATGAACTCAAGTTTTCTTCTTTCCTTTTCTACTGGCCTCCTCTGCCTTCCACACCTGCCCTCTCTCCATCACGTTCTCTGTACAGGCTGATGCTGCCTTTGCCATTTCAATCCCCCAAGCCTGAAAAGTGGGAGTTTTTTTCCTCCCTGTCTCTATCTAATACTAAATCCCAGCCTATTCTGTTTCTTAAATATATAATCTGTTTCCACTATTACATCCCTATTAGTACTGCTTTAGTTCAGGGTCCGTGCTAAGGTTAATTGCATGGGCTTTGCAGCCAGACATACTTGAGTTTAAATCCTGACTCACATTCACTGGCTTTCAAACCCTAGGCAAGTTACTCAACTGCTCTAAACCATCAATCCTCAAACTTGCCTGCACATGGGAACCACCCGTGGAGCTTAAAGAAAATACTGGCCAGGTGCAGTGGCTCATGCCTGTAATCCCACCATTTGGGAGGCCGAAGTGGGCAGATCACTTGAGGTCACGAGTTTGAGACCACTCCGGCCAACATGGTGAAACCCCATCTTTACTAATAATACAAAAATCAGCTGGGCGTGGTGGTGCTGAGATAGCACCATTGCTGGGTGACAGAGTGAAACTGTGTCAAAAAAAAAAAAAAGAAAGAAAGAAAGAAAAGAAAAATAAAAAGAAAAATACTGATGCTTGGTCCAACTGCAAGGCTCCTGATTTCACTGGAGTGGAGAGAGGCCTGAGCATTGGGAGTTTAAAAAACCTCCCCTCCGGGAGCTCTCCTTTATCTCTACTGGATAAAGTTCAAGCCTCTTCTTGTGTCTTCTCTATTAGCTTTGTCTCCTATGTCCCTCCCTTTCAACAACAGCACTGCTTAGAGTTTATGCATAAAACCTCCCTGTCTGTCACCCCCAAGCTTTTGCTCACTTGATCCTTCTGCCTGGAATGTCCTGTTTGCACTCTCTCAGCTGGCTCTTCCCCAGTCTGTGTCTTCTCCAGGCTAATTCTTAGTCATCCTTTATCCTTCAAGACTTAACTCAGATATCACCTACTTCGTTTCAGATGTCTTCCTGACCCATCTGTGCAAACCTCGTTCTTACTCTAACATGTTGAATTGTAGTTTATGTCTCTCTCCCACTGGACTCTTTGAGTTCAAGGCTGAAAATCAAAGGTCCTCCAATTTTATTGAAATGAAATAGGTTCAACACAACTCTTGCTTTCTCTATGAAGCCATACTTATGTCTATGTTAGCCCAAATTCATTTCCTTCTCTTCTGTAGTCCTAAAGCACTTGGGAATATATCATCTCTAACCCATGGTTTCTAAGTGACTGAAGGACAGAAACCTTGTCTGTATTCTTTAGACCTTCCCCAAAGCACCTAACAAGTGTTAACTTATAGTGTTGCTTAAAAACGCTCATTGGTTGCTGGAAGCAAATAAAGTTTGGAGAGCTCATCAAGGAGAGTGGGTAAAAATATTAAATGGGGCTGGGCATAGTGGCTCATTCCTATAATCCCAGTACTTTGGAATATCAAGGTGTGAAAATCACTTGAGCCCAGGAGTTTAAAACCAAGACCAGCTTGGGAAACAAACAAAGACCCTGTGTCTATTAAAAAATATATATATACATATATATATATATATGCATGTATACACACATTTTTTATATATAGTTATTCAAAATAGATTTTCCATTATATATATATACACACACATATATAATATATATGTTATATATATAGTGGAAAAATCTATTTTGAAAAACTATAAAGATCTATTACTGCTTGTCCAATACAATAGCTACTAACCACATTTGGTTATTAGCACTTGAAATGTGGCTGGTGCAATTGAGGAACTGAATTTTAAGTTTTAATTAATTTTAATTAATTTAAATTTGAAAACTGATCATTGATTTAATTGTTAGAGCCCTTTTAAGTATGTTTGAAATGACCTGGATATGTGAATCTATTTTTTTTTTTTTTTTTTGAGACAGGGTCTTGCTCTGTTGCTCAGGCTGGAGCGCAGTGGTGTGATCATAGCTCGCTCCAGCCTCCCCTCCCGGGCTCAAGCAATTCTCCCATGTCAGCTTCAGTCGAGTAGGTGGGACTACAGGTGTGAGCCACCACACTTAGCTAATTTTTAAATTTTCTGTAGAGACAAGGTCTTACTATGTTGCCCTGGCTCAAGTGATCCTCCCAGTTTGGCCTCCCAAAGTTTTGGGATTATAGATGTGAGCCATTGCATCTGGCCTGAATCTACGTTTTAAACTGTCAACTTCATGAAATCTAAGTATAGATCAAGGTTTTCCAGTGAAAAGTTAGCATCTAAATTGAGGTGTCCTATAAGTACAAAATAAACACCAAATTTCAAAGACTTAGGTATAATTTAAAAATGTAAAATATATCATTAATAATTTTATATTTATTAATGTTATAATAATATTTTGGATATATTGATTTAGGTAAAATAAATTACTAAAATTAATTTTACCTGATTTTACTACTTGAAACTTTAAAATTACATATGTGGCTTGAATTATATTTCTATTGGAGAGAGCTGATCTATTCCAATAGATAGGCTTTGCTTTTTGATAATTATTATAATAACTGAATTTCAACTCTTTTTTTTTTTGAGATGGAGTTTTGCTCTTGTCACCCAGACTGGAGTGCAATGGTGCAATCTTGGCTCACTGCAACCTCTGCCTCCTGGGTTCAGGTGATTCTCCTGCCTCAGCCTCCTGAGTAGCAGGGATTACAGGCACCCGTCACCACATCCAGCTAATTTTTTGTATTTTTAGTAGAAACAGGGTTTCACTGTGTTGACCAGGCTGGTTTTGAACTCTTGACCTCAAGTGATCCACCCACCTCGGCCTCCTAAAGTGCTGGGATTACAGGCGTGAGCCACTGCATCTGGCCAACCCTCTCATTTTCTAAGACAGTTTTTAGTAACTAGTGGTAAGTGATTTTACAGATAATTAAGTGGGATTATCTCTTTTGAACTCTTTTTTCTCAATGCAGATCATAATCTACTTTCTCAGCCCAAGGAGCATAGCATTGTTCAGAAGCATCACCAGGAGGAAATAATTCACAAGTTGGCCATGCAGCTGAGACACATTGGGGACAACATTGATCATAGGATGGTTCGAGAGGTGAGGCTTCAGTTTCCCCAGCCAGGGCCTGTCAGGTAGGAGGAAAGAGCAAACAAAACTACGGCTGCCAAGTGTCTGAGATGCCCAGGAATTATCAGAATTAATGGAATAATGCTGTCTGGATTACCAAATGTTAGATCTAAACATTGTGAACCTGAGCCAAAGCTGGCATTTAATCTCATACTTGCTACTCAGACTGTGGTCTGTGGACTGGCAGCATCAGCATCACTTGATTAGATGTGCAAGATCTGAGACTCCAGCCCACACAGTCAGACCAGCCCACACAGTCAGAATCAGAATCTACCTTTTTACACATTCCCCAGGGGATTTGTGTGCACATTGAAGTGTAACAAACTGTTTCACACCCTCAAAACTGGATGCAATTAGAATCACCTGTTGAGTTTTAAAAACGACAGATGCCTGGGCCCAACCTGGAGAAATTCTGATTTAATTGGCACAAGGTAAGGCCTGGGAACCTGGCATTTTAAAAACTGCCTCAGTGAATCTAATGCACAGTCAGGGAGGAGAACCTATGCCTTGGACTGTGGTTATCCTCCCTGAATCAGCCCGAAGGGTAGGATGCAGGCCCTACCCTGGCCGGTTTCTTAGAATCTCCTGATTATTATAACAGATGATAAGGGAAAATAGGAAAGACTAATGATTACTGTTTGAAATTTTGGGGGTGATGAAATCCACAGCTAACTTAGTTTTCCTCCGAAACAACCTGTATTTGGCAGGAGAGAATGATTACATGGGCTTTGTGACAGACGGGGTGGCAGACCTCTCAGAGCCCAACTTCTTGCCCTTAGATTCAACTATCCTGTGAAGCTTTCTTGGTGCAGCTTCCACCATGCTGTCCTCCACCATGCATGCCACAGGGAGTGCCGTGTACTCTTTTATACTCAGGTCCAAATGTGGACAACACACAGCCTTTCCCTCAAATAAAACATCCTGGAGACAAAACATGAATGGGAGATCCCAACAATAATGCTATAAAAGCAAGAGGGGGCCAGGTGCGGTGGCTCACGCCTGTAATCCCAGCACTTTGGGAGGCCAAGGCGGGCAGATCACTTGAGGTCAGGAGTTCGTGACCATCCTGGCCAACCTGGTGAAACCCCGTCTCTACTGAAAAACACAAAAATTAGTCAGGCATGGTGGCACACACCTGTAGTCCCAGCTACTCGGGAGGCTGAGGCAGGACAATCTCTTAAACCTGGGAGGCAGAGGTTGCAGTGAGCTGAGATTATGCCACTGTACTCCAGTCTGGATGACAGAGTGAGACTCTGTCCCAAAAAATGAAATGAAATGAAATGAAATGAAATAAAATAAAATAAAATAAAGCAAGAGAGAAATAAAGAGAAAATAAACATAGAGAACATAGGCAATCAAATAAACTATTTGATAAGCCAATTTCATTCCAACAAATATTTATTGAATGCCTACTATATGCCAGACTCAGTTCCAGGCATTGGTGGCTACAGCAGTGAGCAGCAGGGCTCATAGAAATGATGTGGGGAGGGGGCAGATAACAAGGCAGATGAACAATAAATAGCCAAGTCAGACAGGGATGCAAGCTCCAAGCAGGATCAGGGCACACTGACTGATGGAGAGTGACTTCCAATGGGCTGTCAGGGAAGGCATCTCTGGGAAGGTGATATTTAAGCAGAGCCTGGAAATGAAGGAGCTAGCCATGAGAACACCTGGAGTGGGAAAGTGTTCCAGGCAGAGGGAACAGCCAGTGCAAAGCCCAGCCCCACCAATCTACTTTGTGTCTCTGTGGATTTGCCTATTCTGGACATTTTATATAAGTAGAATAACACAACATGGAACTTTGTGTATGGCTTCTTTCACTTAACATACTTTTTTCAAGGCTTATCCACATTGTAGCATGTATCAGTATTTTACTTCTTTTTACAGTTGAATATTCTATTGTACGATATACCACATTTTGCTTATCCATTCACCAGTGGTTGGACATTTGGGTTGTTTCCACTTTGTGGCTATCATGTATAATGATGCTGTGAATGTTTGTATATAACTTTTTGTGTAGACATGTTTTTATTTTTTTGGGGTACATACCTAGGAATGGAATTGCTGGGTCATGTGAAATCTCTATGTTTCACTTTTTGAGGAACTTCCAGACTGTTTTCCAAAGTGGCTGCACTATTATACACTGTGGCCCACCAGCAGTGTATGAGGGTTCCAGTTTCTTCACATCCTTGCCAACATTTGTTATTAACTATCTTTTTGATTGTAGCCATCCTAGTGAGTATGAAGTGTATCTCATTGTGCTTTTGATTTGCATTTCCCTGATGAATAATGTGCATCTTTTCATATGCTTATTGGTCATTTTTCTCTTTGGAGAAATGTCTATTCATATCCTTGTCCATTTATAATTGACTACTTATCTTTTTATTATTGTAGGAGTCTTTTTTTTTTGAGACAGAGTCTTGCTCTGTTGCCTAATCTGGAGTGCAGTGCTGTGATCATAGCTCACACAGCCTTGAACTCCTGGGTTCAATTGATCCTCCCACCTCAGCCTCCTGAGTAGCTGAGACCACAGGCACATGTCACCACACCTGGCTAATTTTTTAATTTTTATTTTATTTTATTTTTTGTAGAGACAGGCCCTCACTATGTTGCCCAGGCTGGTCCTGGATTCCTGGGCTCCTGCCTTGGCCTAGGAGTCATTTGTATATTCTAGATGTAAGTTCCTTATCAGATATATGATTTGCAAATATCGTATCCCATTCTGTAGGTTGTCCTTTTACTTTATTGATAGTGTACTTTGAAGTACAAAAGTTTTGAATTTTGATGAAGTTCAATTTATCTACTTTTCTTTTTGTTGCTAGTGCTTTTGCTTTGGGTGTCACACTTATGTTTTCTTCTAAAGGCTTTTTAGTTTTAATTGTTAAATTTAGATCTTTGATCCATTTGAAGTTAATTTTTACATACATTTTAGTTAAGAGTCTATCTTCATTTTTTTGCATATGGGTTGTTGTCCCAACACCATTTGGATTTTGTTGTTGTTTGTTTATTTCTTTGAGACGGGGTCTTGTTATGCTGCCCAGACTGGCCTCAAACTCCTGGGCTCCAGAGATCGTCCCACCTCAACCTCCTAAGTAGCTGGGACTATAGGTACATCTCACTGTGCCTGGAGTACCATTTGTTGAAAAGACTATTGTTTCCCTATAAATTGTCTTGGTGTTATGGGATCTTTGGGGTGTCAATTTTCTGGCCGGAAACCTCTGTGGCCATGGCATCTTTTGCCCAAGTTCTTTTCCTGCACCCAGTAAGAATGCATCCAGGAAGAATGAGGTATGCAGACAAGTGAAGGGTAAACAAGACAAAGATGAGCTTTATTGAGTGTTACAACAGCTCAGAGGAGATCCGCAGTGGGTAGCTCCTCTCTGTAGGCAGGTTATCCATTGAGTGTTCAGTTCTCAGCAGAGAGGAGGCCCTGGAGAGAGTAGCTCCTCTTTGCAACTAGTCGTCCCAATGTCTGCAGCTGTCAGTGGAGAGGCGGCCCTGGGAAGGGTGGCTCCTCTCTGCCAGCAGGTCATCTCTGCAGCTCTTAGCAGAGAGGGCAGTTCCTCTCTGCAACTTGTTGTTTCCTCATCTCCAGCTATCAGCAGGGAGGGTAGCTCCTCTCTGCAGCTGATCATTCCATTGTCTCTCTACCCTCTTTGTCCTGAGGACATCATCTGCCCTGCTCTGGCTGAGCCCAAGGCTTATATGGACCTCAGAGGGGAGGCAGTGCATGCTGATTGGTCGATGGGTGGCCATGGGTGGGCCTGGAAGAGGCACCACCAGTCCTCACTCTGGTCCACAGGACTGGCAGCCTAGCCCCCAGCCTTTAGGCCTTCCCTGGCCTGAAGGTGGGGTCTCACTGGGGACCCACCCCCTTCCACCCAGGAATCAATCTGCCTCCGGCGCCATGCGGGACTCAGCCCCAACCCCTGCTCAGAGATTGGAGCAGGCTCTGGGAGCAGAGAGAGGCCAGGCAGTGGCAGCAGACACCCCTGAGCCTTCAGGGGTAGGGGTAGGGTGCTTCCTGGGGCCCCTGAGGGTGCAAGCTGCAGAGATGCCTGGGTCCTGCAACTGGGAGGGTGGCCACAGTGGCACCCAGGGAGCTCCTGCCCCAACTCAGAAGGGGCTGGGCTCCTACTGGCTCCATGGAGCATGTGGCCCCAGCTGCACCTTCCTGCTGCAGCCAGCATGAGGACAGCAGCCATTGCCATCATTGGCACCCTTGTTGAAAACCAGTGGGCTGTAAATATGAGGGTTTCTTTCTGTACTCTCAATTCTGTTCCGCTGATCTGTATAGCTATCCTTATGCCTGCTCCAGCTTTTCTTGCAGAACTTTATAAAGCTGGTTTTGACCTAGACATTTGTTCTGTACTATAAACCTGTAAACTTGTACTTTAGAATACCTTCTTTTGTTTGTTTGTTTTTTGAGACAGGGTCCCACTCTGTTGCCCAATTTGGAGTACAGTGGCACTATCTCACTGCAGCCTCAACTTCCCAGGTTCAAGGAATCCTCCCACGTAGGCCTCCAGAGTAGCTGGGACCACAGTTGCCCACCACCACACCTGGGTAATTTTTTTGTATTTTTTTGTAGAGACAGGATTTCACCATGTTGCCCAGCCTGGTCTCAAACTCCTGGGCTCAAGCAATCTGCCTGCCTCGGCCTCCCAAAGTGCTAGGATTACAGGCGTGAGCCACCGCGCTCAGCCTAGAACACCTTTAAATAGACCACAACACATTTAAAAAATAATAGTTTGAAAAATTCCAGCCGAGTGTGGTGGCCACAGTCCCAGCTACTCGTAAGGCTGAGGTAGGAGGATCGCTTGAACCTGGGAAGTCAAGGCTGCAGTGAGCTGTGATCGTGCCACTGCACTCCAGCCTGGGTAACAGAGTGAGACCCTGTCTCAAAAAAAAAAAAAAAAAAAAAAAAAAATCCTAAGTTTGGCTCTGAAATGCTGAAGGCTTTGCTGCTTCAAAGTTCAAATCAAGGAACTTTAACAGAATTTCAAGTCTGGCATGGTAACTTTCTTTCCTATATAGTCATCATTTATTTACCTTTTGTACTCTGTTTAATCAAGCAGTCACATCGATTCTCTAGATGCCTTCCTGCCATTGATGTATTTAAAGAAACTTTTATTCTTGCTCTTGGAACTGCCTATCAAGCAGCTCATCAATTTATATTTTTATCTGCTAAATGGATTGTTGTTGAGCTGCCAAATTTTTTGCTCTCTTGTTCTTTTTACTTAAGCAAGTGCTCTGTCTTTTCAAAAGTGTTCTGTGTTTCTCAAAATAACATCTTTTAGGCCGGGCACAGTGGCTCACACCTGTAATCCCAGCACGTTGGGAGGCTGAGGCCAGGAGTTTGAGACCAGCCTGGGCAACATAGTGAGACCCCTGTCTCTCTCTCTCTCTTTTTTTTGTTTGAGATCCCTGTCTCTACAAAACAATTTTTAAAAAAATTAGCCAGGTGTGGTGGTGTGTGCCTGTAGTCCAGCTACTTGGGAGGCTGAAGTGGGAGGATTGCTTGAGCCCAGGAATTCGAGGCCGTAGTGAGCTATGATTGTGTCACTGCACTTCAACATGGGTGACAGAGGGAGACCCTGAATCTGAAAAAGAAAAAAAAAATCTTCTATTTTGCCATTGAGTTGTGTGGGGTTTTGGTTCAAGTATCTGCTTTTTTTTTTAATTCAGTTTTTTTTTTAAACCCGGGACATATGCTTTTTCTAGATATAAAGCATGTTTTAAAATAGTTAGGCTTCTCATCACTTTTAGAATTTTAAATATGCCTTTGAAATTTTTCTCTCCTTCTGGGTTCTGGAAACTCCTCCCTCCCTGTCCCTACGCCCCTGTCTCTATGCCCCAACAGAGTTGTCACCGGGTCTAGGTACTACACCATCCTCTGTGGTTTCTCCACACCTTTTAGAGTCTCTTTATTTAACTCACCTCGAATTAGCCTAATTTGGGTGTGCCATCTGTTTCCTCTGGGAATCTGACTGATATCATAATGCATAGGGAATTTCTCAGTTTGTTAGAAAGAAGGGAGGGAAACAAACATTTATTAAAACATTTTTTCCAGGTACTGTTTGAGACACTTCTACATGTTTCATTTAATTCCCCCAATAACCCTATGAATTACTGTCATAGGTATTTCAGGAGAAGCAATGGAGTTTCAGAGAGATTACAAAACTTATCAAAGGTCACTTAGCTTCTAAGTGGCAAAACTAGAATTTAAATATATGAGCATCTGACTCAGTGTTCTATACTTTTTCTTGTCTGCCATGCTGAAAGGAAACTCATTCCGTTTTCCTAGCTGATATCGACTATAAGAGGGGGAGAAAAATCCTTTAATGATTTTCGGTTACTAGCAGGACAAAGTCTAAGTTCCTTAGCCTACTGCTAATGGTTTTTCATTCCTTCCTGAATTCATTTCTTCAACTTATATTGAGCACCTGCTGTATGTCAGGCTCTGTTTAAGTACCGGAGATATGGGAGTGATCAAAGAGACAATATTACTGATCTCACGGAGTTTTTAAGGGAGACAAACAGTATCTACACAAATAAAGTATGTAGTTTATCAGATAGAGATACATGCTTTGGAGAAAAATAAAGCAAGGAAAGGGATAAGGAGTGTTGGGGTTTGCAATTTTAAGTAGAGATGTTAAGGGAAGGCCTCATTGAGAAGGTGACTTTTTTTTTTTTTTGAGGCATAGTCTCACTCTGTCATCCAGGCTAGAATGCCATGGCACAAAGTTGTCACCGCAACCTCTGCTCCCAGGTGCAAGCAATTATCATGCCTCAGCCTCCCGAGTAGCTGGGATTACAGGCATGCACCACCACACCTGGCTATTTTTGTATTTTTAGTAGAGGGGGTGTTTCACCATGTTGGTCAGGCTGGTCTCAAACTCCTGGGCTCAAGTGATCCACCAGCCTTGGCCTCCCAAAGTGCTTACAGGCATGAGCCACCAAGAAGGTGACTTCTGAGGAAAACCTTGAAAGAAGTGTGGGACTGAGCTGTGGATATTGGGGAGGAGGCAGAGGATTGGAGGCAGGAGGACAGCAAAGCGCTTGGGGCAGGAGTGCATCTCGTGTGTTTGAAGAATGGCAAGGAGGCCAGTGTGGCTGAAGCTGAGTGAGGGAGAAGGTCATAAAAGATATGGTCAGGGCCAGGCGTAGTGGCTCACGCCTGTAATCCCGGCACTTTGGGAGGCCGGATCACTTGAGGTCGGGAGTTCGAGACTAGGCTGACCAACATGGAGAAACCCTGTCTCTACTAAAAATACAAAAAAAATTAGCCGGGCTTGGTGGTGCATGCCTGTAATCCCGGCTACTCGGGAGGCTGAGGCAGGAGAATCACTTGAACCTGGGAGGTGGAGGTTGTGGTGAGCCGAGATCGTGTCATTGCACTCCAGCCTGGTCAACAAGAGCGAAATTCTGTCTCAAAAAAAAAAAAGATATGGTCAGAAGGGTGGGTGGTGGGCAGATTAGGTAGGGCCTTGAGGTCACTGCAAGGACTTTTTTTCTAAGTGAGGTGGTGCCATCGGAGGGCACTGAGCAGAGAAGCCGCATTTCAACAGTCCACAGAGGGGGCTGTGCTGAGAACAGACTGCAGGGGGCAGGCGGGGGAGCATTTGTGTCTGACCCATGGTCTTCTTTTTCTGATGTTCCGACATAAACAGTTGTTACTTTCTGCTCCAAAATACTTAATATTCACCTCACCTCTTTGCCCATCTAAGTCCTAGACATTATTAATTATTATTATTATTATTGAGACAGGATCTCCCTCTGTTGCCCAGGCTGGAGTGCTGTGGCACAATCACAGCTCACTGCAGCCTCAACTTCCCAGGCTCAGGTGATCCTCCCACCTCAGCCTCCTGAGTAGCTGGGACTACAGGTGTGTGCCACCATGCCTGGCTCAGTTTTTCTAGAGATGAGGTTTCACCATGTTGCCTAGGCTGGTCTCAAATTCCTGAACTCAAGCCATTCACCTGCCTTGGCCTCCCAAAGTGCTGGGACTACAGGCAGGAGCCACCATGCCCAGTCTTCTCTCCATTCTTCTAGCCTCAAGGCAAACTTGCTCACCTCTTTGAAAGAACTAAGAAAGTGTTTTGGGAATCCAGGGGAATAGGTTATCAGCCCTGAAAAGAGTGCCCCAATTTACTGATGAGCCCCAGTTTGTTGAGACCAGCCAAGGCAACATAGTGAGACCCTGTCTGCACAAAATATTTTTAAAAATTAGCCAGACATGGTGGCATGCATCTGTGGTCCTAGCTACTGGGGAGGCCGAGGTGGGAGAATCACTTGAGCCCAGGAGTTTGAGGCCAGGTGGGAAAGACGGTCAGATAGGAAAATATGTCCAGAGGCGTTGTGAGGATATGACCATATGGAAGGTACTGTCCTTCAGCTCATACAATTCATAAAGCAACCCAAGAAGCTTGTTTGCAGCATGGATTGAATTAATATTTTCCATTGTGTTGAATTTTTAACTTTGGATTATTCTATCACTTTTAAAAAAAAAAAAAAACCTTTCTCTGTGTCTCCCTTTTTTCAAATAGGATCTTCAACAGGATGGCAGAGATGCACTAGATCATTTTGTCTTCTTTTTCTTTAGAAGAGTTCAGGTGTTGCTGCATTTTTTCTGGAACAACCATTTGCTGTAAAAGGAAAGTAAAGGTCAAGTGGTCAAGTTCTGTTTTCTTTTTACCCTCTGAGAAACATGAATCCCACTGGGACAGATGGGAAGAACACCCTTCTCCGTCTCCCTCTTTTTGTACCCATCACTGTTGGTCTACACCCAGTTTGTTGAAGAACTGCGGGTTCACGAGCCATTTGTCTCTTCGGAGGAGCTAGCTATGAGATGTCTGCGATCACATCACGGTAAAGCCCAAGGAGTAATTAGGACCCCAGGAAGCCTTGCTGCCCAGAAAACACCAGCGCTGTGGATGGTCCCAGGGCTCCTTGTGAGGAAACCTTGAACATTTCCTTCCAGGAATGAAAGAGAACCTCGTCCTCAAACTAAAGGCCACAGAAATGGGCACTACCTCCTGGCCCACTCCCTGGGCACCATGCCCTCTGGTGACCTGTTGGCTCCACTCTTGTCACTCATGTCCAGATCTGCAGTGCCAGCTTCTCCTTCTCGGTGACATGTCACCTCCCTGCCCCAATCCTGGCTCCAACCCTCTCTGGAAAATCGAAGTGAAACATTTGTCTCTAATACTCAAATTCAACATATGGCTCATCTCATCTACCTTCCCATTTCCATGCCTAGAGGCCCCACTACTACCACTAGCACCGTTGGGTGTTTCCTTCTCAGGCTCTGATTCTACAACATTTACGTTCTTTTCTCACCTTTGATCCCCTCACTCCTCTGTGACCCCCTTCAAGTCTTCCTTCACCACTCCAGTGTTTTCCCATACCACTCGACCCTGCTCGAAGGTATCTTTCCCTGCTCTGTCATCCTCTTTTAGGCATGCCTGCTTAAAATCGGGAGTGCTTAGTCCTTGGCCAACAGTCCTGCCTTCTAGAAGAATGTAAGACCTGAAAGAGTTATGAATCTATCACTAGGCAAAAACTTCTCTTTTCCTATTGCTGGATGGTTTTGCTATTATTGGTTGGTGGGCCCTTTGCCTGTGGAATGTATTTCACTCATTCTCTCCTGCACGCTGTTAGGCAGTTCTTTCACCTGCATGCTTCTTCTTTTACCTTTTTGTCTACCTCATAGTCCCTCTCTCCCCTCCTTTAAAAGAATTATAAATATTAGGAAAGCTTGTTGTTATAAATTAAAAGTTTACATATGTATCTTGAGTTCTTCATAGGGGAAGTGTTATTTTAAAAAATTCTAAAAATGAAATAAATATTGTTATTTTATTGAGCATGAAACCCCTGTGCATATTTCTTTTTTGAAGGAGGAACCCCACAGCAGGGTCTAGCCACTTATTCCTGCTCATATTGGTTTGTAGACTTTGATTATACATAGCATTGACTTTGTCCTTCCAAAGGGAAATGTCTCCATTTTTTAGTCTGTCGCAGGCAGTGCATATTTATTTCTATTATTACTTAGGTTCTGGCTGACTAGCCCTAAAACTGTCTTTTTAAAATTTATTTTGAATAGGTTTTTATTTATATGATTCAAAAATCAAAACAAGGCCAGGCACAGTGGCTCACGCCTGTAATCCCAGCACTTTGGGAGGCCGAGGTGGGCAGATCACGAGGTCAAGAGATTGAGACCATTGTGGCCAGCATGGTGAAACCCTGTCTCTACTAAAAATACAAAAATTAGGTGGGTGTGGTAGCACGCACCTGTAGTCCCAGCTACTCGGGAGGCTGAGGCAGGAGAATCGCTTGAACCCAGGAGGCGGAGGTTGCAGTGAGCCGAGATCATGCCACTGCACTCCAGCCTGGCGACAGAGCAAGACCCCATCTCAGAAAAAAAAAAAAAAATCACAACCATGTGAAAAGGTTTACAACAAAAACCCTTTCTATTATTTTCTACTCTAAATTCCAGTTATGCTTATTAGTTTTTATGTATCCTTCCAGAGGTTCTTTGTATAAATACTAATTAATACATACATACATACATACACACACACACACACACACACGTATATTTACATACAAGAGGTAGCATGTAATACACACTGTTTTGTACCTTGATTTTTTTACTTAGCGTGGGTGTTCAGGCACTGTTCTGGGTGTTTTATAAAAGTTAACTTACTTATTCATAACAACCTTATGGGATAGGTATTATTATTTGCTCTTTTTTACTGTTAAAAAATTGAGGCAGTAGTTAGTAGAGGGAGGCAGTAGAGTGGTTAACACAAACTTGCTCAAGGGCACACAGCCAGTAAATGACATGGCTGGGATTCCAAACCAGGCAGGTGTTCCTAAGTCTAGATTATTATCCACTATGCCATACTGCCTCTTGGAGAGCTTGCCATGATCCACAGAGAACTCCATAAAGTGTTGTATTGTATTCAGTTAAATGAATGTACATAATTTGGCTGGGTGTGGTGGCTCACATCTGTAATCCCAGTGATTTGGGAGCTGAGGTGGGAGATCACTGGAGCCCAGGAGTTGGAGGTTAAGGTGGGCTTTGATGGCACCACTGCACTCCAGCCTGGGCGACAGAGTGAGACCCTGTCTCTAAAAAAAAAAAAAAAATAGAAAATTAAAATTAAAAGAAATGAATGTGCATTAGTTTATCAAGCCTCCTTTTGTGGACACCTGAGTTATTTCTCATACTTTGCTATTATAAACCATGATTAAATAAGTAACTATGTATACTTTGGATATTTGTTGAATAAATTTCTGGTAGGCAGATTGCTGGGTGAAAGGAAAATGCATTTGTAAATTTGCCAGACCCCGCTGTGGGGTTGCACCACTTTACCTCAGCTTTTCCAGCAGATTATGTTAGTAAACTTTTAAATTTTTGCCAAATTTATGGGTAAAAATTTCTATCTCAGAATAACTTTAATTTGCACATTTAAAATAGTGAGTTTGTCTGAGCATCTTTTTCTTTCTCTGCTGCCCAGGCTGGAGTGCAGTGGCACAGTCACGGCTCACTGCAGCCTCCAACTCTCAGGCTCAAGCGATCTTCCATCCTCAGCCTCCTGAATAGCTGGGGCTACAGGTGTAGCCCCACCATGCCCGGCTAATTTTTTAAATTTTCAGT
This sequence comes from Homo sapiens, assembly GCF_000001405.40. NCBI lineage: Eukaryota > Metazoa > Chordata > Mammalia > Primates > Hominidae > Homo > Homo sapiens. The sequence goes on along the minus strand of NC_000006.12, from coordinate 36,388,758 downwards.
AAAGACAGGATCTCACCATGTTGTTCAGACTGGTGTCCAACTCCTGGGCTCAAGCGATCCTCCCACCTTGGCATCCCAAAGTGCTGGGATTACAGGCATGAGCCACTGCACCCTGGGCATCTTTTTGTATATTCAGGAGCCATTTGGCATTTCCTTTTATGTGGACTGTTTATTCATATCCTTTGCTCATTTTTTTTTCCTACTGGGTTTCTGGCCTTGTTCTTACTGGTTTCTTATTGCTGGCCTAGAGCTTGTGATGATATACCAGTGCTAAGCCTACTTTGTAACAGCGTCTACACCCTCAGATTTTCAGCAGAAGGTTGTTAATGCTTTTCTTTCCTTTTCTTCGGTGTCTTCTGGTTTGTTTTTATGCGCACAACCTCTCTTGAGACAGGGGGAGCTGAGACAGATGGAAAGGGTGATGGGTGGGCAGGCACCAACCCCGGAGCACCCAGAGGCCCAGGAAAAGGTGTCAGTCGGGATCTCCGAGTAGTCTGGCCCTGCTCAGGAGAGCACAGCCGCTCTGATGGTGGTGCGACGGTTCCGGACCTGTGGGGCCTCAGCGGGGCCAAACGGCAGGCCGAGACAGTATCGGGGCCGGGAAGGTCACTCACCCCTAAAGGGAGAGGCACCATGCGAGGCCCCTTCCTATCCTATGTGCGGAGACTCACAGGGTCCTTCCTGGTCCTGGGCTCGGGACCGTGAGAGACGCAGTTGGTTCCGAGTTCAGGACTAGGGGTCCCCTTAGATCCTCAGATCCTGCAGAATCCCGGCTCTGCCCCAGTGGGAGCCAAGGCCAGGTCGCCAGAGGGACTGTCCGCCGGCTGGAGGCTGTGTGCAGGACCCACGCCTCCCAGGCTAGCGAGCGGGCAGCGCCCCGGTGCTGCGCTCCCACGGGGCCGGCCCCTGCCCTGCCCTGCCCTGCTCCTAGCCCGCAGCGGCGCAAGTGGAACCGCATCCCGCTCTTTCGTTTTCGTTTCCCGGAAGGATAGCGATTACCGGAGCGCCTCGCGCGCCTGCCCGCCTGCGGAGGACCCGGGCGCACACGCCTTGGCGCTTCTCGAAAGAGATTTCCTCCCACGCGACCTTCCAGTTCTCGGAGCCAGGTTAGGGGTTTGGCGGAGGAGGACTGCGGGGCGCGGGCCTAGGGCCCCAGCAGCCACAGCCAGGGGAGCGCTCAAGACAGAAAGCCGGTGGCTTCCTCACCTCCACCTGTAATGCAGGTAAGAGCCTGGCGGCTGAACACGCAGCGCGCACGCAGAGCCACCTGCTCCCGCATCCTTTCCTCACCACCTAGATTTCCAAACCTATTTTATCAGACCTTTTACCTGGCGGGAATCTCTCTTTCCAACACATTCCTAAACCTCACATCCATCCCTCACTCACTTCCCCTTCCACCTCCAGACGCGGGTCACCGCCCCTGACTCTCTCGGTGTCATACACAGCTCTGAAGGCATCACGCACAGCCCCTGCGGGCCCTTTCCGCAGCCCCCTTACCACTGGTCGCCCCTACACCAACCAGATGTGAGGTCTTTGGAAGTTCGTGCGCCAGCCAGGTCCTCACAGCTGGTGAACGCATTCTCGCAGGGAGCCCCTCTTTAGCAGCCTCTCCCCACTCGCCGGTTTTCTAGGTGCCTCGAGACTGCCCCCAGAGCTGGCGCCCCGTCCCACTCCAAGGCCTTTCTCCACTCCCCTCTCGCCAGGACCCATACCCATTATCAGACCCTTCCCTGGCCTCCATGCTGAAACCCAGGAGTCTGATCCTCAGCAGCTCCGTGGCTGGCGTTTCCCAGGCAGTTACAGCCTCGGAATTCCCCGCTCCTCTTACTTGGATGAGGACAGAGGAGTAGACAAAGAGCCTCCTGCAAGCCTCCTTGGCAAGTCCGAGGCAAGTCCTGTGCCTTGAGCCCCTTCTCCAGCAAGGCAAGCTTCCCTTTCCCCACCAGGAGGCAACCCCTGAGGTCTGATTACTTGGGAAACAGCACCAAAGGGGGACCGGCTGGAAATGAAGTGAGAACGACCCGGAAAGGTGTTGAATCCCCTTTCGCAGCAGCCAAGGCTTCTGGAGTTTGCTTTGCTGGCTCCGATCCAAATTCTCTCTCGGCAGATATCTCTCCTCGGATCCCAAGAGATGAATGTAAAGCTTTTGACAATCCTAGAGTGAAAAATGACTTGATGGAGCTGGTTTCACTTTTCCTTTCCGTGCTGTGGCAGCCTGTGGCTGGGCATGAGCCCGAAGGAGCTTCCTATTCCTACAAAATCCTGCCACTTTCTTCATTTTCTCATCTGAATGGATGAACCCCGTCATCTCTGGGGGCCATGCTGATTGTTGAATTGTAAAGATACAGGCTTCCCGTGGTGAGACCTTAGGATTCAGAAATGTATCCTTATCCTTTCTTTTTCTCTTTTGAAAATAGTGTTTGTTTGTTCTGAGACGGAGTCTTGCTCTCTTGCCCAGGCTGGAGTGCAGTGGCGTGATCTTGGCTCACTCCAACTTCCGCTTCCCGGGTTCAAGTGATTCTCCTGCCTCAGCCTCCTGAGTAGCTGGGATTACAGGCGCCGGTCACCACGCACGGCTAATTTTTGTATTTTTCGTAGAGATAATGTTTCACTATGTTGGTCAGGCTGGTCTCAAACTCCTGACCTCAAGTAATCCACCCGCCCCAGACTCCCAAAGTGTTGAGATTATAGGTGTGAGCCACCGCACCTGGTCTATTTGTTTATTTCTGATTTAAGGTCTTTTGATCCTGGCCCCTCAGGTTTCCTGTGTTGTCCTCACCAGGGATCCAGTGAGGATTCCTAGGCTTTCAGATTTCAATCATACAAGTCTTGGCAGGGGATCCCTCTTGGAGTTAGGCACATGCATGGAAAGCTTGAATTGGAAGGATGTCATTTATTGTGTCCACTGGGTACAAAATGTTGATGGTACTGAGTTGAAGATATACATGGTTCCTACCTTTAAGGTTGATGCAGTCTTCTGGTGGAGATAAACACTCTTTCCCTTCCAAAAAAATTCTTAAGACATTTAAAGATGGCTGAGCCTTCACCAAGATGCTCTTCTTTGACTGTCCTGGTTTTTCTCTCTCTAGGAGGGAGAATTGGCTATTTCTCCTATAAGCCCTGTGGCAGCCATGCCTCCCCTAGGCACCCACGTGCAAGCCAGATGTGAAGCTCAAATTAACCTGCTGGGTGAAGGGGGGATCTGCAAGCTGCCAGGAAGACTCCGTAAGTAGAGGGGAGGAGAAAAGCTGAGTTTTTAAAAGTAAATTTTTATTTTGTTTTAGATCCAGGGTCTTGCTCTGTTGCTTACTTAGGCTAGAGTGCAGTGGTGTAATCATAGCTCACTGCACCTTCAACTTCCAGCTCCTGGGTTCAAGTAATCCTCCCACCTCAGCCTCTCCAATAGCTGGGACTACAGGCACACTGGCTAATTTTAAAATTTTTAGTAGAAATGGGAATCTCAGTATGTTGCCCAGGTTGGTCTTGAACTCTTGGGCTCAAGCTATCCTCTCGCCTCTGCCTCTCAAAGTGCTGGGATTACAGGTCTGAACCACTATACCTGGCCCTTAAAATTAAATTTTTTTTTAAATAAGAGACAGGGTTGCTCTATGTTGCCCAGGTTGTTCTCAAACTCCTGGGCTCAAGTAATCCTCCCATCTCGGCTTCCCAAAGTGCTGGGATCACAGGCATGAGCCACTGTGTCTGGCCAAAATTTTATATATATCTCATACCATAACTTTGTATTGCATAAATATATACAATTATTATTTATAATTTGTCAATTAAAAATTTAATTTTTGCCAGGTGCCAAGATTAACTTACCTTCCCTCTGTTTGCTGTTTCTTTGCTGAGTTTTCTTTAGCTTTTTGTTTGTGATGGAGTCTCACTCTTGCCCAAGCTGGAGTGCAGTGATGTGACCTCAGCTCACTGCAACCTCCGCCTCCCTGGTTCAAGCGATTCTCCTGCCTCAGCCTCCTGAGTAGCTGGAACTACAGGTGTGTGCCACCACACCTGGCTAATTTTTGTATTTTTTAGTAGAGATGGGGTTTCACCATATTGGCCTGGCTGGTTTTGAACTCCTGACCTTGTGATCCACCCGCCTCGGCCTCCCAAAATGCTGGGATGACAGGTGTGGGCCACCGCACCCGGCCAAGGTTAGAAATTTTAACACAACTTCTAAGAAACACTTTCTAATAGTGAGGTTCAAACACAAGACCCACAACTCTCCTCTGAGCCCTGGGAAATCCTATTTCCCTAAGACCAAACTTCCTAAGCTCAGAGGCTCACTAAATATCTATTGAATGAATTAATGAATGAATGACTAGGGATCTTCATCAAGAACACCAGGACCTCCAAACAATGCAGGATCACTTCTGTGGGCCCTTCTGAGATGGTCACCAGATCTTCCTGCACACTTCTAGGGACAGGCATTTCCTCCCCTCTTGAGGCAGCCTATTCTCTGATTGCATAACTCAGGGTGCAGGTCACCGTGGCCTATTTTCTCCTAGATTAGAACTCCTGAGCTACCAGTTCTGTTGCCTTGGGTTAGATTTCCCCAGGAGCAGACCCTAAAACACTGGTGAGGAGTAGGGAGGAAAGACAGAGAAGAGAAGGAAATCCCAAAGGTGTTCTTTTGGTCCAGTTAGCACCACGGGGATCTCTGGGGACAGTGAATCCTAAGTTATTCCAACCAGTGGGTAAGGGGATTATCCACTCACTTCCCTTCCATGACAGCATGAATGCTGTTTCCAGGGGTATTGGCTCTCCAGCATTTCCAAGTTACCCTGTACACTGGCTAAGGGGTTCCTGCAGCCAGAAAAAGCCCAAGGCAGAGTCAGATGGGGCATTCGGCAGCCTTCAGAGTGTGGAGGTGAGAGGCAGGGCCTATGGGCAGGGCCCCAGCAGCATCTTCTATACCTGTCATCTTAGATTCCATGACTCATATTTATTGGAACATCTGCAAATATTCAGACAATACAGTTCTGGCCCTTAGTAAATACCTGACAGTTTTAAAAGATAGGGGATGACAAATGACTCATTTTCCTGTCAACAGCATCCCAAACAAGCAAACTGCTGACACCAAATGAAGATTCGACTTTTCAGCCCTGTTGGGGGTGATCTCAGCCCAGTTTCCTAAATTTCTGGAAGCTGGGTTTCCATCTCTGCCCATCTCTCTGATGTTTATTCCCCGTCACCCACCCCATTCCCTCCCCTACCTCCAACCTCCATTTTAGTAGTCAGGACTGATTTGCCTCAGCAGGAAGTGAATAAACAAAACAGATCTTGTTTAGCCTTGTGAGTTGATGCTAAGAGGAGCACGGAAGTTATTTTCCTGTAGAGCTCACTTTTTTTGTGTTGATTTTCCTGACAAAGATGTGTAGTAAAGCAGTGGAAAGTCCACTCTGAGGACAACCGTGATGTCCAGGGTTGTGGCAAGGGTCAGGAGGTCTACTGGGATGGAGGAGTGGGATTCACGGAGATTCACAACTATGCTTCCCTGTATGGAAATGGGGAACAAAAGAGGATTCTCACCTCCCCATCCCCGGTCCATGGCCATGAGGGTCTGCCCAAGGCCAGAGTGAGTCAGGAGCTATGGGGGGACGCAGCTGCAGGGCAGGGACAGCTGGCAGTGCAGACTCTAGGACCATTTTCAGAACTGGGCTGATATCACAGGGGACTGGGAGGAGGTGATGCACCCTCAAGGGACAACTTGGGAGAATTCTGAGAGGAGGCAGTTCAGAGATGGTCACCACCATGGCCTCTTCAGTGACAGAGAAACTGAGACTCAGGGAGGGCAAGGGTCAACTGTGATGCTAATGGCCAGACTAGGCCTCCAACCCAGGACTCTTACTTCTCGGTCCTGCGTCTCTTCTTTTCCCTGGAGCTTATTCCCCAGAGAAAAGGTCTGTGAACTTCTCACTTTGGATGCAAAGGAAATGAGACTTCTTTGTGTTTTGAAATTGACTTTCAAAGCTCCTAGCTGTAAATAAGCCATGGGAAGAGACGTAGAGTGCCGTGTCCTATATTCAGAGTTGCAAGGAGAGGGATAACACCTCTCTGTGACTCCCTGGAGGTGTAAAGCAGGAGAAATGGGCCTTTGGGAAGCTTGAACAGATTTTGGGTGCCCATGCTGAAGTTCACATCCTTCACATGTGAGAGAGTTCCTGGGCACTTCATTTAATAGATCAGCGCTAACAGTTGTGGCTTCCCGGTATTCCAGACCAGGGCTTCTCAGATTTTAATGTGCACATGAATCTGCTGGGAACCGTGTTGAAATGCAGATGCTGGTTCAGCAGTAGGTCTGGGATGGGGCCTGAGATTCTGCAGATTTCTAATAAACTCCTGGGTAATGCTGATGCTGCTGGCTTGAGAACCACATTTTATTTATTTTCAAAGTGCTGGTCAAGACTTACTAAGGAAGTGAAATCCACTTAGTGGACCAAGATAAATATTTTTAAAAATTGAAATAGAACAACACATCAGAGCGCATTATAAATAGTAAAGGTAGCTGAGATTCGTGACTACTTTGTTTAGGCTATTTTTATATATGTGTGTGGGTACAAAATATTATTTGTTTACCATGGGTTGAGGTCAAAAATGGTTTGAGAAATGCTGCCCTAGATCATGGCCTATGAGAAGCAGGAGATTAGATGGATGTGGGTGTAAAACACCAGAGAGGTGGGGTGGAATGGGAGGATGGAGATTAAAAGCGAGTGTTCTAATTCACTGGAACGTGTGAGTACTGACAGTGACATCACCTGGCAATGAAAAGGAATGTGGCGGTGAGGACCCAAACAAGCAGATGGGGAATTCCAAGAACTATTAATATGAGGATAAAGAACCTCTCCCCTCCCTAAATGCAGGGTCTGGGCTAGACCATATGCATCTTTGTGCAAATTGGAAAGACTCCTCCTTTGGGGAGAAGCCAATCAAAGTCCCAGCTGGATTTCACCTCCATCCTCCCATTCCCCTCCTCTGATGGTATCTTTGTGCAGTACACAACGTGAACTGTATGCACTGGCCCTGCCCCCACAGTGTGGTGATGACCGTAAAGCTTGGTGTGATTACCAAGAAAAGGATTATCGACCAAGACAATGGGGCCAAGCAATGGGGTGACAGATTTAAGGAGTCTCTGAAGACACCATGACACACAATAAACTAAGGACATGATAATTGATAAAACGTAGTCATCATGGCAGAGAAGCAAGCTAGTCTCTCTGTTTTCAGGCTGGGGTCTGATGATCAGCATCCTGATCATCAGAATAAAGGCCATTCATTCGTTGAGTTTTTATTCTTGACGAGGTATTGTGATGAGCATACCGTATTTATTATCTGATTGAATATATTCAGTAGGCATGGAAAGTAGCTTTTTTTGTTATCTCCGCCTTACAGTTGTGTAAACTGGGCCATAGGTGAATTATCTTGTCCAAAGCCACCTACCAGTAAAATGGTGGAGCTGGGATTTGAACCGGCATCCCTCAGACCCCACAGCTGTCATTTGCTTTGAGAAACTGCCTCTAGCCTCAGATGATGATAGCTCCCATTTTTAGGGTACTGGCCAAGCACTTTAACTGCCTCCTGCATTCTTCCTGCAAGGGGATCCTGCAAGGTAGGGAGAAGCCAGCTGTTCATTCTGATTTGGTTGCTAAAGGCTGGTCAGGCTCTGTGGCTCCTGGAGCTCACTAGACCCAGTAAACTGCAGGGGTGTGGTGGGAAGTGGTGGGAAATAGCTTTGGTCAGGTGGGGAGGGGCACTTTGAGGGGTCTTGAAACCAGGACAGAGGGGTTTTGACTTGATGGGCTTGGTAGTTGGGAACAATAGTTTCTTCAGCAAGAGAGTAAAAGGGATGCTGTGGGAAGAGAGGTCCAGTCGGGGTCGGGGTGGGAGTCAGGGGCTGGAGAAGGGGCAGGCAAGGAGGCCCTGGGGGTGACCCCACACTGCTTTGCTCAACTCACTTATTTAAGCAATTTATTTTTATTGAGCAGCTACTATGTGCCAAGCATTGCTATAGGGGCTGGAGAGACCACAGTGACTGAGACAGGCAAAGTCTGTGCCTCCTGGAGCTTACATTCTAGTTGGGGATTCAGTGACTATGTAAAGAAGCGCTATGTCCACAGATAAGGGCAGTGGACGTGATATAGCTGGGAGGTGGAGGGGAGCCCCCACATGTAGCCCTGCTCTGGGAGGAGGTAGGGGACAACAGTGTTGACTCTTCAGGGAGACACCTGAGCCCTCCAATTGTGTCCTGGACAGGCAGCTCCTCTTGCTGCCCCAGCCAGGGGACTCTGTCCATATCTGCCTTGGGAGCTGGGAGTCGGGAGCTGGCCAAGCTGGAAATCCTCAGTTAGCAGGCCACTGGGCCGGGAGAGTGAGGTGACATTTGCCTGGAGTCTTGAGAGACAAAGATGGTTAATGGGAAAGAACTGAAAATGCAATGGATTATTGCCAAGAGAGGGAGAGGCCGGGGGCTGATCTGCAGGTGAAGTCCCACATTCACCTTACATTGGGAAGGGGAGCCCCAGTTACTCTCATCCTGGCAACTGGGTCAGGGAGACTTCTTGAGGGTGATTGACGCCCTAGATAATACCCACCAGGTGTTGGACCCTGTGCCACGCATTTTACGTGTATTACCTAATTGACATTTATAGCTCTATGTGTGTCAAAAAGCACATGCCACATGCCAGATGCTGCTTTTAAATGGGTTATCTGAAAGCATCCTTGTGACAGCCCTGTGTGGACAGTACAATTTTTTTCATCATCCTTGGTTTCACTGATGATGAAACTGAGGTACTGTCATTTAGGTCACATTATTTACAGCTGGCCTGGCAACATCATCTATGCTTTCTGTTGTTGTTGTATGTTTTTACTTTTTTTTTTTTTTTTGAGATGGCGTCTTGCTCAGTCACCCAGGCTGGAGTGCGGTAGCTTGATCTCAGCTCACTGCAACCTCCACCTCTGGGGTTCAAGTGATTCTCCCGTCTCAGCCTCCCAAGTAGTTGGGATTACAGGCACGTGCCACTGTGCCTGGCTAATTTTTTTATTTTTAGTAGAGATGGGGTTTCACCATGTTGGCCAGGCTGGTCTCAAACTCCTGACCTTATGATCTGCCTGCCTTGGCCTCCCAAAGTGCTGGGATTACAGGCATGAGCCACCACGCCCGGCCTTCTTCTTTTTCTTCTTCTTCTTCTTCTTCTTCTTTTTTTTTTTTTAAGAGACAGGGTCCCACTCTGTTGCCCAGGCTGGAGTGCAGTGGCAATATCATAGCTCATTGCATCCGTGAACTCTTGGGCTCAATCCCTCCCTCCTCAGCCTTCTGAGTAGCTGAGACTATAAGCATGCACCACCATGCCTGGCTAATTAAAAAAAATTTTTTTGTTTGTAGAGTCAAGGGTCTAACTATGTTGTCCAGGTTGGTCTCAAACTCCTGGTTTCAAATGATCCTCCCTCCTCTGCCTCCCAAACTGCTGGGAATTATAGGCCTCAGCCACCACAACAGGCCAGGAATCACAGTTTTGAATTTTCAGGCTGACGCCTCCAATATGGTGAACTAGGGGAACTACACAAAAAATATGAGTTCAGGTACAATGCAATTGGCGGTTGACACCCTAGCCGCGGAAGCCCTGGCTGGCTGTGGAGGCCTGCCCTCGACCCCTCAGGAATCTGCCCATCGTGTGGCCTCCACATTTTACACTAAGTCAGCTTTCGGCGTCTCATGTATCACCAGACTCATCTCCCATCGCGGCTCTAAATTCCTATCTTCACCAGCAAAGCATCCTTTTCCCTGCACTCCTGCTATTAAATATCTTATTCTTCTCTGATGGTACATTTCCCTGACTATTGAGGTGACATGTCTTGTCACATGCTTATTGGTGGATTTGCTGTGCCACAGGGGATCTCACCTGGCAGCAATTTTGCTGCTCCTTTCCCCCCGGGGACATTTGGCCGTGTCTGGAGACATTTTTAGTTGTTAGAACTAGGCTGGCATTGAGTGGATAGTGACCAGGGTATTCCTAAACATCCTGCAACACACAGGATAGGCCTTCACAGCAAAAAATTATCAGTCCCAAAGAGTCAATAGTGCTGAGGTTGAGAAATCCTGCTTTGCTGGGATTGCTGGAAAGATTTTTTTTGTCTTTAAAAAAATCAATTTACAGATGCTCTTGACCTATGGTAGGCATTAACCTTTTATCTGTCATCTGCATTGCAAATATTTCCCTGAAATCTACCCTCTTTTAGTTTTGTTTATGGTATCTTTTGCAGCAAACACAGAAAATTAATGTAGTCAAATGTGTGTTTCGTTTTTATTACAGCCTCTGCGTTTCCTGTCATGGTTGAGGTCCTCTCTGCTCTTATTGAGTGCATTTGGTTTTTGATTTCTACTTCTATTAAGATTTGTATTTTTCTATTCTTTATGCCTTTAATCTACCTACAATTGATTTTTGTGAATGTGAATGGTGGGAGGTGAGGACCCAAATGTATTTTTTTCCAGGTGGAGAGTCAGGTTTTTTTTTTTTTTTTCCATATTAGATTAACTATCCTTTCCCTCTGAATTAAAATCCTGCCTCTGTCATGTATTAACTTTACAAAATATACATACACACATAGGCACGCGTGTGTGCGTGCATGAACACTTACTTGCTCCTGGGCTCCACCTTCTTTTCCAATGATACTTGCCAATCTTAGCATAAGACCATTTGATCTTAGTTACATGGCTTTGTCACATGCAGTACCACAGAGGCCAGTTCTCACATGTATTCTTTTTTCCTGCCTTAAATAATTTTTTTGGCAATTTCAGACATGTACTCTTTTCTCTTACTCATTTTTAGGTCCCAAAATAGAAGTAAAGGAAACCTTTCCTCACTCTTAAACTGGGCTCTAGCTCCTTGCTTTCTGTTTTCTCAGCACAGTGAACGTTCCCTGTGTGCCGTCGGGAGGACTATCGTTAGAGTTATTGGTGGTGGGGCTCCTCCCTCCTGCCAGCCTGGTTCTGTGCCGTGTCCCTAGCCCTGCACAGTGACTGACACAAGCTGGTACTCATTAGATATTGGCTGAATGAATGAACAAGGAAAGATGCAGATCTCCTTTGTTTTAAATGTTAAAATTAAGTTCATTTCCTGTGTTGCTTTGAGTATAAGGGAGCAGAGGCTGGTCTGGTCTTTATCATTGCCAAGGTGTGGCCTTGGACAGTTGCTTCTCTCTTCTGCCTCAACTTTCTTACCTGTAGAACTGAACCCAGTGAGCTCTGAGTCTTTACACCAGTGCAGTCATAAAATAGGATTTAAATTTATGTATTTTTTTGATACAGGGTCTCACTCTGTCACCCAGGCTGGAGTGCAGTGGCGCAATGATGGTTCACTGTGACCTCCCGGGCTCAAGCGATCCTCCCACCTCAGCTTCCCAAGTAGCTGGGACCACAAGTGTGCATCACTATGCCCGGCTAAATTTTCTTTTTTGTATTTTTGGAGAGACGGGGTTTTACCAAGTTGCTCAGGCTGGTCTCAAACTCCTGGGCTCAAGTGATCTGCCCACTTTGGCCTCCCAAAGTGCTGGGATTACGGGTGGGAGCCACCACGCTCAGTGTATTTTAAATATTTTTTGCCCACAAAGGCAAATGTGTCAAGGGCTCATGAAGTCGTAACGTAGCCCTGCTGAACACTATCCAAAACTTGGCATTAGGAGCGTAGCAGTCCCAGGCAAAGTGGAAACGTGGGGAGAATAAGCAGCCACTTGTCTGGCTACTGCCAGAAATAAAAACACATGCACTGAAGGTGAGTGTAGGAGGCTCCCTTTGTCCCCTGGGCTGTTCCCTGAGCAAACCTGATTCCAAGTTGGCACAATGGAGCAGAAAAGTTCAATAGCCAGACAGCCCGGCTGTGCCCCATGCTGCCTGTATGCGTGTGGGCTAGTCACTTAACCTCTGGGAGCCTCACTGCCTCATTTGGGAAACAATAACATCCCTTCCTTTTTTTTTTTTTTTTTTCTTTAGAGGGAGTCTCGCTCTGTCGCCCAGGCTGGAGTGCAGTCGCATGATCTCGGCTCACTGCAACCTCTGCTTCCCGGGTTCGAGCGATTCACCTGCTTCAGCCTCCCGAGCAGCTGGGACTACAGGTGCATGCCACCATGCCCAGCTAATTTTTGTATTTTTAGTAGAGATGGGGTTTCACCGTGTTGGCCAGGATGGTTTGAATCTCCTGACTTTGTGATCCACCCGCCTCGGCCTCCCAAAATGCTGAGATTACAGGCATGAGCCACCGCGCCTGGCCAGTAACACCCCTTTCATTGGGTTGTTCAGTCATTCAAGTACTCACTCAACATGTGTTTTCTGAGCACCTACTGTGTTCCAGGCACTGTTCTAGGTGCTGAATACACATAACAGTGTGCTCCAGCACGCCTAGTCCAGTGCTGGCACATAGTAGGTTCTCGTTAAACACTTGTTGAATGAATGATTGGAAAACAGGTGGTGGGGAGGTACCAACAATAAATAAGTGAATAAATACATGCTACATACATAATGACAAACACGAACACATAATTCTATCCAATGTAAAATGTAATTACAAAGAACGTAACATGCTAGGAAGGAAAGAAACAGGTGGCAGCGACAGAAGATGATGGGGGTTGGGGGCCAGGACAGGGGAGCATCTGCTCAGATGAAGTGTTCAGGGTGGGCTTCTTTGAGGAGGCCCGACGGGGAGTGATGGGACTGGTCCTTGCTGGTTGCAGGCATCCAGCCCGCACTGTGGAGCAGGGAGGACGTGCTGCACTGGCTGCGCTGGGCAGAGCAGGAGTACTCTCTGCCATGCACCGCGGAGCACGGGTTCGAGATGAACGGACGCGCCCTCTGCATCCTCACCAAGGACGACTTCCGGCACCGTGCGCCCAGCTCAGGTCAGGGAAACGCACAGGCTTTCCTCTAAGCGGGAACCCTGGTAGGCCAGGATGGCCCAAGTACCCCCGGGGGGCCCAGGGAGGGAGATGGAGGGGTCTTCCTTGGGGAATCATGCTCATTTCCAGCACTGCAGATGCCCCTCTGCATACGTGTGTATCTGGTGGTTCCTAGCTAGAGCAGGCCTTCAGCAAGGGAGTCCATTTGACCACTTGTTTTCAGAGCTGTAGGGGCCTGTTCTGCTCTCTCGCTTTCTCTTCCCTTTATCTGTGGCCCTTGTCTCCTCTATCCACTTCCATCCTGTTGCCTCCCACCCGCTACCCCTACTGAACAAAAAACCAACTAGAGAAAGATCAAATATTCATTCACACTGAGGTATAAATGGGTGGTAACAGCAAAATCCTTGACTTCCAATATGACTTTTGATTTTAACCAGAAACTAGGTCTGAGGGCAAAGGAATGAATGTCAGATGATGGTGTTCCAGCAGCACGGAGTTTGTGGGGAGGGACTGGTGGTGGGAGGGAGGGTGGCCAGTGGTAGCGGGCAGCAGGGCCTTCCAGGAACCTCTAGAATCGCATCTGAGTCTTGTGTGGCTTGTTTTCAGTGGCTCTTTTGTTTGTGCTGATTTGGTGTCTTTTTCTTAAGAATTCGCTCATGTTTTCTGTGTTCCTTGTCTTTTGGCCAAGCAAGCCCACAGTGTATTTGGCAAAGAGACGTTCTGAAATCTGCTGATTTGCCTGTTTATACCTAACACATACAGCCCAGTCTCATGTCACATCCCAAGTTCTTTTTTTTTTTTTTTTGAGATGGAGTCTCACTTTGTCGCCCAGGCTGGAGTGTAGTGGCGCGATCCTGGCTCACTGCAACCTCTGCCTCCCAGGTTCAAGCGATTCCCCTGCCTCAGCATTCTGAGTAGCTGGGATTACAGGCGCCTGCCACCACGCCCGGCTAATTTTGTATTTTTGGTAGAGATGGAGTTTTACCATGTTGGCCAGGCTGGTCTCAAACTCCCAACCTCAGGTGATTTGCCCACCTTGGCTTCCCAAAGTGCTGGGATTACAGGCATGAGCCACTGCTCCCAGCTGACATCCCAAGTTCTATCACCCACTTCCCACTGTGAGCCTCCTGTAGCAGCTGCTGGAACTTTCGTCTCTCTAAGAGCTTGGATTCAAGAGCTCTAGTGGGAGGTGAGGGGAGGGCAGGGACAGAGAGACAAGGCTTCCAGCTTCCCCACAGCCCTGATGGTCCTGCACTGAGGCAAAGCGGGGAAGCAGGTGAGCTTGGGGCTGGTCCCCTTCATGCCCTTGTTCGTCTCTCCACCTTCCTACAAGCACTCCTGGTCCTCGAGTGCCCACTGTCTACATTGTATCCCTCTGGCTGCCTGGGATCCCCAGATTGGCTCTCTACCCACAGATCCCCTCTTTCCTGCCCTACTATCAGCACCTTAGCCCAAGGTATGAGTCAAAGAAGATTTCTGGGACCAAGGACAGAGCCCAATTCTGGCTTTTTTTTTTTGAGACAGGGTCTCACTCTATTGCCCAGGCTAGAGTTTGGTGGCGTGAACACAGCTCACTTGTGCCTCAACCTCCTGGGTTCCAGTGATTCTCCTGCCTCAGCCTCCCAAGTAGCTGGGACCACAGATATGCGCACCATACCCAGCTGATTTTTAAAATTTTTGTAGAGACAGGGTCTATCCATGTTGCCCAGGCTGGTCTCAAACTCCTGGGTTCAAGCAATCCTCCTGCCTTAGCCTCCTAAAGTGTTGGGATTACAGGTGTGAGCCACCGCACCTGGCTTTTCCTTTCTTCAACCATTTATTGAAGCAGCTACTCATTCTGCCTTTTAGGAAGAGGCTAAGACAGCTTTGCTCCTTAGAAGGCAGGGCAGACTTTCAATAAAGCTTGGAATCCCATGAGCCTTAGAACTGTCTCTGCTCCCAGGAACGTGAGGTACAGTTGCACAGTTTATGCACTGTGCACAAGCCCTCAGCCAAGGGTGTGTGCGAGGGTTGAGAAACAGCCTGACCTTGCAAGCTGCATGCCCTGGAGGCGGCTGCGTGTACCGGCAGGAAAGGATGTCTTTCTAAAATTCATCCACCACGGGAGCAGCAGCATCTCTGCCCATTGCCAGCCCAGCCTCCTGTTAGCTGCAGCAGGAACCCCTTTGCCATCGGCATGAAGCTGTGACAAGACATGCCAGCCCTTGCCCTGAGGCAGGTGGCTGCAGGGGGATGAGGCTGGCCCTCCCCACGTGGCCTGTTCAGCAGCCTGCCCTCCCTCCCACCCACCTCCAGGTGACGTCCTGTATGAGCTGCTCCAGTACATCAAGACCCAGCGGCGAGCCCTGGTGTGTGGGCCCTTTTTTGGAGGGATCTTCAGGCTGAAGACGCCCACCCAGCACTCTCCAGTCCCCCCGGAAGGTGAGGAAGCTCTCTGTGGTGCTCGGAGTACCTCCCTCAAATCAGCCTCACTGGGAGGGCAGGACATCCTCAAGGCGAAGCAATGAAAGAGGTGGCCAGTGTGGGCAAGCTCCCCTCCCGCCCCACCCCCACCTCCTGCTCTGGGGCGTTCCTGGCCGCCCTTCCTCTGTGCTGCACCCTCCATGCCTCCCACCTCCCCATTCTCTGCTCTCTCCAGCAAAGAGTTGTTTGTATCATGTCTCAATTTCCTCTCTGCAGCCCTCCGTGGAAACCACTTGTCAAGGTCTCCAGAAACCTGAAAATAAGGATGTCCATTCCATGGCCACTCTCAGTCCTGATTTACTGTGGTCTCTCGCAGCCTTTGACCCTGGGGGTCACCTCTCCTTCCTTCCCCCAAAACTCTTTCTTCCCTTGGCTTCCAGAACACCCCACTCACCTGGTCTCCTCTACCCCACTGGTGTCTCCTCGACCTCCTCTTCTGGTTTCTACTCTTCTCCCCTGCTTCTAGATGTTGGGGTACCCCTCTCTGCTTCTCTATCTGCATTCAGATGCTGGGCAATCTCATCTGATCCTGGGTCTTAAACACCATGTGGTGCCAAGGATTCCAATATATGTCTTCCTCAACCTCTCCAAATTCCAGATATGTGCACCCACGCTGCCTGCCCCACCCCTCCACTGGGGCATCTAGTAGGCCTCTCAACACCCCCAGCCCCTAAACCAAATGCCTGATATCCTGCCCTTTCCAGTCTTCCCCAGCCCCACAAACCCCACCTCCACCCTTCCAATTGCTCAGATGTCATCTTAGATTTCTACCCCCACCCCCACTCATCCCAACTGTCCATAAATCCTGTCAGCCCTACCTTCAAATCTGTCCAGAATCCAACCTCTTCTCACTCCTCTCCTGCTGCCCCATTCCAGCCCCCATTGCCTCTGGAGAACGTCCTCACTGGTCTCCTTGCTTCTGCTCTTGACCTCCTATGATCTATTCTCCACAGCACAGAGAGTTTCAGAAGTCAGGTCACGTCACTTGTCTGCTCAGCATCTTCCAGCAGCTCCCTTCTCACTCGGAGTCCAAGTGCAGTTCTTCCGCTGACTCCTGCCCTTGCCTTCCCCTCCCAGCCTTCTCCCCCGTGCTCCTGCTGCTCCAGACACACGGGCCTTCGGGCCTTCTTGTTCACTGGACAAGTCTGAGATGCTCCTGCCCCAGGGCCTTTGCACTTACTGTTCCCTCTGCCTGGCATCCCCTCTCTGCTCTAGATACCCACAGAGCTCACTCCTCTACCTCCTTCAGGTCTGTTCAAATGCTAATGTCAGGGAGGCCTGAGCAGCCTCTCTAAAGTGGCAACCCCTGCTCCTTTCCCAGATTTCCCTATCTGCCTTAGGGTGATTTATTTTTTTCACCTCATATTGTATACTGTTTCTGTTTCCTTTTTATTTTAATCGTCCATCTCCCCTGCTCTCAACTAGCATATAAGCTCCCTGAGGGCAGGGGCTTTGGGAGCTCAGCGATATATGCTCAAGATTCTTAGAACAATGCCTGGTTCATAGAAGGCTCTCAATAAATACTCGTTGGGCAAATGGAGAGGACATGGGATACAGGGCCCCTGGGTTCTAGACCTGGCTCTGTCACTGCTTGGCTTTGCAGCCATTTTCATAGATGAGGGAACAGGCTTGACAGGTTGTTACTTGTGTGGGAGCTGGGGTTAGCACTTAGGCTGTCTGGCCCTCACCCACTGCCCCCCACTGCCTCCCTGACCTTCTAACCAGGGGCTGGTTGGAGAAAGAGCATCAGGAGTGCTGCCCCACAGGGCTCCCAGGCTCACCATTGAGGGATTGAGTTGGGGAGGCTTGGGGCCCACTGCCTGCTACCACTGGTGCTCATCTGCTTGCAGAGGTGACTGGCCCCTCTCAGATGGACACCCGAAGGGGCCACCTGCTGCAGCCACCAGACCCAGGGCTTACCAGCAACTTCGGCCACCTGGATGACCCTGGCCTGGCAAGGTGGACCCCTGGCAAGGAGGAGTCCCTCAACTTATGTCACTGTGCAGAGCTCGGCTGCAGGACCCAGGGGGTCTGTTCCTTCCCCGCGATGCCGCAGGCCCCCATTGACGGCAGGATCGCTGGTGAGTGGGAGGCTGTTCCTCTGGCCATGGAAGGTGCACTGAGTCTGAGTCTCAGAGTCACGAGTGATGAGGACAGGGCTATTTTGACCTGGTGATGGGAGGTCTGTGGCTGGGGGATTGCAGGGTAGCGTTGACTGTCCTGTGTGCTAGCCACAATCTGGTCACAGAGGGCAGTGATACCTGGGATCACCAAGCCTCACCCTGTCTCCCACACAGGGACAATTTACCCAGTCATATTCTGACACTCACATTAGCATGGAGTGCCACACCTGCCTTTTAAAACTTTATCTGTTTTAAAATAATTGAGCATTCACTATGTGCCAGGCGTGGTTCCCAAGCCCTTATTTAATTCTACAATGGCCTTTTGAGTTTGGTACTATTATTAGCCCCATTTCACAGATATGGAAATTGAGGCACAGAAAGGTTAAGTAACTTCTCCAAGATCACACAGCACTGGTTGAGGTGTGATGTGAACCCAGGCAGTCTGGCTCCAGATCCTGAGCGCTAACCAAATGATACACTTCCACTCTGCATTCATTGTTAAAGGATTAACAGGCAGACAACCAGACAGACTGACAGATAAGCTGAAGGGTGTTTTTCTAGTCATAATAGTGACACTGCATTTATTCTTTTTTTTTTTCAACTTTTATTTTAGGTTCAGGGGGTGCATGTGCAGGTTTGTTACATGGGTAAATTGCGTGCCACTGAGGTTTGGTGTATGAATAATCCTGTCACCAAGGTACTCAGCATAGTACTTGATAGGAAGTTTTTCTTTTCTTTTCTTTTCTTTTTTTGAGACGGGAGTCTGGCTCTTTTGCCCAGGCTGGAGAGCTGTGGCATGATCTCAACTCACTGCATCCTCTGCCTCCCGGGTTCAAGCGATTCTCCTGCCTCAGCCTCCTGGGTAGCTGGGATTACAGGCGCCCACCACCACACCTGGCTAATTTTTGTTTTATTAGTAGAGACGGTTTCACCATGTTGGCCACAGGCTGGTCTTGAACTCCTGACCTCAGGTGATCCACCCACCTCGGCCTCCTTTGGTGCTGGGATTACAGGCGTGAACCACCGTGCCGGCCTGTGATAGGTAGTTTTTTCCACCCTGGCTCTTCCCCTGTAGTGGTCCCCAGTGCCCAGTGTCTATTGTTCCCATTGTTATGTCCACACCACATTTATTCTATGAAGCCACAGAGTGGGCAGAAGCCTGGCTTTTGGGTTGGAAATGACTAGAAGTCACTAAAAAACAATTGGCCCAACACATAGAAATGATGAATACTTGAGGTGATGGATGCCCTAAGTACCCTGACTTGATCGTTACACACTCTATGCATGCAACAAGATCTCACATGGACGCCAGAAACATGCATAAATATTATGTATCAATAACAAACACAATGATCCACAATTACTGGGTTTTTTTTTTTTTAAGAGACAGGGTCTCACTCTGTTGCCAGGCTGGAGTGCAGTGATGCCACCATAGCTCACTGCTGCCTCAAATTCCTGGGCTCAAGGAATCCTCCCACTTCAGCCTCTTGCAATTACTGAATTCTTCAATTATAATGCTTAACATTCTTCGTGCACTTACAGTATACCAGGCACTGTGCTGAGGGTTTTGTGGTCTATTATGTTACCTAATTCTCTCACCACCCCATACAAGGAAGCTGGCTCAGAGAAGGTTGTGTAACTTGCCTGCAATGGCCCAGCCGACAGGCCCAGGTCCTGGGATTTCAGATCACACAGTTGCTCCCGGATGCCCACTTGCCCTCCCAATGGCATGCCTGGTTTTCCTGAGCCTCACCATTAGGGAGCTTGAAGGGGTGGATGTTATAATTAATAGAAGTCCAGGGGGCTGAGTGAGTGGGCCAGGGGCAGAGAGGGACCTGGGGTCAGGGGCCCAGCCCCTCAGCCTGTGGGCCCAGCACCTGCCCTCACATGGCTCTGATGCTGGGTGGAGCCGGTCAGACTCCCTGCTCTACCTGCCACTTAGGAGCTTGGCAACTTTAGATACCTCTGCACCTCTGAGCCCATTTCCTCACCTCTTCCTGGGGATAAAGGTAACGACTTCCCAGACTCAGGAAGACTGCCTGAGACAATGCGTGAGGAGCCCCATTAGTGGCTGTTTCTGTTGATATCATCATTTTCACCTTCCTGCTGGTGCTCCTAGGGCTCTGGCCGGGAGGCTTCCAAGAGTGCCTTTCTAACACCTGTCCTCACAGCTCCAGTAAAGCTGCGCTGCCTGCACTCCCTGTGCTAAATTGCAGACTGCCGCCTGCTGTGGGATTACGTGTATCAGCTGCTCCTTGATACCCGATATGAGCCCTACATCAAGTGGGAAGACAAGGACGCCAAGATCTTCCGAGTTGTGGATCCAAATGGGCTCGCCAGACTCTGGGGAAATCACAAGGTGAGCCTCGGCCAGCAGAATGGTCTCAACATAACCAGAAGGGGACAGAGTTGGGGGTCAGAGTGGACCCCTAGCACTATGGGACAATCCTCAGCTGATGGGGCCTTCATCAGCAGCCCCAAAAGTGACAGGATAATTTTATTTGGGGAGCTATTGAGGGACAGGCAGTTACCTCTTATGGATGGGGAATGTCTCTGAAACTGAACAATTGTGTCTTCTCATTGCTTAATCTTACCTTTGCTTAGTATTTCAGGCTTTAGAAGCATGTTTACATGAACTGCACAGTTAGGCCAGATGAGGAAGCTGCTTTCCTGCGGGGAGCTGGACAGAAACCCAGGTCTCAGGCCCAACAGGAGCATCTGATGTCAGGGCTGGAAAGGCCTGGGGATGACTGAGGCCAGCATTCCCATGATGAGGAATGCCTATACCTAAATGGGTGTCTGTAAGATGATCTTAGGTGGTTTAATATCCTCATAATTATTTTTGAATTAGGATTACAAAATGTAACTACCATGACCATCTCATGATTTACAGCAGTGATATAAGGAATGTAGCCTTTTAAAATAAATAGGTTTCTTTAAGTAAAAAAAATCTTTTAAAGAAAACTATTAACGATAATGATAATCATCGATTTATAGCCTTTCCTAAGATGTAATGTGCCTGATTGCCAGGCACTGCCCTGAGGGCTCCACTTGTACTAATTCATTTAATCCTCATACCAAGCTCGTGAAGTAGGTGTTGTCGGATGTGGAGACTGAGGCTCAGTGAGGGCTAACAACTTGCCCCAAGTTTACCCATCCCCTGCTATGTAAGAGGCAGAACAGGGAGTTGAACCCAGGCCATGTGCTGCACTATATTATACTGCTCTTAGCAGTGCTGGTGGCTGGAAGGATGCAGATGACTAAAGTTCGGGAGGACTTATTGGTCTAATCCTCATATAGAACAGGGAGGAAAACAGGCCCAGAGAGCAGCAGTCCCATTTAATGAGCATATACTACATGCCATACACTGTGCTAACTGCTTTCATGGATTAGCTATTAATAATTTAATCCTTGACTTATGCGATGGGTGTTCTCCTTTTCATTATGTAGCTGGGGAAGCAGACTCAGAGAGGTCAAGAAACTTGTCCAAGGTGACACAGCTGACAAGCGGTGGAGCTGGGGCTTAAATTGATGCCACACCCCAGGCTCTTTGGCCCTACCTCACACTGCCTACCCCCGAGAGAGAAAGAAATGACTTGGCCAAAGTCACCCAGGGTGTGGCCTGGCAAGGCCATCCATGCCACCCCACCATACTGTCTCTCTGATTGCATTTCCCACAAATATATATATTTATTTGTTACTGTTGTGACATTTGCTGTTTAAAAGTAACATGCAGTTCACTCCCACACTATGTTCTCAGCCAAGTAGGCAGGAGAACCTTTCCATCATTTCCTTCCTTCCTTCCTTCCTTTCGCCTTCCTTCCTTCCTTCCTTTCTTTCTTTTTGTAATGGAGTCTCAATCTTTTGCCCAGGCTGTAGTCTAGTGACATGACCTCGGCTCACTGCAACCTCTGCCTCCTGGGTTCAAGGGATTCTCCTGCCTCAGCCTCCTGAGTAGTTGGGACTACAGGCACGCACCATCACGCCTGGCTAATTTTTGTATTTTTAGTAGAGACAGGGTTTCACCATGTTGGCCAGGCTGGTCTCAAACTCCTGACCTCAAGCGATCTGCCCACCTAGGCCTCCCAAAGTGTTGGGATTACAGGTGTGAGCCACCCTGCCCAGCCCCATCATTTCTTCCCCAACCTTCCCCTGCCTTTTTCCTTCCAAACTCAAGTGAGCACTCATAAACCCTCACAGATCCCTGGAATGAGAGGCTTAAGAAGCTGTCCAGTCCACCCTACTCCCTTCCAGGTGTGGAAGGAGCAGGACATGGGGAGTGGGGCTGATGTGGGGCTGCTTTGCTTTCCAGAACCGGGTGAACATGACCTACGAGAAGATGTCTCGTGCCCTGCGCCACTATTATAAGCTTAATATCATTAAGAAGGAACCGGGGCAGAAACTCCTGTTCAGGTGAGTGGCCTAGGGGATGTGGTGAAAGGGGAAGCAGAACTGGGGTTGGGTGGGCTGGAATCCCCCTGCAGCTGGGGCAGGAGCTGATTTGCAGTTGGGGCCTGAATTCTAGATTTCTAAAGACTCCGGGAAAGATGGTCCAGGACAAGCACAGCCACCTGGAGCCGCTGGAGAGCCAGGAGCAGGACAGAATAGAGTTCAAGGACAAGAGGCCAGAAATCTCTCCGTGAGGGGCAGGTGGACTCCAGGCACCCGGTACCGATGGGGCAGGGACCGAGTCTCCCATGAAGGCAGACTCCTCCTCCCAGCAGAGCAGCAGGATCCCCAGCCAGACTCTGTACCCACAGGATTACAGCCATTGCTTGGGAAGGCTGGGAGGCCTCCCATCCAGGACACTGGGGGCAGGAGTGTCATCTTTTGGGCAGGGCAATCCTGGGGCTAAATGAGGTACAGGGGAATGGACTCTCCCCTACTGCACCCCTGGGAGAGGAAGCCAGGCACCGATAGAGCACCCAGCCCCACCCCTGTAAATGGAATTTACCAGATGAAGGGAATGAAGTCCCTCACTGAGCCTCAGATTTCCTCACCTGTGAAATGGGCTGAGGCAGGAAATGGGAAAAAGTGTTAGTGCTTCCAGGCGGCACTGACAGCCTCAGTAACAATAAAAACAATGGTAGCTGATGTTTCTTTCTTTTATTTTTTTGAGACAGTCTTGCGCTGTCACCCAGGGTGGAGTGCAGTGGCACGATCTCGGCTCACTGCAACTTCCGCCTCCTGGGTTCAAGAGATTCTCGTGCCTCAGCCTCCGGAGTAGCTGGGATTACAGCTGCCCACCACCACACCCGGCTAATTTTTGTATTTTTGGTAGAGACACAGGGTTTCACCATGTTGGCCAGGCTGGTATCGAACTTGCGACCTCAGGTGATCCTCTTGCCTCAGTTTCCCAAAGTGCTTGGATTACAGGCGTGAGCCACTGCGTCCAGCCGATGTTTCTTAAGTGTTTGCTATGTGCCAGGCCTTGTGCTAAGGGCCTTGTGGATATCTTATCTCATTTAATTCACTCGGCATTCAGGCGTGAAGATGAGGACACTGAGGGAGAGGCTTGTGGAGCTGGCCCGCCTCTCCACAACCCAGGGCTTCGACCTGTTTTCTTTCAGCACCTCTGACTGTATGTGGATGCTTCTTAGCCAGGCCCCGGCCCCACCTCTCTGCTCTTGGCATCTTCACTGAATAGTCCATTTCACTTGGCCCAGCCCCCTCATCCTCAGTTTTCAGTGACTACGACCCAGTGAAGACTGGCCCCCGTCCCCACACTTGTGGCTTCCTATGCTCCTGTCCCTGTATCTGCTGTGGGACTTTGGGCAAGGTGTTCCGCCTCTCTGGGGCCTCAGGTTTCTCGTCTGCAAAATGGGGCTCCTTCTCCTGACCTGACCTCTGGGGTTGTCGGAAAGCTTCCATAAGGCAATACTTGTGAAATGCTTAATGTTTGCCTGCTCTGTGGGGCGTGCTTCACCTGTGTTAGCTGAGAAGACTTTGCAGACCAGAAGCTGCTCTGAAGCATGAAAACACCTCGGTCCAATGGGTCAGCTTCTCCCTCTGTGCCCTAGCCCCAAGTACTGATTGGGGCCTCCTGAGGGCCAGAGCCTCTGCCCTTGCAAGCCGTCAGGTAAAGCTCAGGTAGAAGGAGAAGGGAGTATTTTCATTTAACCAAGAATAGAACTCCTCGGATTCATATCTTCTTTCTCAGAAGGAGGAAACTACCTCAGCCTCTTGCCCCCAGCCGGTCAGGAAATCCCCGTCTCTGCTGGCGCCTGCACTGGCCTTGAGTCACTGCAGAGAAGTCCTTGATAAGGACTCTTGGACTTTGGGGCTCAAAGCTGTGATAGCCCATGAGCAGGGAAACTCCAGGCTTAGTCCTATCTGGGACCCTCGATGGTACTCACCGGCAGGGGGGCAGGCAGGTGGCTTTGGAAAAAGGATCGATGGGAAAATGCTTTGCCCCTTTCACTTTCCCTCTGAGACTGTTCCAGCTCCTTGACTTTGCTCTGCGATGAGCCCATGCCCCATGGCCTCTCTTATTGAGAGATGACAGCGTGCTGGCAGTCCTCACAGCCCTCGCTCGCTCTCGGCACCTCCTCTGCCTGGGCTCCCACTTTGGCGGCACTTGAGGAGCCCTTCATCCCACCGCTGCACTGTGGGAGCCCCTTTCTGGGCTGGCCAAGGCCAGAGCCGGCTCCCTCAGCTTGAAGGGAGGTGTGGAGGGAGAGGCACGAGCGGGAACTGGGGCTGTGCGCGGCGCTTGCGGGCCAGCTGAACTTTCGGGTGAGCGTGGGCTTGGCGGGTCCCGCACTCGGAGCAGCCGGCCGGCCCTGCCAGCCCCGGGCAATGAGGGACTTAGCACCCGGGCCAGCGGCTGCGGAGGGTGTACTGGGTCCCCCAGCAGTGCCAGCCCACCGGCGCTGCGCTCGATTTCTCACCGGGCCTTAGCTGCCTTCCTGCGGGGCAGGGCTGGGGACCTGCAGCCTGCCATGCCTGAGCCTCCCACCCGCTCCATGGGCTCCTGTGCGGCCTGAGCCTCCCCGACGAGCGCCACCCCCTGCTCCACAGCGCCCAGTCCCATCCACCACCCAAGGGCTGAGGAGTGCGGGCTCACGGCGCCGGACTGGCAGGCAGCTCCACCTGCAGCCCCAGTGCAGGATCCACTGGGTGAAGCCAGCTGGGCTCCTGAGTCTGGTGGGGAGGTGGAAAACCTTTATGTCTAGTTCAGGGATTGTAAATACACCAATCGGCACTCTGTATCTAGCTCAAGGTTTGTAAATACACCAATCAGCACCCTGTGTCTAGCTCAGGGTTTGTGAATGCACCAATCCACACTCTGTATCTAGCTGCTCTGGTGGGGCCTTGGAGAACCTTTATGTCTAGCTCAGGGATTGTAAATACACCAATCGGCACTCTGTATCTACCTCAAGGTTTGTAAATACACCAATCAGCACCCTGTGTCTAGCTCAGGGTTTGTGAATGCACCAATCGACACTCTGTATCTAGCTACTCTGGTGGGGCCTTGGAGAACCTTTGTGTCCACACTGTATCTAGCTAATCTGGTGGGGAGGTGGAGAACCTTTGTGTCTAGCTCAGGGATTGTAAACGCACCAATCAGCACCCTGTCAAAACAGACCACTGGGCTCTACCAATCAGCAGGATGTGGGTGGGGCCAGATAAGAGAATAAAAGCAGGCTGCCCCAGCTAGCAGTGGCAACCCGTTCTGGTCCCCTTTGACACCGTGGGAGCTTTGTTCTTTTGCTCTTTGGGTCCACGCTGCTTTTATTAGCTGTAACGCTTAGTGCGAAGATCTGCAGCTTCACTCCTGAAGCCAGCGAGCCCACGACCCCACCGGGAGGAATGAATGACTCCAGATGTGCTGCTTTAAGAGCTGTAACACTCACCGTGAAGGTCTGCAGCTTCACTCCTGGAGCCAGCGAGCCCATGAGCCCACGGGGAGGAACGAACGACTCCAGACGCGGTGCCTTAAGGGCTGTAACACTCACCGCGAAGGTCTGCAGCTTCACTCCTGAGCCAGCGAGACCACGAACCCACCAGAAGGAAGAAACTCTGAACACGTCGGAACATCAGAAAGAACAAACTCCAGATGCGCCACCTGAAGAGCTGTAAGACTCACCGCGAGGGTCCGCGGCTTCATTCTTGAAGTCAGTGAGACCAAGAACCCACCAGTTCTGGACACATTATCACCTCCTCACCCCAGAGCTGCATACCTGGCTTAGGAGGGACTGTCGAAATGAATTTATCCAGGCCCTCATTTTACAGAGAAGGGAACTGCCGCCAGAGCGAAGTGACTTGCGCAAGATCACATGGCCCAGCCCAGCTTCTTCGCTCCTGAAGCCACCTCATTTCCTCTTCTCAGCATTGTGGTTGGGTCCAAGATGAAGCAGGAGGATGGATTCCTAGATCACTTCTTCCAGTTATAAGTGGTGTTTGCCTGCTGGTGGGTTGATGGATGTCAACAGCTACATTTCCCAGCGATGAGGCCTTAACTCAGGCAATGAATCTCACCCAGCACTGAGACCATCATGGCCGGGTTGGGCTACTAGGAGAGCAGGCATGAATCACTGCCAGAGATCCCGACTCCGGAACTCTGCACTCAGCCCTGAGGCCATGCCACCTTTTCTCCATCTCCCCAGGGAGATCAGGCCGTGGTCTGGGGATGGACCCCTGGGTGCCTGGAGTAAGGGGGTTCATTTAGGCCTGCCTTCTACAAACATCAATTGAGTACCTGCTCTGTACCGGGCACCAGGTGAGGCATTGAGTTTATATCCATTTTTCATACAATTAAAGTCCTGAAAAGTGGCAGGTCATTGAAAATTTCATGTGTCAAAGTGAACTTCTCACAAATTTTTTTTTTGAGGTGTTTTGCTGTCACTCAGGCTGGAGTGCAGTGTTGTGATCTCAGCTCACTGCAACCTCTGCTTCCTGGGTTCAAGTGATTCTCCTGCCTCAGCCTCCCGAGTAGCTGGGACTACAGGCACCCGCCACCACACCAGCTAATTTTTTTTTTTTTGAGACAGAGTCTCGCTCTTTCACACAGGCCGGACTGCAGTGGCGCGATCTCGGCTCGCTGCAAGCTCTGCCTCCCGGGTTCACGCCATTCTCCTGCCTCAGCCCCCTCCCCAAGTAGCTGGGACTACAGGTGCCCGCCACCGCGCCTGGCTAATTTTTTGTATTTTTAGTAGAGACAAGGTTTCACCATGTTAGCCAGGATGGTCTCGATCTCCTGACCTCGTGATCCGCCTGCCTCAGTCTCCCAAAGTGCTGGGATTACAGGTGTGAGCCACCGCGCCCGGCCACACCAGCTAACTTTTGTATTTTTAGTAGAGACAGGGTTTCACTGTGTTGGTCAGGCTGGTCTCGACCTCAGGTGATCCACCTGCCTTGGCCTCCCAAAGTGTTGGGGTTACAGGTGTGAGCCACCGCACCCAGCCAACAAAGAATTTTAAAAAGCAGGAGATACATTCTCATGGTTTGAAAAAGTGGCCAGGCATGATTACATTACAATTAAAGAACTGACAATAGATAAAGAATTTATGAAAAATGAGTATAATAAAAAGTTCATTAATGAAACAAATAATACAAGTCACTGTCTTGGTCCAGTTGAACCATTTACAGCATTAACCCATGAGCATGAGCTCTGGTCTTCCTCTTCTCTGTTAGGTGGATTCTTTCTTAGAAAGGCTTTTTCCTTCATAGGAAAGTTCCAGATCTAGCATTTGATTTAATCCTGGTGGCTCTGCTGGGTCTTGGGCTCTTAACTGCAGGAAGCCTGGGCTGATGCTGGGGACCCATCCTCTTTGTCACAGAGGATCCTAGGGCCACAGTCTTCCTTGGCTTCCTCCTCTGGTCCCACGGTGTTAGTGATCCACATTTTCTACTCAAATGTTCTCACAAAAGGTTTGTAGAGACACACAGAAAACACAGACCTTTACAGAGCAAAGGCCTGTACCGCAGAAATGTCCGTATCTGGTGGTAAATGCGAGGGCAGTGTGAGCTCAGAGGGAGCCTGTTGAATGCCGGTGTCAGGGCCCTGCGCTGCTGGCGAGCTCCCTCAGTGACACCTCGGCCCTCAAAGGACCTCGGTGGGAACTAAGCCACCAATGGGACAGCCCCAGAACTTGAGTGAGGAGTTTAAAGCAGGTTGTTCTGAAACCAGTATATGCAACTCAGAAATATTTTAATCGTGATCTTGATTTTTTTAAAGTCCCGAATCCTTTTGAGTTAATTGCTCATATACTGGGGATGGGGAGTGATGGTGAGTAAACAAAGGGGAATAGGGCCCTGGCTTGGAAAGTTTGCACAGAAGTAGGGGAAACAGATGTAGCTGATGAGCAAACCATTGCAGTCCCCAGGGAGAGATGACGTGAGAAGTGTGCCTATTGGGGACAGTACTGGACAAAGTGGTGCTAGTGAATTCGGCTTGAGAGGCACCAGGGAGAGTTTCCCTCCGGAGAATCACAGGCTTCTGCTCTCTTTTTCCAACTTCCCTTTTGCAGGGCTGAGGTCTGGAAGCACAGTGGGGCTGTGGGCCTTCTGATCCTTGAGGGGGTCAGGGAGACTGCACGGGAAATGGGATTCTGGGCTGTGGGCTTCTCTCCACGGAAAGGCCTGCAGTTTAAAACCATGTCCACTAGGTGGTGCAAAAGCCTCTTTTTGTGTTAGTGTGGGGCCGGGCGGTGGCTGACTGAATGTTCTATGGACAGCAAGCCTGCCTTCTCTCACGGGGAGATGTGTACTCTCCAGCTCAGGCATGCTCTGTAAGTAGACATCCAGGCCCTGCTTGAACACCTCCAGTGACGGGGAACTCACACCTCCAGGGGGCAAAGTAAGTAGCAGGGGTGGGGGTGGAATTGAGGGGCACCATAAGCCAGCTGTCCGTTGATAGCATCAGCCTCCTCTCCTAACCCACAGGCCACTGGTTTCTGCAATTCCTATTTTCCCATTCTCTTTATTGGGAATAACTTCTTATCTCCTCTTCTTATGATCACTTTATCCTTGAGTAGTTTGTCAGCAGGGGCCTAGATGAGGCCTCTTACAGATCTGGGACATCTGCTAGGGGCATGTCAGAGCCTCTCTACCCTCACCCTACCCATGTAGACCTGATTAGGAATCAAAAAGACTGGCCGGGTGCAGTGGCTCATGCCTGTAATCCCAGCACTTTGGGAGGCCGAGGCGGGCGGATTACGAGGTCAAGAAATCGAGACCATCCTGGCCAACATGGTGAAACTCCGTCTCTACTAAAAATAAAAAAATTAGCTGGGCATGGTGGCACATGCCTGTAGTCCCAGCTACTTGGGAGGCTGAGGCAGGAGAATCACTTGAACCCGGGAGGTGGAGGCAGTGAGCCGAGATCGCGCCACTCACTCCAGCCTGGCATCAGAGTGAGACTCGGTCTCAAAAGAAAAAAAAAAAGGACTGAGGCTTCCTTAGTTTTCTACTGGCTTTAGTTACACCACCCTTCTAGGACTCACTTTCTACTTTTGTAAAATGAAAGACAACATCCTTTGCCCTGCTTAGCACATGGAGTTGAGAAATTTCAAATGAAATAATGCATTCATTTATTTAACATTCATTGAGCACCTACTGTAGGTTAAGCACTGTCTAGAAACAGGAATATTGTGGTGACCAGAACAGATAAATAAACAAATCAATACAGAATAAAATGGCAGGTGGTGATATGTACTATGAAGGAAAATAAAATAGAATCAAGTGAGAGGGGCCAAATTTAAATTGAGCTGTCAGAGATGTAAAAAACATGTGTAAGCAGGAACAAATCATCTTTACCTATGTCACTTTCTCTCCTGTAGTAGACTGTCCCCTTTCTTTCTTTTTTCTTTTTTTCTTTTTTCTTTTTTTTTTTGAGACTGAGTTTCGCTCTTGTTACCCAGGCTGGAGAGCAATGGTGCAATCTTGGCTCACCGCAACCTCCGCCTCCTAGGTTCAAGTGGTCCTCCTGCCTCAGCCTCCTGAGTAGCTGGGATCACAGGCGTGCACCACCACACCTGGCTAATTTTTGTATTTTTAGTAGAGACAGGGTTTCTCCATGTTGGTCAGGCTGGTCTTGAACTCTCGACCTCAGGTGATTTGCCCACCTTGGCCTCCCAAAGTGCTGGGATTATAGGTGTGAGCCACTTCGCCCAGCCTGTCCATCCCCTTTCTGTTTAATCTGCAGGTCACACCATGAAAGATGGACACTGTTGTTAGTTTGTTATGTGCAACCCAATGCAATCTTAATGGATATGAATAATGTAGACAGGCTGGGTGGAGAAGACCATCTTGGCCTAGAGCTGCCCCTCTCCCATCCTCTTCCTTTGGGGGAGCCATCAGCTAAGACCGAGATCACAAAGTCTCCTGAATAGACCTCAGTTCTCTAGATCTGGCCCATCTAAACATCCTAACTCAAGGAAGCACGGTGTATTGTTGAAAGTGCTCTGGCTGGAAAGCCCCAGAGTTCTAAATATGGCTCTTAAAATTCCAGCAATTCTGAGCAGGAAGAGCTTTCCCCTCAGTCACATGATCATATGCTCCAGCCAGTGACAAGCTCAGGTTCTCGACCTGTGGTGTGGGGTGGGGAGTACATATCAGATTCTCAGGGGACAGCTGATTGTGGGTGGCTGAACGTGGCGTGCAAATCTCTAGAGAGCTTCTAAAGCACCAACAAAGGCACTTTCTTCTCCACCACCCCCACAAGGGTCAGTGAGCTGACCCAGTGTTAGGGTTTGGGGGATGGGGAAACTGAACATCAGGGGGACCTTGAGATTCTGGGATTCTGGGCTTTCAGCCAGGGACCCTTCCAACCTTAGGAACAGAATATGCCAACTCTAGCCCTCTGCAAACTCTAAAGTGATTTGCAATAAGAACATTATTTTTTCCTGACTGACCAGTGAGTAATTTACCAAGCTGGGTCTTGATTGGCCACCAAAAGAAAAAAGGGCCTTTGACAAAGCAGGAGACCTGAACTAGAGCCAGCAGCAGAAGGCCCCCAGTGAAATGACAGAAACAAAAGCTTGGCAGCTCAACCACATCTTTATTTTGAGCAAGATGAAGTGCCTTTCTGACAATGCAAATTAATTCACCCAGCTTTTAAGTGAGGAAGACATGTCCAGATCAAAGTCCAGCTTCCCTTCTAAGGAGGCCAGCCCTACGTCATCTGCAGCTACTGTATCAGTTAGAGTCATGCTGGCCATAGCATCTCAACTGAAATCTCAGTGGCTTGATGTGATAGACATTCATTTTCTTGGCCACATAAAGCTTGGTTCATGGGTGGGGAGGGATCTTCCCCATGAAGTCATCTGGGGACCCAGGCTGATGGAGGTTGTACTGTCTCCTTCATGTGGTTTCTGTATGGGGGATTGACACCCAGCCCGCAGGTAGGGAGGAGAAAGCGTGAAGGATTGGGGAGGTGTTTTTTTGTTTGTTTTTGTTTTTGTTTTTGAGACAGAATCTCACTCTGTCACCTGGGCTGGAGTGCAGTGGTACAATTTTGGCTCACTGCAACCTCCACCTACCAGGTTCAAGTGATTCTCATGCCTCAGCCTCCCGAGTAGCTGGGATTACAGGTGTGTGCCACCAAACTTGGCTAATTTTTTATATTTTTAGTAGAGATAGGGTTTTTCCATGTTGGCCAGGCTGGTCTCGAACTTCTGACCTCAGGTGATCTGCCTGCCTTGACCTCCCAAAGTGCTGGGATTACAGGCATGAGCCAGCGCACGTGGCCGGGGAGGTGTTCTTATGGGAGGCGCCCATCATTTCTGCCCATATTTGTTGTCAGAACTCAGGCTTGTGATATTCCACCTATATTCCTTGCTCCTTTTGAGTGACTTTTCCTCTTATTTACACCATTCTCCACCCCTCTTCATCCTGCTCTGTGGCCAGGAGACTGTCCTGTATGGATTGCCCCAGTGGGCTTCCTGTCCTCTGGCTCCTGGTTGGTTTTAGTCAAGAAACTCTCTGGTCGGAGATTGCCAAGGTATTTTATTTCTCTAGTCCCTCCCTGCTGGCTCCCACAGGTTGGCTGTGTTCTCCTACTTAAGGCTGCAGCTTCTGTGCGCTGCCCTCTCTGTGCAGCCATATCCTTTCCAAGCTGTGTCACTGCTCCTTCCCCTGGACCTTTTAGGCTTTCAGTTGAAATCTGTTCAACTGACATTCAGCAGCCCTCTCAGTGGCAAATGGTATCTTGATTTTCCTGAGATACCTGGCTCCCTACATGTAGATTAAAACATAGGTTTCTCCTTGTGGATCCAAAAAAAAGAGATAATTTGTAATGCACTGTCTGCCATATATCTTCTCCCAACTTCCCATCAAAACTCCATGCTGGCTTCCAATCCTTTACAGCTGCTTCTTTGCGTTATGGCATAGAACTTTGATGAATTAACCTGTGATGATGTTTTCACGGGTGGTGATGGGGTCCCGCAAATTTCCCTCCATAGTGTATCTCCACTTGATACACACATCTTCACAGGACAATGCCTTAATCCTTAGGAGA
Organism: Homo sapiens; assembly: GCF_000001405.40. Taxonomy (NCBI): domain Eukaryota; kingdom Metazoa; phylum Chordata; class Mammalia; order Primates; family Hominidae; genus Homo; species Homo sapiens. The sequence continues at coordinate 36,356,826 of NC_000006.12, read as the reverse complement.
GACTGGCTGTGAAGTAATGCAGGTGTCAGCCCAGCATTCCATCTACCATCCTCCTGGTAATAACTTTGTCTCTGGGAGTAACTCTTTTCCTACTCCATCACAGTGTCCTGCCCCCAGCAGTTGGGGAGGGCCCTGTAGCCCAGGCTGGGCCATTAAGAGAAGCCCATTTCCGTGGCCACAGCAACTGGTCCAGATGGTGCATGATCCAGGATAGGCCAATCAGGGTCCTTCCCTGGGATTTCTCTTTCTGTGTCTGGCTGGGAAGTTACCCCAAGCTAGTGGCAGCTGTGTCTTCTGCCATGAGGGGACACCAGAGGGGCAGAAAGGTGAGGTGAAGTCCCTGGAGGGTCTGGTCTCCACTTCTAATCTTGGGGCTCTCGGAGCTGTCATGATCCCTGCAGATCTTTCTTCAATTCTTTTTAAAAAATTGATATATAATAGTTGTATATATGTTTGGGATACGTGTGTTTGTTTGTGTTTTTTTTTGTTTTTTTTTTTTTTTTGAGACAGGGTCTCACTCTTTTACCCAGGCTGGAGTGCAATGGTGCCATCATTGCTCATCATTGTTTCACTGTGTTGCCTAGGCTGGTCTCAAAACTCCTGAGCTCAATGCAATCCACCTGCCTTGGCTTCCCAAAGAGAAGGGATTACAGGCGTGAGCCACTGTGCCCAGCCACATGTGAAATTTTGATAGCTGTAATTGCTTCAATTCTTTGACAATCCCAATAGCTTTCGAATACATCTCCTTTTCACTTATGTTGGTTTGAGTTGTGGTTTCTGTCTTGCACAATTATGAAAGGTCTATTTCTTAAGGAGGTACAATTTTTAGTCAAGGGATTGTTTGATACTCTTTAAGTTCACTGCCAGGCCTACCACTTATCTCTGTCGTAGGAGGAGAGTTCCTGTAATGAGAGGTTTTTAAGACGTCCTTTGTTCTGGGATGAATCAGAGGGAATGACTGCCTTGGAGCTCAGGATATTAAACTGAGTGGTGTCAAATATTCCCAGGATCAATCGACAATGCCATGTGTACCATCTCCTCCTACAGGGATTAAAGGCCTGATATTTAGATATGATTCTAGTTTTCTCTCAAATCCATACTTTAAGAGCTTATGGGCTGGGTGCGGTGGCTCACACCTGTAATCCCAGCACTTTGGGAAGCCAAGGTGGGCAGATAAGTTGAGGCCAGGAGTTCGAGACCAGCCTGGCCAACATGGTGAAACCCTGTCTCTACCAAAAAATACAAAAGTTAGCCAGGCGCAATGGCGCATGCCTGTAATCCCAGATACTTGGGAGGCTGAGGCAGGAGAATCACTTGAACCCGAGAGGCAGAGGTTGGAGTGAGGCGGAGAGTTGGAGGTTGGAGTAAGATCATGCCACTGCACTCCAGCCTGGATGACAGAGTGAGACTCTGTCTCAAAAAAAAAAAAAAGTCTATGAACATCAGTGTTATATACCACACTAATAAAATGAAAGACAAAACCCACATAATCATCTCAATAGATAGGGAAAAAGCATTTGACAAAATCCAAGTGTCTTATCATAAAAATATTCAACAAACCAAGACTAGAAGAGAACTTCCTCAAGCTGATCAAGACCATCTGTGAAAACCCCACAGCTACCATCCTACTTAATGGTGAACGACTAGATGCTTTTCTCCTAATATTGCAGGGTTCTAGTCAGAGCAGTGAGGCAAGAAAAAGAAATAAAAAGCATCTAGGTTGGAAAGGAAGAAGTAAAACTATCTCTGTTCATAGATAACATGATACTGTGTATAAAAATCCTAAGGAATAAAAAAACTATGAGAACTAATTAATGAGTTCAGTAAGTTTGCAGAATACAAGACTAACCTACAAAAGTCAATTGTATTTCTATCTATGACAATGAACAACCTGAAAATGAAATTCAAAATAATTCTATTTCCAATACCATCAAAAGAATAAAACACAAATAAACTTAAAGCACAAGACATATACTCTGAAAACTACAAAGCATTGTTGAAAGAAATTAAAGCAAATCTAAATAAATGGACAGATATAACATGTTCCTGGATTGTTAAGATGGCAATACTCCCTAAATTGGTCTACATATTCAATGCAATCCCTATCAAAATTCCAACTGCTTTTTTTTTTTATTGCAGAAATGGACTTCAGCTGATCTTCATATTCATATGGAGTTTCCAGTGACCCCAAATAGCCAAAACAGTCTTGGAAAGAAAAACAAAGTTGGAGGACCCACACTTCCTGATTTTGAAACTTGCTACAAAGCTATAGTACTCAACAAAGATTGGTAATGGCATAAGGATATAGATTAAGAACAGTTTTTTCAACAAATAGTGTTGGGACAATGGGTGTCCACATGCAAAAGAATAAAGTTGTCCCCTTACCTTACACCATCTCCAAAAATTAACTCAAAATATGTCAAAGACATAAACGTAAGAGCTAAAACTGTAAAACTCCTAGAATAAAACATAGGAGTAAATCTTCATGACCTTGGATTAGGCCATTGTGTCTTAAATATAACACCAAAAGAATAAGTAATAAAAAAATAGATAAATTGAACTCCATCAAAATTAAAAGCCTTTGTGCTTCATAGGACACCATCAAGAAAGTAAAAAAAAAAAAAAAAACCCATAGGATGGGAGAAAATATCTCCAAATCATATATCTGATAAAAGAATTGTATCCAGGATTGATAAAGAATTCCTACAACTCAATAATAAAAAGACAAAAAACCCCAAATTGGGCAAAGGACATGAATAGAGATTTTTCCTAAGAAGATACACAAATAACAAATAAGCACATGAAGAAATGCTAACATCATTGTATTAGTCCGTTTTCACACTGCTGATGAAGACATACCCGAGACTGGTAATTTATAAAGAAAAGAGGTTTAATTGACTCACAGTTCCACATGGCTGGGGAGGCCTCACAATCATGGCAGAAGACAAGGAGGAGCAAGTCACATCCTACATCGTGGCAGGGGGGAGAGAGCTTGTGCAGGGAAACTCCTCTTTATAAAATTTTATGGGGTCTCATGAGACTTATTCACAATCATGAGAACAGCACGGGAGAGACTGATTCAATTACCATGATTCAATTACCTCCCACTGGGTCCCTCCCACAACATGTGGGAATTGTGGGAGCTACAATTCAAGATGAGAATTGGTGGGGGTTGGGGGTGACACAGCCAAACCACAACAATCATTAATCATTAGGGAAATGAAGAACAAACTACCATGAGATACTACTTCTCGCTCACTAGGATTGTTAGGGAAACAGAAGCATAGGAGAGCCATGGTGACATCATTTTAAAATCAACTCCATCTTAAAACTATCAAGGCACGTTCCTTGCCAGTCATGACTCATGGTCCTAAGATGTTTACAGTTGAGGAAACACCTTAAAAATACCTGCAAGAACACACTCCTACAATAACAAAAAGTCCAGATGTCCCACTATCCTTAACAAGATATGCTTTTAAGATGACTATAGTCATGCTTTGATGTACTTATGTACTAAAATGCCAAAGATACTTTCTTTAAATCAACAGAATACTAAATTTTATGCTGTCAGCCCACCCACGCAGACATAATTTATCTTAGCTTTTACATAGATGAGACTCCTATATGAGAAAAGTTTAAGACAGAGATGGCGTGTTCCTCCTCTTGCTTTCTGAGGATGCCCTATTCTGTGACTGAGTAGCTTTCAATAAACTATCCTCTCTCTGCACTTTGTAACTTACCTTGAATCCCTTCCTGTGCGAGATCCAACAATCCTCTCTTGGAGTCTGGATTGGGACTCTTTTTCTGGCAACAGCAGAGCTATAATTAAAAAAAAGATGGACATTAACAAGTGTCGGAGAGGATGTGGAGAAGTTAGAACCCTCATACGTTACTGGTGAGAACATAAAATGATGCAGCTGCTGTGGAAAACAGCTTAACAATTTCTCAAAAAGCTAAAATAGAGTTACCGTATGACCCAGCAATCCTGCTTCTAAGTATATACCCGAGAGAATTAAAAACATATGTCCACACAAAAACTTGTACACAAATGTTCACGGTAGCATTATTTGTAGTTGCCAAAACGAAAAACAACCCAAATGTCCATTAACTGCTGAATGGATAAACAAAATGTGATCTATCCACACAATGGAACATTATGCAGTCATGAAAAAGGAATAAAGTTCTAATACATGCTGTAACACGGGTGAACCTTGAAGAAATAGTGTTGAATGTAAGGAGCAAGTCATAACATATGATTGTATGATTCCATTTATATGAAATGTCCAGAGAGGCAAATCCACCCAGCCAGGTGGGAGATTAATGGTTGACTGGGGTTGGGGGTGAGAGGGCCTGGGAAGGGACTGGTAATGGGTATGGGATTTCTTTCCAGGGGTATGAAAATGCTCCGGAAGTGGGCAGTCATGGTGATTAATGCACATCTCTGTGAATATACTAAACCCCACAGAACTGTACATTTTAAAGAGTGAATTTTAGCCAGGCCTGGTAGCTCATGCCTGTAATCCCAGCACTTTGGGAGGCCGAGGCAGGTGGATTGCTAGAGTCCAGGAGTTCGAGATCAGCCTGACCAACATGGCAAAACCCCGTCTCTCTTAAAATCACAAAAATTAGCTGGGTGTGGTGGCACGTGCCTGTAATGCCAGCTACATCAGGAGGCTGAGGCACAGAATTGCTTGAACACAGGAGGCGGAGGTTTCAGGGAGCCAAGATCGTGCCACTGCACTTCAGCCTGGGTGACAGAGTGAAAAAAAGAGAGTGAACTTTGTGGCATGTGAATGAGATCCCAGTAGTTATTATTAAAAAAAAAATTATGAGCAAACAGAGGCTCTGCATAGAGTAGCAGCTTCCCCAAAGAGGGCAGCAAATCAGGGGCACTTTCCTAGGCCTGGCAAAGTGGGATGTAGCATGAGGATTAAGAACCCAGGCTTTGAACCTGAAGGTTGTGGGTCTGAATCCTGCTTCCACGTCTCATGAGCTGTGGAATGTTGGAAAATGGACTCAATCTCTCTGAACCTCTCAATTGTAAAATGAGAATAACTCCTACTTTGTGAAGTTCTTATGAGGGTTAACTTCTCGGTAGCGTCTTGATAAATTATAGGTAGTTTTATCATTTTTTTCTCTGGAAAAAAGAAGGAAAGAAGTCTCTGGAAGACAACTTTGACCTTGGACTGAAGGTGGAAAGAATAGGCCCAGTTTAAATAAATACAAATAGATTTCAGGTTCTAGCTTGGGCTAGAGGGATATGGAAGACCCTCTCCAGGCATGGTGGGTGGTCAGCAGGAGTTCAGGGAGGGTGACTGGAGGCAGAAAAAGTACAGACACTCATTCTCCCACTAGGCTGCCAGGTCTGTGGGTTAGAACTGGATGCTCTGGTATTCAAGTTTTCTGCCAGGAGAAAAATGAGATAAGTTATTACCATCACGTTTTGTTATCGCAACTTTTCCCCTCACTCTCAGAAAGGAGCTGGGAGCTCCTCTGCAGTCTCACATCAGATAGTAAGTGTGAGCCCAGATCAGCCCAGGCTGTCCTCGGCTGAGCTGGTGAATCTGCGTTCAAATGAACAACAGCAGCTGGCCTGCTAGGCCCGGCATCTCAGTGGGGCTGGCTGTTTTCTTCTCATCAATATTTGATTCTTGTGGAATAACAGATGATGTTTATTTCATTCTTTGTGCCTCTGCTTAGTTTTCACATTGTCTAAAGGGACGAGGTATCTAATTAAAGTGCTGTTAGGAAAACCGTAATAAGCGTGATTCATGCCTGTGTTGCCCTTTGTCTAGACTTTTCTTTCTCTTATCTTGCATGGCTGCCTTGGTCAAGATAAAGCATATTTGTGAGCTGTATCAGTCATGGTTCAGCTGGAGGAAACCACAGCAGCTAATTTTAGCGGGAAAGGCATCAGGGGTTTACAAAGTCATTGGAAGGGTGGAGGAGTGGGTTCCTGGTAGGGCTCCAGGGATGAGCCGGAATCTCAACACTGCAGCAGTGATGCAGAAGGCGGGAACCACGCTGCACATGGAGGAGTGTCAGCACGCGAGCCTTGCTGGAATGCGCAGCTTCTCCTTGACCTTGCTTGTTCAGCAGCATGGGATCCACAGGAAAATGCCCTCACTTCACTTCCTCCTCCCAACCTGGGCCAGGGCATTAAATTGTCAGATCCTAATTCACATCAGAAACTCCAGCTGCTAAGGGGCCAGGGGAGTTTACTTTTCAGCTTTCCCACCTCTGAGGGAGAAAAAGGGCCTTTGATGGTGTGGTCCAGGCCAACCCACCAGGACCTTACATCAAGATTTTAACATGTATTTTGGTTCAGTACTTACTTGAGATAACTGACAATCCTTTCATTTTTGTCTGTATAAAAACTGTATTTGTGGTGTGAAGTGGCTTCCTCCTGTCTGTGGCGTCTATAAGTTGACCTCTGAAGTCCTGTCTGTGAACACGGGTGCCCTCGAAAGATGGAGAAGTGGCTTCCTGTGGATCAGTCCTGGAATCGGCTCCTGGTGTGTGGCATTTGGTGGGTGCTGACATCAACAGTCTCCTTTTCCCTGTGAGGTGAGAAGGGTCTATGTGTCATAGGAAGACAGAGCTTCCATGTATTCTCTTGGTTATAATGAGCACTTCCAGGAGGAAACAATAGAACTTGTAAGTGGATTTTTTTTTTCCTAATAAAGAATCTGCTGCTTAGGAACAAACTCAGAGGCCAAGAAGCATTTAAGAAGATGTTTAACTTCACTGTGAAAGAAAGGCAAATTAGGTCCAGCACGGTGGCTCACGCCTGTAATCCCAGCACTTTGGGAGGCTGAGGCAGGAGGATTGCTTGAGCCCAGGGGTTGGAGACCAGCCTGGGTAACATAGCAAGACCCTGCCTCTACCAAAATAATAATAATAAGAATAAAGAAAGAAAGAAAGAGAGAGAGGGAGAGAGAGAGAGGGAGGGAGGGAGGCAAATTAAGACAAGAGTGGCTCATCTGATGGACAGCAATGAACAGGCTCCACAGTGTCCACAGTGAGCGTGAGGGTGAAGAAGCAGCCACACTCATTGACACAGCTGGTGGTGGAAAGAGGCACACACTTTTGGAAGGGAATTCGGCAGGGCCTACCCAGGTTGTAAGTATGTCTCCCTTGTGACCCAGACATTCTGTTTCTGAGAATACACCTTTCACAAAACTTCTCACATACGTGCAGACATATATTTTTAGAGATGTTCTCTGGAGCACTGGTTATTCTTACAAAACATGGGGAAAATCCAAAGGTCTAGCAATGGGGTTTGGGTAAGTAAATACAGTGGAACACCCTGTAGCTCACATAAAGAGAAGATCTGCAAGAACTGATGAGGAAGAACACGTGACGCCCCTGCAGGTGCAAGGCTGGGGCTCCTGGGCCATCTGCCAAGTGGTGATGCTAACCTGTCTGTGAACATGTGGAGCTGGTAAAATGAATGATGATTCAGGGAACATGGCACAGAAAGGCGTAGTTGCTTTTGTTATATAAGATAATTTCTATAAACTATTTCGAGGAATTAGACTAAAAGTATGGGATATTCTCTAGTCTGTATATCGTCCATATGTCATGAGAATTTTACTTACCTCTCAAGTGCCCCGAGTGAGAAAAAAAAAAATGGACTTGGATGTGTTGTCAACTGTCTTGGGATTACAAAAGAGAGGAGCATTGCCTTGGGGAGAGAGGCCATGAGTGACTTTGCTGGGGACAAGCTGACTTGGGTTCACCTCCTTGTCCCCTTACCCTATCCCTGTCTGCCTAACTTGGAGTGGGAGTAGGGGCTGCAAGTTCCACTCCAACTTTGCAAGGTTTCAAAGAGAAAAGTCATCAGCAGAAGGCTGAGAAGTTCATGTGGGTGAAATGCAATTATTCCTAATGTCCCCTTGTGTGGAAACCCCCCTTCCTGAGAAGTGATGGTCTCTTGGAGTTCTGAACGCTTTCCTTCACTAAGTTTTAAAAAAGAAATTATTTGGGGCTTGGAAGAGACAAGGGAGTCTTCCCTGCTCTGTGGCCAAAAGCTCCCTTAGGATAATGTTTTTGGGAACTGCCACCACTGGAACAAAATACAACACCACTAACAACAAAGAGGCCAGGCCAGTAGCTTGCACCTGTAATCCCAGCACTTTGGGAAGCTGAGGTGAGGCGAGTGGATCACTTGAGCTCAGGAGTTCAAAACCAGCCTGGGCAACATGGCAAAACCTATCTCTACCAAAAATTTTAAAAAATCAGTGGCCGGGCACAGTGGCTCACACCTGTAATCCCAGCACTTTGGGAGGCTGAGGCAGGTGGATCAGAAGGTCAGGAGACTGATACCATCATGGCCAACAGGGTGAAACCCTGTCTCTACTAAAATACAAAAAATTAGCTGGGCATGGTGGTGCGCGCCTGTAGTCCCAGCTACTCGGGAGGCTAAGGCAGGAGAATCGCTTGAACCTGGGAGGTGGAGGTTGCAGTGAGCCAAGATCGCACCACTGCACTCCAGCCTGGGCGACAGAGCAAGGCTCCATCTCAAAAAAAAAAAATAATTGTCTTGGTGTGGTCGTATGCCTGTAGTCCCAGCTACTTGAGAGGCTGAGGTGAGGGGAGGTTGAGGCTGCATGAGGTGTGATCATGCCACTGCACTCCAGCCTGGGCAACAGAGTGAGACCCTGTATCAAAAAAAAAAGAGGAATAGTAATAATATGATTCTATGCGAGTAGAAAAAATACCTTGGAAGAGCTTTTTCTAAACAGTGGCTATTCCTAGGCAGGAAAGTGGCAAACAACAACAACAGTAACAAAACCCTCAGTGGCCATCGCTAAAGTGTGGAGTCTCTGGTGTTGTAAATGAGACACAGGCATGTACTAATTGTTGCATTACAACAGTCTGGCTCCCAGCAAGCTGTTTCAACAGACTCTCTGCTCTTGTTTTGATAAGACCAAAGTCTGTCTTGGACAGCCCATTTTCTGGTTAATGGGGTGTTCTTATCAACTGAGAAGACAGTCACCTGCTAATGCAAGGGCCCGCCCCTTCCCTGAAATACGGCTCCTTCCCTGAAATACAGCCCCTTCCAGGTTGGGCCTAGTGCCTGAGATCCTGCCATCTGATCATATTTCCTGGGAATTGCAGTTTGTTGGGCTCAGAGGGCCTGGCCCTCAAGTTTCACCTTGTGGGCGACCTCTGTGAGTGGAAACCTGGTCTCACCCTGGACTTGAAAGTCAGAGCTAACTAAGAACAAAAGTCACCAAGGGCAGGAAAAAGGGCGAGGAGATGCTTTAGGCATCAGCCTCGGCACTGGTTTTACATTTTTTACTTCAAGATTAATTATTTTACATCATTTTATTTGCTTATTTTTTAGGGCCACAAAAGGAACATTTTGAGAGTAACAAGATGGAAGATCTTCAGGCGCTGCCACCTACCTGGCACCCACCCCTTCTGTGGGTCAGTCAGGATGATCAAAGCCAGTGCTCCTGAGGGCCCCTGCCCTCCAGCAGGAAGAGGGACACTCCCGGTTGACAGGCAGCTCAACCGCGAGCCTGAGTGAGCCAGGTGGGGGCTTCAGGACCTGGAGACCCAGTCAGCTGAGTGGCTGGGTGTGAGAGAGAATGTGTTATTTTCCTAGGGTGCTGTAACAAATTACCACAAACTTGGGGACTTAAAACAGTGGACATTAATCGTCTCACAGGAGGTCCACATTCAGGCAGAGATCGATTCCCTCTGGGCACTCTGAGGGGGAGTCCCTTCGCTGTGTCTCTCCCAGCTCCTAGCCTCTGGGGGTGGTGGGCAGACCTTGGCATGCCTTGGTTTGTGGCTGCATCACTCCCATCTCTGCCCCCATCTTCATGTGGCCATCTTCCCCCTGTGTGTCTCTGTGAATCTCAGGTCTCCTCCTGCTCCTTCAGGACCACTCTCACTGGATTTACGCCCCCTCCAAATCCCGGATGATCTCATCTTGAAATCCTTAATTATGTCTGTGAAGACCCTTTTTTTCCAATCGGGTCACATTCACAGGTTCTGAGCGTTAGGACTTGGACGTATCCTATTGGGGGCCGTTCTTCCGGCCATGACCGAGCGGGACCCACACAGCTGAGGCCATTTGCTGCTCTCCTTCCCTCGATCTACGGCGATTAATTAGTCATGGCTGTGGCGTGATGGCGGCAAACCTCTCCTTGCCTAACCATTCACATAACCTCGTATCTGTAAAAGAAGTCCCAGCTCCTGCGGCCTCAATTACATCCTTTTGATGCAGGGCAGGCGAGCCTAATATTGGGGCTTAGCCCAGGAAGTTTCTTGGCTCTGCCCCAAAAATAATCCAAGGTCAAGCTGGTGATGTTAAACCAGCAAATTTTATTGAAGCGACAGTGTACGGCAGCAGCAGAGGTCCTGCTCCCTGCAGAGCAGGGCTACCCCACAGGCAGTGTGCCCAGAGCAGCAGATCAGAGGCAGGGCTGCACTCATATTTATACCCGCTTGCATTATATGCAAATTAAGGGGCAGATTATGTAGAAATTTCTAGAAAAAGAGTGGTAACTTCCAGCTCAGGAGGTAGTTGTCATGGAAAGGGGCGGTAACTTCTGGGTGTTGCCATGGCAATGGTAAATTGACATGGCGCACTGATGGGCGTGTCTTAGCGTGTCTTATGGAAAGCTTGTTCGCCCTGTCCTGGTTTTACCTAGTCCTCAATTTGGCCTGGTGTCCAAGCCCCGCCTCGGCAGTTGAATCCTGACTCCTAGGACTCAACTTACTCTCAGCCAGTTCACGCCTGGCTGGAGGGTGGATATAATGGGGCCCATTTGCAGAAGAAACTGCAGTGCTCAATGGAAAGAGAAGTAGATGGGCATTTGGGGCAGATAGTTAGCTCCTTCTGGAATCCTCTCTCCTCCTCTCTGCTCATAGTCATTCCCAGGCCTGTGCTGGTGGGGAAATCCCTCCACATTCCCCAAACGTCAGGGCTTGAACTGGATTTGCTCAGTGTCCAGAGAGCTGGAGCCACAGCTTCACTGTGACAGAGGAGGCCTGGCCGTGCAGCTGGAGTTTCTCTGTGATACTGAGAGGGCCCAATGTGTGAAACCCAGCGTGGATGGGAAGGAATCTTTCCATGGGGAAGAGTGACCTGGAAACTGTCACTGTGGCAGGTACTCCTGGAATCAAACGCCCTTTGACAAAAAGGGCCTGTTTCTATAATTTACCTGGTGGGGAACCAAGCCAGAGAAACACTGGTAACTAATTTTCTTTTTTTTTTTTTTCAGACCGAATCTCGTTCTGTCACCCAGGCTGGAGTGCAGTGGCACCATCTCAGCTCACTGCAACCTCCACTTCCAGTGATTCTCCTGTTTCAGCCTCCCAGGTAGCTGGGATTACAGGCACCTGCCACCATGCCCAGCTAATTTTTTTTTTTTTTTTTTTTTTTGGTATTTTTAGTAGAGACAGGGTTTCACCATGTTGGCCAGGTTGGTCTCGAACTCCTGACCTCAGGTGATCTGCCCACCTCGACCTCCCAAAGTTCTGGGATTACAGGCGTGAGCCACCACACCTGGCCTGTGTAAGAATTTTTTTGGAATATACGTGTAGGAGTGGAATTGCTGGGTCCTGGGAATACATACACCAGTTTTAACTAACAGTGCCTGATTGCTTTCCAGAATGGCTGCACCAGTCCATATACTGTCCCGCTGTAGCAGTGCATGGAAGTTCCTATGCCCCTGTGAATGTTCTGGCCAACACAGGAAGTCTGGTTTAAAAACAACAACAGGGTGAGCACAGTGGCTCACACCTGTAATCCCAGCACTTTGTGAGGCCAAGGTGAGCGGATCACAAGGTCCAGAGTTTGAGACCAGCCTGACCAACATAGTGAAACCTTGTCTCTTCTAAAAATACAAAAAGTTAGCTGGGTGTGGTGGCGGGCGCCTGTAGTCTCAGCTACTCAGGAGGCTGAGGCAGCAGAATCGCTTAAAATCCCAGGAGGCGGAGGTTGCATTGAGCCAAGATCACACCACTGCACTCCAGCCAGACAGAGATTCCGTCTCAAAAAAAAAACAAAACAAAAACAAAACAACAACAACAACAACAACAAACTAGCATTATGGGAAACCCACTCTCACTCCTATACCCTAAGGACAACGAGTCTCAGTTAATTTGTTTTCAATTTTTCCAATGGCTACTGTATTAGTCAGAGTTCTCTAGAGGGACAGAATTAATATATATATATATGTATAGGAGTTTATTAAGTATTAACTCACACGATTACAAGGTCCCACAATAGGCTGTCTGCAGGCTGAGGAGCAAGGAGAGCTAGTCCGAGTTCCAAAACTGAAGAACTTGGAGTCTGATGTTTGAGGGCAGGAAACATCCAGCACAGGAGAAAGATGTAGGCTGGGACATCACAGCTGCTTTCATTAATCTAGATAATGTTTTGAATATCATTTCAGAGAAATCATTCTTATGGAAAAGAAATATTCTTCTGCCTAGTTTTAAAAATTTCCAACAGAATTGCATATAGAAATTATCAAACATTTTTGTTTGAACCTATTGATATAGTTCCCTGATAGTAACAGTTTCCCAGCCTTAAGTTAATCTTTTTTTTTTTTTAATTGAGATGGAGTTTCACTCTGCCTCCCAGTCTGGAGTGCAGTGGTGCGATCTCAGCTCACTGCAGCCTCCACCTCCTGGGCTCAAGCGATTCTCCTGCCTCAGCCTCCTGAGTAGCTGGGACTACAGGTGCCTGCCATCAGGCCTGGCTAATTTTTTGTGTTTTTAATAGAGATGAGATTTCACCATGTTGACCAGGCTGGTCTCAAACTCCTGACCTCAAGTGATCTGCCCATCTCGGCTTCCCAAAGTGCTGGGATTACAGGCATGAGACACTGTGCCCAGCTCCAGTCTTAAATTAATCTTAATCTTTGATTTCCTAAGACACAGTCTTCTGGGTTGTGATGGCTAAGTCATTTAATGCACTTTCAAGTTTAACTTAACTGCTTGATCTTAAGAACTACTGTGCATTACTGCTTTATGTGATCCTGTTGTATCTTTGAGAATGACCTGGAAAATCCAGAACATGTGACTCTCAGTATTAATCAGGGTTAGCAAACTAAGGTCCATCACCTGTTTTTGTACAGCCGGTGAACCTTTAAAAATGGTTTTTACATTTTTGTATGGTTGAAAAAATGTTTTTAAGGAATAATATTTTATGACATGTGAAATTCATATGAAATTCAAATTTCAGTGCCCACAAATAGAGTTTTATTGGAACACAGCCATGCTCATTTGTTTAAGTATCAGCTATGGCTGCTTTCTCCCTCCAACCGCAGAGTCGAATGGTTGCAACAGAGATCATACAGCCCACAAAGCTGAAAATACTATCTGGCACTTTGCAGAACAGCTTTGCCAACCCTTGGCATAAATGATTCAATCAAAAAAGTTTATGGAGAACTTAACTTTGGTGAAGGACAAGCTGTTCTGGTCTCCATGGACATTTCCTGTCCTGCTAGGGAAACAGTCACAACACAGGGTGATAAGTGCTAGGATGGCGCAGCACAGGGGACCAAGGCCTCGAGCCACACTGAGGAGATCAGTGAGGGCTTCCCAGAGGCAGTGACATCTAAGCTGAGACCTATGAGTGAGAAGGAGCTGGCCAGCTGAAGAGGGGTGAGGTTAGAGGTAGCAGGAAGAATGTTCTGGACAAGTGGAACAGCATATTCAATGGCCAGAGGGATCGGGACTTGTTAGAGAAACTGGGAGATGTTTGCATTATTATTTGTATCATAGGCTTATTTGTAATTAGACAAGTTAATTTGCATATAGATAAATAATCATCTACTTAGGGCTCTTAGTGATATAAGCAAGGAAGGGGGAAGGTCAAATCATTGGTCAACTGATCGATTCATTCATTCATTCATTCAACGAGCATGAAGTAAACACCTTCTAAGTGCTAAGCACGAGGCTAAGTTCTGAGGATACAGAGGAAAACATGTGGATCCCTGTCCTGAAGTCTTAGTGAGGAAAAGCAGATAGATTTAAAAATAATTTCTGCAAGTATGAGGAGTGTCTATTCTGCCAGGTCAGGGAGGGCCCACCATTTCCATCCCTCCTCCCCCTTGCCACTTAGTCATTTTCCCAGCTCCCTTGCTGCTAGGACTGGATAGGTACCCCAGTTTTAGCCAATGAGACACAGGGGAGATCTGCTGAGAAGTGTCTAGGAAAACTCTGTAGATTAAAGGTGATGCCACAGGACACCATCGCTTTCCCCCTCTTGCCTGCCTTTGAGTGGGACTGTGGCGGTGGCACAATGGGATCTGTGGCAGCCATCTTGTGATCATGAATTGATGAGCATTAGGACAACATTGGTGGTTGTTGGCATCATCAAGCTGCTGCCCCAAACCACCTGGAACTACCTGCCATCAGGGACTCCTAGTTAACGTGAGATCATTGCATGTCGTTATTGCTTAAGCCAATAGTTCTCAGCTGGGCGAGATTTTGCTCTCCAGGGGACTTGGAGGCATTTTTGGTTTTCACTACTGGGTGGGATACTACTATCATCTAGTGAGTAGAGGCCAAGGATGCTGCTAAACATCCTACAACACACAGGACCGCCCCCCTCCCCTCTAGCAAATAGGTATCCAGTCCAAAATGTCAACAGAGATGAGGTTGAGAAACCCTGGCTTAAACCAGGTGCTTCCTTTACCGGCACAGTGTAAGAGGGCTTGCCAGAGCCACCAGAGGTTGAGGAGACCAATGTCCACCTTAGGACCCAGGAAAGAGGAATTTGGGGAATTATCCTGGCTGGGTTCACCCATGTGACACTGTTGGGCTTGGAGCAAGTTCTGTGAGACAGCTGTGGGCCCCTGTCCCATGATGAGACCTCACTGTGGGCCCTTCTACAGCAAATGTTCCCACTACCCAGGTGCCCACCAGCATCCTATGCCAAGTGCTCACTGCATCGCCTCACTCAAGTTTCCTAACAGTCCTGCAAGGTTGGTATCATTTATTCCCATTGTAATGGTGTGAAAATTGAGGTTCAGAAGAACAGTGGAGTGCACTTTGGAGACTGACAGATTTTTATTTTTATTTTTTTGGAGACAAGGTCTCGCTATGTTGTCCAGGCTGGATTAGAATTTCTAAGCTGGAGAGATCCTCCCGCCTTAGCCTCCTGGGGAGCTGGGAACACAGTTGCATGCCATAAGGCCTGGCTGACTGGCAGGTTTTAATCTGCCATTTACTAGTATCACTTAAGCATTTTACCTTTTTATTTTTTTTTGAGATGGAATCTCATTCTCGCCCAGGCTGGAGTGCAGTGGTGCCATCTCGGCTCACTGCAACCTCTGCCTCCCAGGTTCAAGCAATTCTCCTGCCTCAGCCTACCGAGTAGCTGGGACTGCAGGCGCACGCCACCATGCCCGGCTAATTTTCGTATTTTTACGAAAATACGAAATGTTGGCCAGGCTGGTCTTGAACCCCTGACCTCAAGTGATCCGCCCGCCTCAGCCTCCCAAAGTGCTGGGATCACAAGTGTGAGCCACCGCACCCGGCCTATTTTATCTTTTTGAGCCTTAATTTCCTGATCTGTAAAATAACAATATATTCTTTATGAATATTATTGTGGGCAAAAATCATGTATTTAGAAGCTCGTGCTACGGGCTTGAGGTCTGGTAACCATTTTGCGAATGGCCGTTGTCATTGCGATCACCAGCGCGCCCCCTGGGGGTAGGCAGCCGGAGCTGCAGCGCAGCTCTGCCTAATGTCAAAGCCACAGCTTTCCCACTCCGTGGGGACGGGCACTCGAGGCCCCCGCTTGCAGCAGGGACCCACAGACAGCTGAGGCGGAGGAGAGTCTAGGAGTCGCTGGGAGCCACGAGGCAGGGGAATCTGGAGGGGAACTGAGATTCACTGAGCATTTCCGGCACAAGACCTAAATCAGGCATCGCACACAGCAACCGAGGGGATATTCTGAGGCTATTTTCGGGCTGGAGACTCTGGTTCTGGGTTCTGACGGGGCTTGGGAAGGAGTGAGGTCATAGCCTTTCCGGCACCTCTCACTGAGGACACTGAAGGAGACTTAGGGAAGGCCGGTGGGTTGGAGGCTGGACCTCGAATTAGCAGGCTCCAGGCAGAGGGTGTGGCCCGGGAAAGGAGTGAGAGTTCACCAGCTTGCTCTTTGCTCTGCGGTGAACAAGAGCCGCAGAGCAAATGAAGATCCAGGCTCATTTCCATATGTAGATAATTCTGCCGGGATGGGGACGGATTTCTGGGAAGCAGCGTTCACACTCAGAGAGGTTAGAGTGTGCCTTGTGAAAATCCTTCTTAGGTTTGTTACTCAGAACCGCCAAATCCCGCGCTCCTGAGACTGGGGCCCTGTGTTCCACCCACTCCTCTCCGTTGGCTACCATCATTTTTATCCAAGACCACGTTTATCTTCCGTGCCCCGTGCTGCACACGCAGCCCACACAAGCGGGTGAAAAATCTTTATAAACAAATGTACAGACTCTCTGGAAAAAACAACAACAAAATCTCAATTGTGTGAATATGCCACTGTTTGTACATTTTCCTGTTAATGGGCATTTAAGTAGTTTCAAGTTTTTGAGAGTTTGGCTCTCACAAACAGCACTGATATACACATTCATATCAAAGTTGTTTCGGGGGGCCATGGGGATGCATTTCTGTTGTGTATCTATCTGGGGGTGGAATTGCTGGGTCACAGGGCAGGTGTTTGTTCAGCTTTGATAGATATTGCCAGCCGATTTTTCCAAGTAGTTGCACCATTTTCCACTCCCACCAGCAGCGTATGAGAATTCTGTTTGCCCCACATGGGCTCTGACACTTGGGATTGTCCGTCTGAGAATGACAGCACAGCAGTATGGCTGAGTCCCGCAGACATGCGGTGAGAAAAGCCAGGCATAAAAGAAAACATGCAGACCGATGATGCTCAAAAATAGGCAAAACTAATCTAATCTGGGAGTCGTGAGGGCAACAAGGTGGGTTCTGGGGTGCCAGGAATGTTCTCTTTCTTCATCTGGGTGGTGGTTACACAGGTTTATTCCCTTCGTGAAAATTCATTGAGCTGTCTGCCTGTGATCTGTGCACCTTTTTATACGTTATACTTAAATAAAAATTTTAAAGATATTCTCTCTCAATCTCCCTCTCTCTCCCTCTGCCATCTTCCCTCCCAGCACATGGTTGGGAACTGTCACCTTCAGAGCCCCCTTCAAGGCTGTGTGACCTGGACTGTTGCACAGGGTGTGCACTCAGAAGGGCAGGGGGCTTGGTTTAATGTTCTGCTGTCTGTCTTGAAACTATTAATACGTTTTGAACAAGGGTGCTTTGTTTTCATTTTGCATGGGGGCTCACTCGTAGTGTAGCCGACCTTGGCCCTGGGACAGGCAGCTGCCAGAGTCTGTCTCCAGATCGTGGAGATCGTCTCCAGGATATGGTCTTTGGCAGGCACTGAGCACAGGGCTAGGTTGCCCCCCGGACCCCTGATGGAGAAGGCGTGGGATGCCCAGAGCTGCCCATGATGGTTCTCCCTCCCGTGAGAACCTAGGAGCGTATGTACCTGCAGATGGGATTGCTGGGTACATGGGAGATGTCTGCACGGTGTGCCACGTGGCTGTCTGCCCCTCCCCTTCTTTTTATTGTGGTAAAATATGCATGACATAAAGTTGACTGTTGTAACCTTTTTAAAGTGTACGGTGCAGTGGCATTAAGCACATTTTGATTGTTGTACCACTCTCCACCATTGAACCATCTCCAAACTCAAAAGTTGAGTTTGAGTGTGCCTTGTGAAAATCCTCCACATCTCAAAAGTTGTGGAGATGGTTGAATGGTGGAGGTAGTGGTACCACATTCCTCTCAAACTGAAACTCTGTACGCATTAAACAACTTCCTATTCCCTTCTGCTTGCTTGTATGATTTTTCTCTGTGTGTTTCTCTCTTCCCAACTACTTTATGGACTCCATGAGGGCTGGGCCAGGCTGGGCATATTCACCTTGGAATAAGAAAGAACACATACAATACACACAGGGCCTGGAAGAAGTGGTTGACACAATAGTTTCATTAAATAAATGAAAAATATGTAATATTATTTAACATTTGTTTGAAGGCTGAGTGACTTCTTGGACTAATAAATTCTAAATTTAGTGCTGAGACAGTGTCTGTCACATAGCTGGATCCAAAACCTGTTGACAGAATGAATGAAGCATTAATAACTCTGTTGCCCGTAATAAAACATTGGCCCTTTATTGAGCCCTTACAAGTACCAGGCACTGTTAATACACAGAAAGAAAGATGTCTGGCACTCCATACATTTCCTTCCTTCCTTTCCTTCTCTTTCTTCCTTCCTTTCCTTCTCTTTCTTTGTTTCTTTCTTTCTTTCTTTTTCCTTCCTTCCTTCCTTCCTTCCTTCCTTCCTTCCTCCCTCCCTCCCTCCCTTTCTTCCTTTCTTTCCTTCTTTTTTTCCTTCCTTTCCTTCCTTTCTTCTTTTTTCCTTTGAGACAGGATCTCACTCTGTTGCCTAGGCTGGAGTGCAGTAGCACGATCATGGCTCACTGCAGCCTTGACCTCCTGGGCTCAAGCAATCCTCCTGCCTCAGCCTCCTGAGTAGCTGAGACTACAGGCATGTGCCACCATGCCTGGCTAATTTTTAAAATTTTTAGTAGAGATAAGATCTCACTATGTTGTCCAGGCTGGTCTTGAACTTCTGGGCTCAAGCAATCCTCCTACCTTGGTCTCCCACAGTGCTGGGATTACAGATGTGAGCCACCATGCCTGGCCTTCTTCTTTTCTTTGTAAGCATTATCGCATTTGGCCCAACTACCCTCTGAGATGACTACTTGTTTTATAAGTGAGCACAAGCTCAGTGACATCATGTCCCCTGCTGTGGTTACACAGCTGGCAGGTGTCTCCAGATGGGGCTGACTCCAAAGTTTGGTGCTTCCATATATATTTTGTGATGCCTCCCTGTGTTAATGAACCAAAACAGAATTTCTTAATATTTTTTTCTTTTTTTTTCTTTTTTTTTTTTTTTTTTTTTTTGAGACAGAGTCTCACTCTGTCACCCAGGCTGGAGTGCAGTGGCACGATCTCAGCTCACTACAACTTCTGCCTCCTGGGTTCAAGTGATTTTCCTGCCTCAGCCTTCCAAGTAGCTGGGATTACAAGTGTCTGCCACCATACCTGGCTAATTTTTGTATTTTTAGTAGAGATGGAGTTTCGCCATGTTGGCCAGGCTGGTCTCGAACTCCTGACCTCAGGTGATCCGCCTGCCTCAGCCTCCCAAATTGCTGGGATTACAGGTGTGAGCCACCGTGCCCGGCCTTTGCTTTCATTTTAATAAAACATGTTTTTCTTTTCTGATTATAAACATGTATTTACACTCTATTTTTTAAAATAAGGCATTACAGAAAGTGGAAATCTGACTTTTTAAGACTTCTTAGAATGTTCTCTCAAGATCCATGGCAACCCTTCCCGGGCATAGCAGATCTGGAACACGTGGCTCTTGTGGGCTCTTCCTTCTGGGTTGTCTCCAGGTCAAGGGATGTATGTATCCCATCGCTGACCTTTCTTTCTAGGTACCTCCCTCCCCACTAATCTTCAAAGATAACTGAGGGATGTTGTAAAGGCAATAAAGCCACCTCGACTTTCTCCCCCTAACCTGCATTTCCCATTAAGTCTTGTTTTCAACTCTACAGGTGGGGTTTTCCCCAGCCAGACCTTAGGTTATTTTCTGAGCTTTGGTTTCTTACTGGGGTTTGGGTGCAATAAGGAAGTTGACAAGTGAAACTGTTTTTTCCAGGGTAGCTGAGCTAAGCCTCTTATCATTGGAGGAGCGGGGAGCAGTCCTGGGATGGGTGGTAACAGGTGGAGGAAGGTGAGCCAGCCCATGGCTCTCTGGATTGGCTGCCATGAGCTCAGTTCCTGGGAGATACTGTATATATGGACGGCCAAAGCATCTTCTGAGACACTCAGAAAATTGCCAGCACCAAAGTAGTGGCATCTTCTCCCTGGGAGAGCTGGGTCTGACTTCTCACTGGACACAACTTCCAGCTGACAGGGAGCAGAGCCTAACACAGAGACCTCTTGTCTGAAGATCCCAGCCCAGGGTGTTCAGGACAGAAGCGATTTCTGTGGTCCAAGGTTGGTTGAACAATACCCTCTCCTTTGGGGGCGGGAGCAGTGGGTATGTATCTTGGGGTCCGGAGAAGAGTTTAGTCCTGGGTGTCAAACCAAGAGTCCAGTCCCAATGCTGCTTCCAGCATGCTGGGCCCTCCCAGAGAGGCAATGGGGGTGGAGGTGGGGGATCAGTTTTCTTATCTCTAAAAAGAGGGAGCAAGGTTCAATGACATTATCTCAACGGGGTGTTTCTCAAAGGGCTCTGGGCTCACTCGGACTTAAAACTCTGTATTCAAGTCCCAATCCTGCTTATTAGCCGCCACCCTGAGCAAGGAACTTCACTTCCTTGGGCCTCAGTTTTCTTGTCTGTAGGATGGGGCAGCATTACATAGCTCACCTGCTAGTTTCCCTCAGGATGTGGTAGAGGTCAAGTTATAGACTTTATGTGAAGGTACATGAGGGAACCCCCTGATAAATGAGAGGTGTTATTATGACCTATGGTTAAATTAAGGTTCTATGAGTTTTAAGGTTTTTGGAAGTTAGTCCAAGAATGGGGAAATCTTATTAAAATAACTCATGGTCTACTGCTCTCTTGGATGGGAATGTAGAGGCTGGGAGGTGGATTATAACCCACAGTCCTGACCGACTCCTCACACAGTGTTGCATTGCCCGTGGTCTTGGATAGAGGACAGAATGGGGTGGGGAGGGCATGGGTGTCTATACCTAGGCACACGTGATTGTGTGACTCCATGTGCATAGGTCATGGTAGGTGTGTATGTGACTGTGATTACCTCCATCAGTGTGAAATAGCAGGTTTCTCCCCTAAGTCCATGTGTAAGTGCGTGCATGTGTATCTATGCTTACATGAGGCCATTTGGTGTAGAATAGAGAATGTAGGATTTGAATCGGGAGAAGTGGGAGAGTCTCAGCTCTCTGCTTCCCGGCTATGTGACCTTGGGCGTGTCTCTTAATGGTCCGGAGCCTCAGTGCCCCACTGTTAGCCCATCTGATTCACTGCTCCTGGCAAAGATGAAATGAGATCATGTCAATGAAACGGCTCTCTGGACGCCGTGTGGCTGCATGAAGGTGAGCTGGTTTGGGTTTGCACATGCCTGTGTATCATTTGTTTGTTTCACAAACACTGAGAGCCTCCCAGGCTCAGGTCCCCTCTCATGGAATTTAGAGTTAGGACCGATGGCAAGCGGTGAGCTTGGTCACATAATTATTCCCTTACACTTGGGACAGGAGAAATACAGGGCGTCTTGAGTCCATGTTGGTCTGTGGTGTGCACAAGTGTGTTCTGGTGACACGTGGATGTCTGTGGTGTTGACTGTGGGTCCACGTGTGTGTGCCACACACTCTGTCCCTCAGGGTGCTGCTGTGGGTGTGCAGCAGGTTGGCTCTCTGTGAAGTTTCTATTGTGTGAATCATGGGGTGGAGAAGGGGAGCCGCGAAGTTATCTCCATGAAAGGCACCAGAGCAGTTAGAGAGTAACGCGGCCAGGTGAACAAATTAGAGAACAGCATAGAGATGAGGTCACCGTGCAACTTAGAAAGTAAACAACACACAGCAGCAAGCTTGGGGAAGGCAAGCAAACTTCCCGTTCCAGGGTCAGCTTTGTGAGCCTTCTCTGGTTCTTTGTTGCTGTTGCTGGACATGTCACCGGTAAATGTCACATCTTATCAGAAGCAGTCTTGTGATGTGCAGATCACTTGGGTATTTCTGAGCTGATTTGGACTTTGCTCTGACATCCACTTTCGGCCAAGGCAATAACAAGTTTACAAGATCAGCTGGGTTTCCGCATAGTGAGACCACGCTGCTCACTTAGGATTCCTGGTCTGGAGCACAGTCTGCACAGGGTGGGATTCCCTGGTGGTCGGACTGAACGTAGTTGAGCACCTGGGGCACAAAACAAAAAAAGAAGAAGAAAGGAAAGGAAAGTCTTGCTTTGATAAATCCTGGATAGCAGAATTTTATATTTGGAAAGTCTTGAACGGTTTAATTTTGGCACATGTAGGAAAGGGGAGGTTATTAGGATTAAAAGACAAGCTTCCCAGGGCTTAGAGACTGAGGACACCCCATCCGCAGAGGTTCTTCAGGGGTCTTCCTGGGGGCGTGTGGGTGTGTCTTCCCCAGTCAGCCGCGCTGTCTCAATCCCTGGCCTAGAGCTGAAGACAATCTTTGGAACATTACAGAGGAGGAGCAGTTGGAGCGGGGGAGAGGGAGGAGAGAGCTGGACTGAGGACAGTCACAGCCACCCAGAGAGGAAAGAGAAAAGAAGGAAGTAGGGCTGGTATCAAATACTGAAGCACGTAAGGGAGGACAAGACATGGGAAGAGGCCACTGGATTTGGAATTAGGAAACCTTGGGAGACCCTGGAATCTCTTCACTGGGGAAACTCTTGGATAGCAGAGGCCCCCTTCCTGCCTGCCTCTGGGCTCAGCAGCAGCAGCTGCGGGGGCTCCTGGCCTTAGTTCCTCTCATCTCCCCGGGGGCTCAGGGCACCGGTTATTCCAGGGAGGGAGCGGCCAAATCACCGCAGCTTTCCTGAAAAAACATCAGGGAAAGCATGTGCTGGTGGGATTGTGTTAATGTTCTGATCAGGAGGAGCAGCGTGTCCTTGGAATGTGGTAGGAGGATACTGCTGCCATTGGCAATGGCGAAAACCGTTTCCATAGCAATGACAGCTTTTTAAAAGATTACTGCATCTCTCTTCCCGTTAACTGGGTAAGGAAGCGCCGGTCCTCCGTGCGATGGGTCCCATGGAGCCAAATCTGTGCAGACGGAAGAGAGGCTGAGCTGAACAAGAGTGTCCTGGTTCTGTGGTTTTGTTAATGAACAGCTTCTCTGACAACCCCATCCAATTTTCCCTGACCACAGGAACATATGGAAAATGCAGAGAGAACCCTGACACCGTTCAGTAAATATTTCTGGTCAGCTTACTCTTTTTTAAATGTGAGCTTAAATCACATAGAACTTCAACCTAAATTTATCTTCTTTTAAGACCATGTGCCTCTGAAGAGAGAGCAGATGCAGGGGAATGGGACATTGCTGTCATCACTGTGTACTCACATCCTTATTCCTGCGCATTCAGAGAAGACCAGAATATTCCCTCTGGGGGCACACACTGCATCTTGTTCATGATTGTATCCCTAGCACTGAGCATAATTTCTGGTGCAGAGTGGGTGCTTATTAAATGTTGAGAGAAATAAGTGAGAACAAACATAAATATTTTCCTCTATGATCTCTTCTCCTTGTCCTACCCTGCATCGTCTTTGGAAACACAACCATAAGGCAGCCAGTCTCTGAGCCTTTCAGGAACATTAGTGAATTTCCATATAAGGTACAGATACATATTGCTAAAAGTTTCCATGTAGCCCAGATGTTCCTTTTAAGGAACATTAAACAACAAATAAGTCCTTTTAAATTGCCTGCCTCCTCCCCGACCTGATTTCTCATTTCCTCCAAGGTCGTCCACGTGTGGACACTCGGCCCCAATGGCCTCTGGCCTCAGCGACCTGGGGCTGCAATACCATCTGGTTTCCTTCCCATACTGGTGCTTGGAGGAGGGAAGGCATCCCAAATGTTCGTGTCACCTTCAAATATGTGTGTTCCCATTTCTTTTCTTCTTTCTCTGTATCTTCTTCACTTTCCTGTGGATCCCACACATAAGAAATCGCAATTATAGATTCTTATTTTTGCCTCTAAGCTGAGCATAGCAATAGAATACATTTTACAGTACATCCCATACCACTAAACATTACTTGGTCAATGCATGCTAAAGCTATAATGACAAATTAGAGCAGGCAACCTGTGGTCCTAAACTCCATAGGACTCTCCAGGGGCTCAGGTTTGGCATTCAAAACCATATTTTATTTTTCTTTTACCTTCCACTGAAGGGAAGAGGCCTTCTGAACAACTCTGGAAAAATTGGAAAGCCCCAAGAGTTTTAGATTAAAGACACACAAATCAAATGCACTGCCCACACCTAGGCGGGCTTGAAATGCTGCCCAGGTGGGAAAGGTTTTTTTTTTGTCATTTTTCATTGGCCGCTGCTTCATTCTGGATGGAGAATGGAAGAGCCCCCACTGCTCTAAGATGAAATTGGCCCGAAAGCACTGATTTCATGTTAACTACACATCCAAAGATACCTTACGTGTTGTGCCATTTACTAAATGTGTTATACATCTATTCATTTGTTTAATAAGTGCTTATTGAGTGGCAGTGATATGCTAGACATTGTTCTAGGCACTCAAAGATAGAAGACCTAGCAAAATAAACACAGGAGATGGAGAGAGACTCAGACAGGAAACAACTAAACACATAAAGACACGACATTGCACACCACCAGGCCGTAGGGTAGGAGGGGAAAGGGTGTGCTGATGGGCAATAGGCAGGGAGGGCCTCGATGGGAAGGTGACAGTTAAGTACAGCCTCAAAGGAAGTGAGGGAACAAACCATGAACAAACTCATTCTTTCCATGAGGGAAGAATGTTCTAGAAAGAGGGACTGGCCAGTGTGAAGGGCCTGAGGCAGGCGGGCCTGAAGGACAGCAAGCAGGGCTGTGTGCGTGGAGTGGAGTGAGAGAGATGTGGTCAGAGGGGTGATGGAGGCTGGGACGTGTGGGGTGTGACAGCCGCTTTAAAGACTTTGAGTGAAAGGGGACCTCTTGGAGGAAGGGAAGTAACTTTTGTTTTAAAAGCCCCCACAGCTGCAAAGGGGAGAAGTTACTGTAAGGAGGGCAAGAGGAGAGCAGGGAGGTCAGTTAGGAGGTGGTGGTAACAGCTCAGGTGAGTGCAGATGGGGACCTAGAGACCACAGGGGGCCGTCAGGGTGAGGACAGGCTCTATGAGAGTGAGGCCAACAGGCTCTGCTGATGGGTCGATGTGGGGGTAAAAGAAAGAAAGGAGGCCAGCAGTGGCTCATGCCTGTAATCCCAGCACTTTGAGAGACCGAGGTAGGTTGATCGCTTGAGCCCAGGAGTTTGAGACCAGCCTGCACAAACACAGCAAGACCCCATATCTATTTTCTAAATAAAATTATTTATTTTTTAAAAAAAGAGAGAAGTCAGGGGTGACTTTACATTTTTGGCTTGAGCAGTTGGAAGAAAAGAGTTGCCACTGACGGAGCTGCCTCGTGGAATATTCATGACAGCCTGTGAGAGAGGGCAGGGCTCAGGCATGCTTCAGATGAGAACACGGGGCCAGAAAAGGTGCCTGAGCTGCCCAAAGTCCCAAGGCTAGTGAGGGGCAGGACCAGGCCTCTGGCTCCGGCTGTATTCGTTTTCCATTGCTACTGTAACAAAAGCCCCCAGACCCAGTGGCTTTGGACAAGATGAATTAATTATCATGCAGTTCTGGAGAAGTCCCACATCAGTCTCGATAGACTAAAACCTAGGTGTGGACAGGGCTATGTTCCTTTCAGGGGCTCTGGAGGTGCGGCTGACCAGCCCTGAGATCTGAGCACAATCTTCCTGTGGTCCAGTTTTATCCTCTGGAAAATGAGAATAATGACCCCCATTCCCCGAGGGTTTTGGGGGAATTTGCACAAGACAACAGCTTTGAGAAATTGTTGACACTACTCACGTTAGTGGGCAGGGTGAATGGGCCCACTGGTCAGCACCAGGAGCCAACTTTGGTGTGCCCAGGAGGCCTCTGCTGAGGGAGCTGTTTGGCCGGGCGAGGTGGCTCATGCCTGTAATCCCAGCACTTTGGGAGGCCGAGGCAGGCGGATCACCTGAGGTCGGGAGTTCAAGACCAACCTGGCCAACACGGTGAAACCCCATCTCTACTAAAAATACAAAAATTAGCCGGGTGTGGTGGCGGGCACCTGTTATTCCAGCTACTCAGGAGGCTGAGGCAGGAGAATCGCTTGAACCCAGGAGGTAGAGGTTGCAGTGAGCTGAGATAGCGCCACTGCACTCCAGCCTGGGCAATAGACCGAGGCTCCGTCATAAAAAACAAAAACAAACAAAACAAACAAACAAACAAATCAAAACAAACAAACAAAAAAACTAAGGGAGCTGTGTGTTTTGGTTGCAGCCCGATGGAGAATCCAAGGTGCCCAAGGAGGCCCCTGGCGGAGAAGAAAGCCAGGTCTCTGGACAGGCCGCAGGCCCCCGGGAAAGGCTCGGAGTCGTGGGACTGCCATTGGCTCTCCCTGCCCACTGCCCCCTCCAGGAAGGCGCTTCACTGGACGACCAGTGATTGGGCCAGACATTCAGACAGCCCAGCTCCATCTGCAGAGGCTCACTGCACCACCGCTGCAGCCCCCACTCCCGAGGAGACCGGAGATTTTCTCCCCAGCGAGCAGAGGCCTTCGCAAGACACCAAGAAGGGGTGGCTGAAGACCATGCTGAACTTCTTCGTGAGGACGGGCCCTGAGGAGCCCAGAGAAAAGGCCAGCAGGAGGCCAAGGGGGAAGGAGGGTATCTCCCAGCATCCGGAGCCCCTGGAAGCAGCAGGGGAGCCAGCCCTCAGGAAGAAAGCCCACCACGACAAGAAGCCCAGCCGCAAGAAGCAAGGTCACAAGAAACACGCGGCCGAGGTGACTAAGGCAGCTCAAGACCAGGAGGCCAGAGGCCGAGAGGAAGGGTTGTCCAAGGCAGCTGCTGCCTTGCGCTCCGGGGAGGCTGACCTGGGCCCAGCTCGCAGGGGTGAGCGGACCGTGCCTGTTCCTATGGCAACCCCTAGGGTGCTCTAAACTTGCTCCAGGAGCCTCTCCACAGAGGGACAGGGATAGTCGGGGGAGCTGTCAGGGGCCGGCACCGCTGTGACTTCCTTCCTTCCTTCCTCCCTCCCTTCCTCCCTCCCTTCCTTCTTTCCTTCCTTCCTTCCTCTCCTCCTCCTCCTCCTTCTTCTTTCTCTCTTTTCTCTTTCCTTTCTTTCTCTCTTTCTCTCTCTCTCTTCCTTTCTTTCTTTTTTCTTTTTGAGATGGAGCCTCTGTCGCCCAGGCTGGAGTGCAGTGGCATGATCTTGGCTCACTGCAAGCTCCTCCTCCAGGGTCAAGTGATTCTCCTGCCTCAGCCTTCCGAGTAGCTGGGACTACAGGTGCCCACCACCACGCCTGGCTAATTTTTGTATTTTTTAGCAGAGACAGGGTTTC
Organism: Homo sapiens; assembly: GCF_000001405.40. NCBI lineage: Eukaryota > Metazoa > Chordata > Mammalia > Primates > Hominidae > Homo > Homo sapiens. Next base: position 36,329,631 of record NC_000006.12, on the reverse strand, counting down.
ACCATGTTGGCCAGGCTGGTCTTGAACTCCTGGACTCAAGTGATCCACGGGCTGTGGCCCCCTAGTGTGCTGGGATTACAGGTGTGAGCCACCACGCCCGGCCCACTGTGACATTTCTTTGAGGTAGAACAGCACCGTGGCTGAGCGCTCCAGGGAGAACCACTCACAGTGCCGCCGTTCACAAGCTGTGTGGCCCAGGGAGGCAGCTTTCCTCTCTGAGCCTCAACTTTTTTCATGGATAAAATGAAGATAAATATAACGTTACTGTCTCATGGAGTGGCCACAGCCCACAAGGAAAGTGCTTAGTGCACAATAGCTGTTATTGCCAACTCCTATAGTTTTAGGAGCACAGACCTAGGAGAAATGAGAAAGCAGGGAGCTGGGTGAGGAGCAAAGCCCTGCTCCCACCCCACTGGTGCCTATGTGCTTCTGGGCTGCTGCTTCCAGGCCTTGGTTCTAGACTTGGCTCCATCAGGAGTAAACTTGCTGTGTGACCTTGAGCTTGAGCTGCTCCCTCTAGAACTTTTGATTCCCCACATGTAAATAAGGGTGCTGGCTCCCAAGGTGCCTTCCTATTCTGCCTCCCAAGGCTCTGGAGCTGAATGCCCACTGGCACCTAGAGGGAGGGGGGCTCTGCCTTGCAGCACTCAAAACTCAGTGTTTATGATGGGGAGAAGACTGAGGATTTGCGGGGAGGGGGTTAGCGAGAGAGGTGTCTTGGTGGAAGCAGCCTCTTCTCAAATAAAAATCTTAGTGGGTTTCTGATTTTTTGGTTAAGCCTAGAGCGGGCTGCAGCAGCACCTGTTGCACTGTGAATTCTGTGCTGTTTTCTCGTGTTGATGAACAAAGTCAGGAGAATGTCACTGACACACGCACATACACACCTACATACCCGTTTGCTTTCGTCTCTATTCCAGGTGGGGAAGATTCTGATCACCAGTCCTTCCTCATCAAAGTGGATGGTACTGGAGCTTTGGATGTTTCTCCCCATGCCACAGGTCATCAGCAAGAAGAGGAGCTCAAAAAGCCTGACCGTGAGTCGGAATCTCTAGTGACCTTTTTGCCTGTGGCTGAGGTGGCTGTTACTGAATGAGACGGATTGTTCTGAATGATTACTGAGACCTTGGATGGTGGTTCTCAAAATACATGCACTGGCCTTTCTTGCCTCTTTTGGTGCTTCTGGCCACGTTTGCTTATTTTAGAATTTCACAGAAGGGAGGCTGGGGAATTGGAAATGCTGCTGGCAAATGCTTCTGCCTTATGTGTTAATGAAAACGGAACTTTTCTTAGTCTTTTAAAATTTATTTTACTTTAAAAAATATGTAGAAGAATGAAAAGTATCATTCAATGCTTTGTATACTCACAGTTGTTTACACGCTGCCACAACTTGTATACTTATAGTTGTTTACACTCTGCCAGTTTGCTTTGTGTGGGTATCATTTTGTTGCTGAATCATTTTGGAGTAAATCATGCCTCATCCCTAAATACTTAAACATGCATCTCCAAAAGATAAGTGCAGTCTCACACAAAACCACAATACCATGAGTGCTCCTAATAAATGGAGCATAATCCCCTATTCATCTAATTCCCTGTAAAAAAGATGAGCATATTTTAGCATATATGAAATGAAGGAGCTATGCATATGTCAAAGAATAACTAAGAGGCATTGAGTTAGTTATTTTGCAGCTAATTGTTTTCTTACATGAGAGGGAACCAGCTGGTAGCTGAGTCAAGCGACAAAAGCCAGACAATTTATAAGTGACAGGGAAGTTAGGAGTAAAAAAAAAAAAAAAAGCAAACCCACAGACAGCCTGGGAACAGGGAACCTTGTTTGCATCTCTTTTCATGTAAACTCATCAGCTGGCACCTAGCAGAGGACAGTGTGGGCACATTGTCCTTGAATAGGCTGACTGGGGTATCAAAGGAAACCATTTCCATTGTCAGTGGCTTCTCCGTGCAGACATGGGGGTGTGGCTGAGGCATCAGCGTGGCAGGCTGTCTCTGTGTCATGCCTACCGACATCCTTTCATCCTCCACCTTAGTTAGCCCAGGTATCTACCATTTTCCCACTGGAATTTTGCAGGTTGGAAGATCAACATTAGCCTTGCAAAGTGCTCTCAAGCCCAGTCCCTCATTTGACAGCTTTCTGAGGGAGGCAGGACAAAGATTATCACCCACATTTCACTGGGAGAGATAAAGGCCCAGAGAGGTTAAGAAACTTATTCAAGGTCACACAGCTTACTGAACCCAAAGTAGACGTTCCTAGATCTGTGACTTTCAAAGGAAATAGTGGGGCACAGGTTGAATGCCTGAAGGGCTGACCTGAAATTTCCTGCATAAAGTGTCATGATTTGGCTTAGTGCCTTCCCCGGTGGATCTTCCAACCTTCTCTCAGAAGAACCTGCCCCTGGGATGTGGTGCTTTCCCTCCATTGTGTGGCCTAAAGAGTTGTTTAAGAGAACTATCCAAGATGGTAATTTAGAAGGAGTTGTCAGTGCATTTAGAAAGAATAACCGGATGCATTTGCTTTCTTCCAGAGGATGCTATCATTCAGATGATAGTGGAATTGCTCAAAAGAGTGGGAGACCAGTGGGAAGAAGAGGTGAGGAGTAAACTTTGCAGGTCTCCAGGGGCTCTCTGCCTTCTCCTCCTCCTCCTCTGCCAAGCTCCACCTGTCCTTGCAGGCCGGGCTCTAGTCCATTCCTTCCCTGAAGCCTCCTTCTGCAGCTTCAGAACTCAGCCCTCCCCCTGCTCTGGGCTCTGCTGCCTCCCCTCTCTCGGGGCCATCTTGCAGCTTGGCTGCTCTTCACTTGCCTCCAGAGAGCTTTCCCCCTCTCAGTGTCATGAACCTGACCAGTTTTTCTCCTCTCCCCAACAGCAATCTCTGGCCTCACAGCTGGGGGTGGCCCTGCCAAACCCAGCACCAGCTGTTAGGAAGAAATCCCAAGAGAAAAAGACAAGCCTCAAGAGAACCTCAAAGACAAACCCCAAGAAACACGGCTCCGAGGAGGCCAAGAGGGGGGCTGCAGATGTTTCCAGTCCAGAGGCCTGGCCACCCAAGAAGTCCAGCTTTCTGCCCCTGTGTGTCAGCGGCCATCGGCCTTCCATCTCCAGCAGCTATGGTGAGCAGGCTCTGCAGTTGCCATAGCAACCCTGCAGCTGCCTCCAGCTCTGGAACCTTCCCTGGGGATGGAATTGACCATTTTAAAGGTTGCGTTGTGCCTGGTCTGACTTTTGCACTCTGCCCTGAGTGGTGTGAGGATGACTGTGGGAAGACAGAAAGAATGCCAGCAGGTCACCTCCACACACAACACCTCAGCGAGCTCTAGGCAACCCCAATAAGCCCTTGATGGAAATTATGTTCCGGGATTTCCCAACCGTCAACATTTCTTGGCCGCCTCAACTTCTGCACCCTGGCAGGGAGGGGAGTAGTGTGTGCAAGAAGGAGCTGGAGCAGGGGAGGCAGGAGACCTGGGTTCTAGCATATTGTCTATGTCATTCCCCATCTTTGTGCCTCAATTTCTTCACCTGTAAAGTGAGACATTTCCCTGCTGCATATCTATAACACGATCAGTCCTCACAGCCATCAGATGAAGTGCAACTATTATCCCCACAGCCATCACATGGAGTACAACTATTATCCCCACCTTACAGATGAAGGACCTGAGGCTTTGGGAGGTAAAACAATGTGTTCAAGGCCACATGGCCCATGGATGATGGGGCCAGAGCTAGAGGCGGAAAGGATCAGACAAGTCATTTCTTCCTGGGCATCAGGGAGAACAGGTCATCCTGTTAGGTCATCCTGGCCAGGAGAATTTACATCTTAGAAAGGAGGGAGTGACGCTTAACACCAAAGAGGGGAATTTCAGGCCCATGGGGAGATATTTTCATGCAGGGGGATTCTGGCTATGATTCATTAATTCATGCCATGGGACCAGGCCTCTACTCTTCAACTTGTGGATCAAGTCAAAATGGTGGAGGGAGGAGAGGGCAGCAAAGCCCAGGAAAGCCAGTTCTATGGAAGCACAAAGGGATAAGGGAACTCGGTCTGGGCCAGTAAATCAGAGGCACAGCCCTGCCCAGCAGCTGTCTTCCAGCCCCATAAGTCCTTAATGTGATCCAGCCACGGAGCCCACTTTTAGTTTGTGCTAGCTTCTGTGCATAGTTAACAGCCCCAGACAGACAAAACACACCCTCGTTCTCCTTCTGCTTCTCAGGCTTGGAAGAACCTAAAGTCCAGGAGGCCCCATCTACAGAGGCTGGGGCTCCAGGTCCCTCCGTGCTTCCCACCCCATCAGAGAGCCAGGAACCTGGAGAGGAGCTTCCGCTGGACAGAGCCTCGGAATACAGTCAGTACTCCTCTCTTTTTCTCAGACACCCCTTGCAAAACTTCTGTTCTGACTCCCCCACTTGCAAAGAGACACTGAGCCAGAGAGAGGCAGTGACCTGTCCAGACCTCCCTCTGAGTACAGCAGGCTGGGGAGGCAGCTTGGGGCCCAGAGCCCAGGCCCAAGCCAGGCTGCCTGTCTGAACCTCGATAAATGGCGATAGTGTTGGTGCTTACCCTGATGAGGCAGACAGGAGGCAAAGGGAGGAAAGTGCTGGCCCACACCAAGGGCTCGGCCAATGGGGTGATCTTATGGACCTTGGTTTGAGTCTGGGCTGTGACCCCTTTGAGCTGTGTGGACTTGGGCAAGTTACTTCATCTCTGGTCTCAGTTTCTTCATCTGTGAAATGGGGGCAGCAAGTACCTGCTTTCTAGAATTGTCGGCAGCATTTAGGGCAGCCCCTGTTAGTGGCTAATATGTGTTAGGTGCCATTTGTTGCTATTATTGTCATTGTTGGGTGGCCCAGCTTGAGAGCAGAGCTCAGAAGTAAAAAGGATAGGGACAGGGGTAGGGGCCTTGGGAGGGAAGCTCAGCTAATGGCAGCTGCCATCGCTGTAATTATTATTTTACCATTGGCAGAGCCAGGCCTAGAAACATATATATATATATATATATATATATATATATATATATATATATATATATATATATATATATATATATATATAATATCACCGTCAGGTCTGAAAAGACCTGGAAAGATCTCTGCCCCCTATCCCCTGCCATTCTGCCTTGTTTGCTTTTCATAGAAAATATGCCTTGAAGGGAAATTCTGCCTGGACAGGGAGAAGGTGCAGGATGAGGGCACCTGTAGGGAATGGGCCTTTCCAGATGGCCCTGAGGGGCCTCCTCCTGGGTGTCTATTTAGAGGCCGTCATTGGTAAAGTGAATATGTATCCCATGAAACCAGCTCTGCCCTCAGGCCACCTCTGGCAGCTCTTTAGCCCCCTTGGAGAATCACCCAGGGAGCCACCGGGGCATTAGGAAATGAAGACTGACCGCAGAAGAGATTTCGTAGCACCAAAGTTAACCATGCGTGTTGATCTTTTTCAGAAGAATTCATTCAGAAGATCATTTCCATGCTCCAAGATGCAGAAGAACAGCAAGGAGAGGAGGTGAGGAAGACGCTCCCCATGTAACCCTGACCTCACTGTGGGCTCCCCAACCCTGCCTGGTGTAACAACTTCCCTGTCTCTGCTGCTCTTCTGTGTCCTGCTCCAGTCCCTCCTTTTTTTTTTTTTTTGGAGACGGAGTCTTGCTCTGTCGCCCAGGCTAAAGCACAGTGGCTCGATCATGGCCCACTACAACCTCCACCTCCTGGGCTCCAGCGATTCTCCTGCCTCAGCCTCCTGAGTAGCTGGGACTACAGGCATGCGCCACCACACCCGGCTAATTTTTGTATTTTCAGTAGAGACAGGGTTTTACCATATTGGCCAGGCTGGTCTCGAACTCCTGACCCCTGGTGATCCACCTGCCTCAGCCTCCCAAAGTACTTGGATTATAGGTGTAAGCCACTGCACCCGGACCCAGTCCCTCCTTCTTGAAGCTTCCCCAGCCCCCTCCAGACCACACATATTTCCCCAGCACTGAGCATCAACCACTCTTCTCTGGGCAACGCCTGCTAGCCCACCGTGGCTCTCTTTCCCCACCTCACCTGAGATCTCCTCAAGGTCAGGGGCCCTGACTCAGTTTCTCTCATCTCCCCCACAGCAACCTCAAGTCCAGCAGGAAGAGGTGGGTGTAGAAAACCCGGCCCCACACTGCAGAAGGAAATCTCAAGAAAAAAGGTCGAGCTTCAGGAGAGCGTTTTACCATAAGAAACACACCTCCAAGGAACCCAGAAGAGCGGGGGCAGCAGGGGCTGCCAGCCCAGAGGCCCGACGACCCAAGAGGCCCAGCTTTCTGCCCCTGTGTGTTGGTGGCCATCGGCCCTCCACCTCCAGCAGCCTTGGTGAGCAGGCCTGGTGTTGCCATGGTAACAGAGGCTTCCTCTTGGGCAAGGCTGCTGTGTGGCCTGTCTGTCGTTGACAGGCTGGCATAGTGGAGGATGTCCACTGTTGCTGAAAGCCCTGACTGTGTCTTTCCATGCTGAGTAGAGTGGGGGGTGTGGAAGTGTGGGGAGAGGTGAGGGTCCAGGTGCCAGCAGGACCCCACCCCCAGTAGGCCCTGCTCACTGCACACGCCCTCCCCTCCCTCTCCACACACAAACACTTAACAACAAATGTGATGGGAGATCCGTGCCGCTGTGCATCAGAATCACCTGGCCAGTTCATAGAAAAGCACAGAGAACTGGGTTTGATGAAGTAGGAGATGGCCTGGGCCTGTTTTTTCACTACACCAAAGCCTGAGGGCCACTGGTGTACAGTAATTCCCCTGACATCACAGAGTGCCTACTACCTGCTAGTTTCACACATATTATCTCATTTAACCTGCTTGCAACCCTGTGAGGTCAATCTTATCACTCCCACTTAACAGATGGAGAAAGTGAGGTTCAGACAGGCTAAGTGACCCAGAAAACCTGGCAGAGGGAAAGGGTTCATTTGGTGGGCCCTGCTGGCACACCTGTTTTAACTGCGCCCCTCCCAGACTGAGGAGGCAGAAAGGGTTGGTGGGCGAAAGTTAGGTTTCTGGAGAAGGCCAGGAGTGCACCACGAACTCCTCTGAGGCAGAGCCGGGGGCAGGAAACTCACCGAGGAGCCTGGAAACCAGCCCCTGCTTATGCCTGTGCCTCCGAACAGCTTCTTGTCAGGAACTAGATTCAGCTCTCTGCAAAACACTCAACAACTCTTTTTTTGCCCTAGATCCAGAAGATCTCGAGTGCCGGGAGCCCCTGCCCGCAGAAGGGGAGCCAGTTGTGATCTCAGAAGCACCCTCCCAGGCTAGAGGCCACACGCCAGAAGGGGCACCTCAGCTGAGTGGAGCATGTGAATCTAGTCAGTAACACCCCTGCTCTTACCTGGACAGCTTCCCGGGTGCTTCTCTTCCACATGGAGTTCACAGGCTGAATAGGGGATGGTTCTGAGGAAGGAATGGGGAAGGCAGCAGGCAAAGACCCCAGGAGACTCTAGGATGGGGCAGGGGGCACAGGCTTGGCCTTTAAACTGGTGCTGTTGGGGCAGAGTTGCAGGTAGAGGACACCTGTCTATCCTGTGGAATATAATTAACACCCCCATTCGTTTGCTTGAATGTTTCATATGAAATTCCTAGCTTGCTCCGGGTCTCATAAGCAGTGGTGTGCTGGCAGACAGGCTCTCCAATGGGAGAAGGATGCCCTACTTTGTAGCATTTGCAGATTTCCATGGCATAAATATTTTTACTTTGGCTGATTTCAAGCTGCTAACAGTTTATAACAACTAGTCCACAAATGAATTAGCCTGGCATGGTGGTGTGTGCCTGTAATCCCAGCTACTTGGGAGGCTGAGGCAGGAGAATCACTGGAACCCAGGAGGCCGAGGTTGCAGTGAGGCGAGATCGCGCCACTGCACTCCAGCCTGGGTGACAGAGCGAGACTCTGTCTAAAACAAAACAACTAGTCCACAAATTTCCTGAATATTTACAGTAAACTTAGTACGAGTAGGCCCTGGCACACCGCTGCTTAGAACACAGGTGGATGGGTGCATTCCTAATGGGTCAGTAGCCCTGGCATGTCCCCTCCCTGCATTCTGATGTGCTGCTCCTCGTCCAAACTCCCATTCTTGACTGTGCTACCCTGTAGCCTGGATAAGGGACACTGGGAGGCCTCAGTTTCCCACCTATCAAATGAAGCTGAATGTGGTTACAGGTGAGGCCCAGCAAACCAGAGTCCCTTCTATTTCTGTAAAGGGAACCCAAACAAGTCTCTCATACTCCAGCTCTAGTTTAAGGTAAGAATTGTCTGGGTCCATCATAACTAACGTGTGTGCTGAGTTTTAGAGAGAAAATATTGTCTTTCACAGGTGGATGTATTGTTGCAGCACTTTGTTTTTGGAAGGGAACTGGGCATCACCCAGTCAACAGTCACTCAATCCTCCTTTCTTTTCCTTAGAGGAGATCATCATCCAGAAGCTTGTGGCACTTCTCCAAGAAGTGGATGGCCAACTGGGGCAGCAGGTGAGTACCACTCAGCCCTCCCCAGGCCAACCCCAGGGCCTCATCTACCCACCTGGGTTCCATCCCCAAGTCTGCACCTCTGGGCAACTTTGAGCATGTCCCTTAACCTCTCTGAGTCTCGGTTTCCTCTTTTCCAAAATGAGAGAGAATTACCTACTTGACCAAGCTTAGTGCATATGTAGAAAACGCCAGACATGTAGCAGATGAGGGAACTGTTTAAAATAACACAACGCTCATGTGGCCTCCCTGCCCCAGCCAGGACCACTCCTGTCCAAATCAGCTATTGAAGTTCGGCTCATGTCCCCCGTCCTTGGAAGCCTCCTCCGCCCACACCTGGCCACTCCTGGCCCCACCCGCCCGGCTGATTCCATTCCCTGTGGTCTCCGGGTTCACTCTCGGTCTTGCCGTGCTCTTCAGCATTTATGTGGTCTCTCATTCTTTCAAGCTTGTTGATTTTCTCCCCTGATAGGCAGTCTGTAACAGAAGGTTCCCCACCCTTGGAAAACACAGCCTACTTTGAGAGACAAACACAGATCACATGTGAAGAGGTCAGGTTAAAGATGAGTAATCAGCATAGCGGACGCTCTGGGTGCCTCTCTTCACCACCAGAGTGCACGCTGGCCCATCCAGCTGCCAGCACCTGCCTCCTTGTGCCTGAGGACCCAGGGCCATTTTGCAACTCATGTGGGGGGCAGAATTAACAGCCTCCACTTCCCCATGAGCAACCCTCAACCAATGGCTGGTGGGAGTTGGTGGATAGAGACCCCAGCTCCCTTGCCTTTGTGGGGTATAACTGAGGAATGTGCTCTCAGCGAGCTCCCAAGGTGCCCTGAGTGGATTAAGCTCCAGTTGCCACCCCCTGGGCCGCCTTCCCATTCTTGTTCCAGGTCTCATTCTTCCATTAGCATTTCCTGGGATCATTTAATGAATAAAATGCCTGTACCCAAGTCCTTGTGTCTGGGTCTGCCTCTGGGGAACCCATTTAGTTATTAAGAGAAAGGAGCTTGTTGGAGGAGGCTTAGAAGGAATTAAATTCCTCTAACATCTGTACTAAACATTCCTGTACTAAACATTTTATATAAATTCTCTCATTTCATTCCCCACCCCTCCAATCCCCGCCCAGCAATCCTGGGGTTGGGTGGATACTTTACATTTTATGGATGACCAGAGGCTCACACACATAGTAAGTGCAACTTAAGCATCCCAATTCTAGACTGTTATACATTTAAATAATAAAGTATGATTATTTGTCAAATATGGAATGGCTAGGGTAGACGAGAAGACTCTGTGGGGTGTTTGCTTCTGAATTATCTGAGTCTAAAGACCTGTACTTCCACCCTTGCCCTCTACTTTGTCCTGCTGCTTTGAGCTGGACCTCGCAGAACAGATTCTGAGAGGCTAGGGGCAGTGGAGGGATGTAACAAGGGGAGCTCATCCCAGGGACAAGGAGTGCCCCGCCTGGCTGCATGGAGTTGTGGGAGGGGCAGTTGGCGGGAGGGGTACTGCCAGCAACACTAATGACCTGTTTTCATTTCCACTTCCAGATCAGGCGCCACCCCAGCTTTAAGAGGTTTTTTTACGAGTTCTCGGACTCCTCCCTCAGCAAGCTGGTAGCCACCCTGCGCAGCCAGGTGGCTCACTCCTCTAAGCTGGACAGGAACCGCGCCAGGAGACTCTACCAGTTTGACGTTAGCTTAGCTAACAAATTTGCTGGCAGCAACAGCCATGCCATGTGCATCCTCATGGGCCTAAGAGACCACTACAATTGCACCCAGTTCCCATACAGGGAGGACCAGCCGGTGAGAGAGGGCGGGGAAGACAATGGCAATGTAGCATGAGTGACAGCAGGCTCACAGCTGGCCTCCAGTGGGATCTACTTATCCTCCTCTCCCCTCCCCTGCTCAGTTCAGAATTTTTGGGTCTATCTCAAATGTCACCTCCTCACTGAGGCCTTCTGAGACAATTCTAAACCATGACAACCTTTTTCTTTTCTGAAACCTCACTGATTTTACTCCATAATTAACATCTTGTTTATTTGGCTCTAGTCTTCAATTACATGTACATTTCCATGCTTTTTGATAGAATGGCATATTGGACTGGCTACGATCTTAGCTTGCCTTGTTATTATTTTGTGGGCTCTGTTGCTTGGCTTCTCAATTCTAGGCTGTCATAAAATGTAAATAACAAAGTAAGGTTATCTATCAAATAAGGGGTGGCTGAGATAGACAAGAAGGCTCCATGGGCTGTTGGTTCTGGAAGGCTTCCAGGAGGCGATCACTCACTGACCTGGCCTTGGTTGCTTAATGAACAGCCTCTCTCCTGCCGTCACCTTCACTGTTCTGAGTGCATTTATGCTTTTCCTAATAATTTCGCCTCCCCCAAGTCTCTGAGATATTCCCTTCAGAGATGATGCTTGTCACTGATTTTTTTTTGAGACAGGGTCTTGCTCTGTCACCCAGGCTGGAGTGCAGTGGTGTAATCACGGTTCACTGCAGCCTCAACCTTCCTGGGCTCAGATGATCCTCCCACCTCAGCCTCTCAAGTAGCTGGGACTACAGGAGCATGCCACCACGCCTAGCTAATTTAAATTTTCTTTTTTTTTTTTTTGGTATAGAGATGGATTCTCACTATGTTGACCAGGCTGCTTTTGAACTCCTGGCCACAAGAAATCTTCCCACCTTGGCCTCCCAAAGTGCTGGGATTACAGGCATGAGCCACCACAGCTGGCCTGATTTTTTAAAAATTCTGAGCTCTCATATTTTCTGGTGGACTCTGATAAAGATTTCTTCATCCTTTTCTAATTCACTTAACATAACCTGCTTACAAACATTTGACCCAGATCCACAGCGTAGAAGCCTCTGAATGAAGGTGTAACTTTAGAGGAATGAAATGTTCTGTTTGCTGGTGTTGGACAAACAGGACCGGAACTTCTACATCCAAGTGGTCCCCTGGGAAACCTTTTGCAATGATGCTACTATCACCCGAAACACTTCTGTCTTTCTTGGAATTACCTTTAGAAGCCATTTGAAAAGTCTCTCAAGAGAGCTGGCTTATTTCATGGTAGTTGTATCTTGTCATTCAAATGCTCTCCTCTACTTCGGTTCATTTTCCTGGTCAGAAATCCTCCTTACCATGGACCTCTCTCTCTCCTTGGCTTCACTGTCTTCTCCTAGAGAATAGGAATGTTACAGATAATTTGCCCTCTAGGGTGGCTTAGGTAATAGCTTACAGATCGATCTGAGTTATTCGTGAAAGATATTATAGAAACATCAGTTCTGACATCCTCAGTTGCCCTGACTCCATCTTCTGGTTTTACTAACCATTCATTCATTCATTCATTCATTCATTTAACTGGTAGCTATTGACAGCCTCCTATGTGCTTAGTTGTGCAAAGGGCTGTGAGGCTCTGTGGAAGGTTCTGCCTTCAAAGGCTTCATCTGCCAATGGAAAAGACAACAGTTTGATGACAAAATTAAATAGCAACCAAATACCAAATGAGTGGTAGCTGAGGCCCATGAAGCAAGTAGGTCCTGGGAGCCTTCCAGGAGGTGGAGTTGCTGATTTTGACCTTTGAGAATGGGGAGGCTGTCTGGGGAGAAAGGATCAGGAGAACAGTGTCAGCAGGAGGTGTTGCAAGAACAAAGACCCAGAGATGGAGGCTGGGGTGGGGTGTCAATGGGATAATGGGAAGTCTGTTGTTTCCAGAATGAACCCATAAATAATTGAGCTGTGGCTAACACCTATGTTCTTTTTCTCTTCCCAGAACATCACAAGTCCTAAGGTTGAAAGTCCAGATTGAAAGCTGTGTCTTGCACTCAAATTCCCTTGAACTAGCCAAATGGTTCGCAGCTTTAGCCAGGAGACCCTGAAGATGCTCTGTGATGTCCCAATCCCTGCTTCACAAACGTGATGGAAGACAAGAGCAGACAATCATTCTGTGTCCATACCCTAGTATCTGAGAAGCACAGAGCATTCTTCCACAAGGCAAGACACAGAGGCCATGTCTGGGGAAATCAGCACTGGACTGGGAATGAGGAAGACTGGGGCTCTACCTGCTGAACCTACCCCAGACTTGCTGCATGACCCTCTACACATTCCCCCTCCTCTCCAGACTTTGGAGTCTAGGATCCCACCCAGAAGGCCTACTGATATTTTCTCAGATGTTCATGTTAACTGAGTCTAGTTTTTAAACTAAATTTTTATTTAATCTCTAAACAGAACATCCACATGCATCCAAACAGATATGCATCGAAGTGTATCCCATCATTTCTTCAGTTGACCAGTAGTTCTTCATGCTCATATGGATTTGTAGATGCCTCCCAGGAACTCTGCAGGCCCAAGATGGAAAAACCTAGAGACTGGGGACACTTGGTCTCTCAGAATCCTTCTAACCCTGTGTCCTGTCATTCTATGACTAGAGAAATGGAGCTGATACCTTGCACCTCTCCCATCTCATGGGATTGGCTAGGAGTCAGTGAGAAAATGGATGTGAAGAGTTCTGAAAATTACCTAGTGCCATGTCCATGTAGGCACTATAGCTTCTTTTGGGTAGTTTTCAGGAAGTGGAGGAGGGCTTCAATGGGCTGGACTGCCATGGATTGTTGCACAGGGGTGCACTGCTCAAGAGCACCATACTCCAGGAGGTACTATTCATGTCCTAGACATTGTGGATTTGTAGATTTATCATGACAGTTTTGCAGCTGGTAGCAGTAACATGTCTTGAGAAAAGGGCTATTTTTTGTATTTGCACAAAGGTGAAGTGTGGGGGTGCCAGAGGCTCTGCCTTCTGTATAGCTCAACAGTTTCAATAGCTTGACTCAGGTGTGAAATTTGCCACATGTTCATATCTATGTGCAGGAAGGACAAGACTGTAGACAGACAGTCGGCTCCCTTGGACACTGCCCAGAACATGTGGTCATGGGGGAAAGGGTGTTAAACCTGGATGGCAAGTGAGATCTTGTGACCCTTGGGGACATGGTATTGCCGTGTTGAACCTGCTGTCGCACCATGGGGTAGGACTGGGGAGGAGGAGCAGTCTAGAGCGGAGAGGCCCTGGGTGCTTATATGGGACTGGCCTCCAACCTGAGGCACTGGCTTCATAAGCTCAACTCAGCCTATCCGGAAAGCCATTTAGTTTTTATTGCTGCTTCTGAGAAGTGGGGGAGAGGTGAGCTATTTGTGGATTTGTTTTAGGCAGTGTTCACAATCATAGCACCTAAATATGAAGGATCAGAATAAGTTATGAAATGAAGGTCAGGAACCTTTTGTACATAGTTTCTTATTTGGAATGATGTTCTTTAAGCCCTATGAGTATTTGGTATGTGCTCCTGATGCTGGCATCTGAGTCTCATTTTTGTACCGTGTTATTTGAGCAAATAAATACATTAACTTGCACAAACCTGTGATCTGGGTTATTCACCATGGAAGCAAGACAGATACCCACCTGCCACATCTATGACTGTCTGGTGCCTGCAAGGCTGTGTGGGTTGGCCTCCTTGTCCCTGCCTGGATCCCCTCCAGGTGTCCCATCCTTGGAGCGCCAGCTCTCTGATGCAGTAAAAAAGTGTCCTGGGCTGGGTGTCAGAAGACTTGGGTTTTAATCCAGCTGCCCCCAGGCTGGGTGACCCTGGGGACAAGATACTTGCCCTCCAGACCTGACATTCTACAACTCAGTGACTCTCAATGTGACAGTTCATTGCATGTCCAGGAAAATCGGGAGCAGTACTGATTCCACCTTGTCTCTTATTAGTCCCCCAAATCTGGTGCTTAAATTCTGTCACTCAGAGCCAAGATAAAAAATTGTTAGACAAGGAGAACACATGGACACAGGAAGGGGAACATCACACTCTGGGGACTGTTGTGGGGTGGGGGGAGGGGGGAGGGATAGCATTAGGAGATATACCTAATGCTAAATGATGAGTTAATGGGTGCAGCACACCAGCGTGGCACAGTGTACATATGTAACTAACCTGCACATTGTGCACATGTACCCTAAAACTTAAAGGATAATAATAATTTTAAAAAAATTGTTAGAATACAGCGCTAGGTTTTTGGTCCATAAAATGTCTCCAAGAACAGACATTGATGATGTCCTTTCTCCTCTCTCAGGTGACACAAGAGTATCTGTTCCTCAACCCCTGAAGGCTCACCCTAATGCTCCAAGGAGAGCAGGAGGAGGCAGCATTATTATCCTCCTCTCACAGATGAGGAAACAGAGGCTCAGAGTAGGGAAGCACCTTGTTCACAGTCACACAGCCAGATACAGACAGAACCCAGCCAGGAGCAGGCTCTGATAACTCCTATTTTAGTGCCCTTCCCTCCAGTTATGATCTAATCCAGTAGTTCATTTATTCAACCAATGTTTATTGAGCACTTACTATGTACCAGCTCTGATGCTAACTGTGTGGAATGCACAAATGCAAAAGACAAAACCCCTGCCCACAGGATGCTCACAGGCCCCACTGGTTATGGGGCTTTTGTGCCAATATGAATATAGGGCACCCTGTGAGGGTGCTGTGGAGGGGTGGGGCCCCTCAACTCCCACCATAGATGTTTTTGGTCTTTTTCCCCCAAGTGCTGGCAAGTATGTAGAGCAACACAGATGGTTTTTACAAGAGCACTGGGGTGCATAGAGGTCCTGCTGCTTTGCATGGCTTTAAAAAGGTGGGCAAGTAACATTACAACATAATTAACCTAATTCCCTCCCTCTGAGAAGTCAGAAGCCTAAGTGGGTGAGTCAGAGATAATGGGGTCAGCTGAGAACTGGTTGAGCTGGAGGTGTTAGCTGGGTTACAGCGGGGTTGTGCTGTGGGTATCAGTCAGAGGTGCTGCCTGGAAGAAAAGACAGCATTCTGGTGTTGCCCCGGGCACAAGTGAGGCCTCCCAGTTTCAAAGCACAGTGGCTGACATGTAACAATTCGTTCATGTTGATCAGAAAAAAAAAAAGAGAAAAAGGAGACAGAAGCTAATTTGGGTTGCCAGATTTAGCACATAAAAATACAGGAGACCCAGTTAAATTTGAATTTCAGAAAATTACAAATAATTGCAATATTGAGGACGTACTCCTACTAAATAATTATTCATTGTTTATCTGAAATTCAAATTTAACAAAATGTCCTCTATTTTATCTGGCAACTCTGAAACTAATGTAAGAACAATTATTTTAATTACCTCAAAACAAGAAAAATAATTAAACCAAGTGAAGGGAAGTATGCAAGAGGATGTATTAATAGTTTAACATAATTGACATTAAGAGCATCTGGGCTCTAAATACAGACTTTGAATTAAAACAATAATTATGATTAAGTTCGAGTCTTCCTTGGGTCCCAGGGAACAAGCATTCCTGGGCTGTGCAAGAGAGGACACTCTCCTCCCCCTAGTTTCCCAGGCCTCAGGCTTCTGCAAACATGGAGGCCACTCCTGGAAGAAAGGCCTGCGGCCGGGCGGGCCTCTCTAGTCAGTCTCCCCCACAGTACACACCTCCAGCTGCTTCCTTTGACTGGTGTGGCCACAGATCAACCAGAGTAGGCAGAGGATGCAAGACCCCTGGGACTTTGACCATTTTCAGGGTCTCAAAAGTACATTTTGTTCCCTGGAATGGCTGTGTTAAGTGGGGTCTGTTGCCGCAGCCAAGCCCCAACCCTCTAAATCCCCAGCCCCACCAGGCTTAAATTTGCATATGGTCTCCTCAGGCTCCAAAGGGCAGTTTAGTATGGTCCTCCACCCATTCATTCTGGGTTTTGCATTTCAGGATTTGGTAAGCAAATGTACCTGAGGCCTGTGGGCAGCTGGGGCTTCCTTGCTGGGCCTGGCGGGACCTGGAGGTTGTCTGCTCTCTGGGGAGGAGGGGGGCAATTATTTTCTGGACAGGCTGGAAAAATTGAGGCTGAAGTTGTCCTCCTCACGGAACATTTTCACTGAGGTGTGAACAGCAGACAGAGAGCCCTCATTTGTGTTGGCTGCAGGGGAGGGACATTTGGCCTCCTTCTTCCTCTACAGCCACCCAGGACTCCAGGGCAGCCTGTCTCAACACCACAGCACCACATAATCCCGGGGGAGCTCTAAAGATCTCAATGCCTGGGCTGCCTGACCAAATTCAGCCAGCGATTCCAGTGACCAGCTCAGGCCAAGCCGTTAGTACACTGTAAGAATTAAAAACCAAACAACCAGAACTTGGGCTCCTGCCACCACAAGAAAGAGGAAGCGTGTCGTTGGCTCAGTCCTGCTGGGCCCCCAAGAGTTTTGCCCTTGGACAGGATCCTGGGGAGACTAGAAATGATCTGGCTCATCTCAAAGAAGCAAGCTCAGGCCAAGGTTGAGAGGAAGGTCCATGAGTGCCGATCAGTGCTGGCATCCATCAGTCTGTCCAGAGTAGGGTAGTGGAAGGGTTGAAAGGATCGCAGGAAGCTGAGATGCTCACCCTGGAAGGGAAACAGATCTTGTGCACCATCGGGGCTGGGAATAGGTGTTGCCCCTGGTCCTCAAAAGGGCCCAGAGTCAGGGGAGTGTGCCGGACAGCAGTGAGAAGCAGGCTTGGCCTCAGGGTCCTCAGGTTCTCTCCCGTTCCAGCTCCCGTTCTCTCTCTCGGCTCACAGCTTCCTAGGAAATCCCCCATCTAGGACTTCCCTAACCTTAGTTCCACCGGGGATCACCCTTACAGGTTCATACACCTTGGGCAACCCTCAGCAGGTAGCCAGGCCTGTTATAGCCAATGCATGGAAATTGGAAATCTCAAGCTACACCAAAAGCCAGTTAGGGGGTTCATTTCATTACACAGGGGTCTTTTGCTGCTTGCAAATGTAATCTCCAGTGGGAGGTGATAAAAGGGTGTTTGAAACATCATTCCATGTATGAAAGTTCAACTGATACTTGTTTTTTTAGGAAGGGGATGGGGCTGAAGTGGTCTCCGGATGGCTGAGTACAGTTGTGCAGATTTTACACTATACAAGGGTACAGTGCCATATAAAAGGGGTAGGCGATTCGCAGACTTATGCATGTCTGTGCATGTTCTTTGTAGTTTTCTAGCAGTTGTCAGTCAAGTGTCTTGCTCTAACAAAATCAGCATATTATGACAATTTTCCAGCGGCTGGTAGTCAGGTTCTCCAGGAAGAGGTGCTATTTTCTTAGTATAAAAGGTACTGCCTGGGCTAGTGTTGACCTTGACTATGACCAGGAAGGGAAGGTGGGAGAATAAAAGGAGCTGGATCAATGAGACCCAGGAGTCACCACAGCATCCCAGAACAGGACAGGCAGTATCTGCCTTCCAAGGTCATCCTAAGGAATTCCACACTTCAGGGCAGCATTCCTGGATCCGGCTGGGATGAGGTCTGTAGGTGACCCAAACTGTCTCAGAAGTGGAGAGCAGAGGGAAGTTGAGTGGGCAGGGAGCAGACCTGGATAGGAGAAGCCGAGGAAGAACAGGTGAAAAGAAGGGAGACAAAAGGGAGAATCAGAAGACCTCACTTCCAAGACTTGCCTCCACCTCCTGTGTCACTTGGGGCAAGTTACTTGCCCTCTCTAGGAAATTGGAGGAAGACACTTGCCGAGCCCAGAGAAATGCTGGGATGTGGACTTGTACATTCTTGGATAATTTTAAAATCTCCGTAATTTTCAAATCTATCATTCTGTTGCTTAGACCCTGCAATGACTCTGCAGCACCACACGGGAAGTCCAGCCTCATTAGCCGGTCATCCAAGGCAGCCTGACCTACCTTCCACCACATCTCCAAGTTCACTTCCAGGCCTCTCCGCTACCTCCATCCTTGCAACTGCAGTTAACTGCTTGCATAGACTATTTCCTTGTTCTGGGCCATCCCGTGTGCCTGGAATACCCTCCCACACCCTTATCCTCAGTCTGACTAACTTCTGCTCATCTTCCACACCTCCACCAGGTTCCCTGAGATCCCCAAGCTAACAGAGTGAATTAGCTGCCTCTCCTCTGTGCTTCTATTCCATAGTAATCCAGTGGTTCTCAAACTCCAGCGTGCATCAGTCATCTGGTGGACTATGTGAAATACACACCGCTGGGCCCCAGCCCCATTTCCGATTCAGTAGGTGCAGGGTGAGCCCAAGAATCTGCATTCCTAAAAGCTCCTAGGCAGAACCATGCATTCAGATACCCTCTCTCTGCTCCTTTCTCTTGGTGCCCCAGTCCTACACACTGCCCCGGGACCCTCCCAAATGTCCCACACAGGCCTGGGCACTGGTCATAAGGTTCTGACATGTCTTGTTAACCAGAATTACACAGGATGCTTCCACATTCAGCTTCTCAGTTAAGTCCCAAATAACCATGGGTTGAAGGCAGGGTGAATGTTATAGAGAGAAACTGAAACTCCCACTAAGTAAAGTAACTTGCCAGAATAGAGAAACCAGTGCTAACCCCTGTGACTTCTGACTCCCACCCCAGTGCTCCCACCACCCTCGTAGGCTGTATCACTAAGTTGGAACATCAAGACACTGGTGACAGATAACCTGAATTGGGATCCTGGCTCTGCCACCTACCAACTGTGTAGCTTCGGGCATGTTACTTAACCTCTCTGTGCCATGGTGCTGGGCACGTAAGTACTATGTAAGTTGTAGCTATATTATTACATTCACATCGGAATGGGGGAAATTCCATAGAAACTCAAAGAAAAGGATCTTTTATGGTGGAAACTTGGGGCATCTCACAGACTTGGTAGGAATTTGGAGGATTTGGGGGCAGGATGGAGTCCTCCTTCTCCATTTGTAGCCTGTAGGCAGCCTCTCAATTTCTCACTCTGTCTCTTCATTTTGAGGCCAGTGACACAATCCAGAGTCGGATGACCACGGAACCCTTACTGGAGGAGAGCCAAGGCTAGCAGAGGAAAGCTAGGCTGATGCGTACACCCACCCAAGCTCCAGGAGAAGAGCAAGTCTGGCATCACTGCCGTTCCTAGAATGAAAGGGTCCTGGAGCAGACTTAACCCAGCCTGCAGCCTAAATAGAGCTATCCCAGCCAACACATAGGCCCATGAAAGAGAAACACAAATGTTTGTCCTTGTAATCCACTGAGATTTGGGGGGTTGTTTGTTATGCAGTGTTATCATAGCAGCAACAACTGACTAATACAGTTTGCATCAGAGTATGAATTTCAACCTCTGATTAAAAAACAACACTGATTAGTGTATGGGACATCTACACTTTAGCTTTTGTTCTAGCCTCTCTCTACTTGTCTGCAGGGATATCAGCTGGGGACTGGAAGTTTGCACAGGACTAGCCATGGATGTGACAGTGGTTGTAATTTGGGAGGAAATGAACAGGTTTCTCCTCTTCCTGAATCACTCCCCCCTTCTCCATCCCTAACATTTTTGAGCTTCTCTTTTCTACCCCTTACCCCAGCCTTTGGAATTGCTTAAGACCATCGATTGGTAAATTGCCACCTCCAGGCAGGCTCAGCATCTGTTCTGTAAAGGAACGCAGCAGACAACCACCTGCCTGGTGCAGGAGGTGTGACCCAATGACAACAATGCTTCCCACAGTTTATGAATGTTGTCTTGTTTGTTTTTATCACAGCCTGCTTCTTTGTAAAGCACCTTCATTCCCAGAAGGTTTGTTAACCAAAGTGGCTCTTGCTGAATTGCACAGTTCCCGCTTCTCTGCTGCAGTGGGAAGAGAGCTGGCCCTGGAATCAAGGAACTGGAGCCTGGGCTTGGCTTCCAGATAGTGCTCCTAGTCCCAGGGAGGCTCCCCACACCCACCGCAGATCCGTGGCTTCCCAAGGCCGAACGTGACCATGAGCTCCTAGAGACAGAGATAAGGACACTCAAAGGTCAGGGAAGTGTTGGGGCTGGAGATCAAGAATGAGTGAGAAGAATCCCAGGCTGGGATTGTTGATCCCATGAACCCAGGGACCTCGAGCTGCCGTCCTGCACCCTCCCTTACCTACCTGTCATCCAGAAAGAACATGTGGTTTGCTCCACTTCCTGCAGCAGCTCTCAGAATCTCCGCTACCATACTGCTTCCCACCACTCATCAAGTGCATTGCTTAGACTTCGAGATGAGCCTTTGGCCGCCGGGTGAGCCTCTGACCCTTGTCTGTCTGATAAATCCCTGTGCCCATCCAGGGACCCCACTTGGGACAAGAACAACCAGGAAGGATGTTGCTCAGAATGATTAGAGGTTTTTCTGACCAACAAAGACTTGAAGCAAATTATATAGCAGTGCAGGTCTGTTCCATTCAGAGAATACTATGTTGCCCAGCCCAGACTCCAACTCCTGGGCTCAAGCAATCCTCCTGCCTCAGCCTCCCGAATAGCTGGGACTACCGGCACATGTCAACATGCCTGGCCAATTCAGAAAATACTTTGATAACCCAATGAAATAACTGTAAATAATACCCGACTTGGTTTGAATCTGAGGCTCTCATTTTGAATTTGCGAGTCTGTTTGTATACATGCATGGGGCTTTACTTAAAATATGATGACTCGGTAAAAAAATTAAAACTTGGTTTAGGTGGGACTCAAAGTTCATCAGATTCTTAGGTTTTAGTCTTATCTTTGATCTAAAGTTAGACTAGGAGTAAACTGTTGAAACTTGGGGATAGAGTTTTAATTCATTTTTTATTTTGCCAGAGTCCAGGAGAGTGTTTGGCACTTAGTAGGTGCTCAATAAGTGTTGACTGACTAAGTCAAAGACAGCATAATATAGTCAAAAAGCTATAAGAAGCAGGCCTACATTGACTAGGGCCCTTAACTGTATGCTGGCAACATTTGAGTGTCACGTAGGCACTCACTTGTCTAGTTTTGTTTTGTTTTTTTTCGAGATGGGGTTTCGCTCTTGTTGCCCGGGCTGGAGTGCAATGGCGCAGTCTTGGTGCACTGCAACCTCTGCCTCCTGGGTTCAAGCGATTCTCTTGCCTCAGCCTCCCGAGTAGCTGAGATTACAGGTGCACACCATCAAGCCTGGTTAATTTTTGTATTTTTAGTAGAGATGGAGTTTCACCATGTTGGTCAGGCTGTTCTTGAACTCCTGACCTCAGGTTTTCCACCTACCTCAGCCTCCCAAAGTGCTGGGATTACAGGCATGAGCCACCATGCCTGGCCTGTCCAGTTTTGTATTTAAGTAGCATAAATACAAACATAATATGTAAACATAATACCTACTTATTGTGAGCTATTACACATTCTGCATTCTATGAAGCAATTTACATCATCGATCACATTTAACTCTCACAACTTTATGAAGTGGTATCATCCCCATTTTACAGGAAATGGAGGCTCAGGGAGAGCAAGTGTCCCAACCATGATCCCTGAGTGGAGCTGTGGCAGAGCAGGAATTTTATGTCGGATGTGTCTGTTCCAAAGCCCAATCTCCCACTGCACCCCCTACTCCCTTACACTCTCCTCTATTCCTCGGAATCTCTCTGAACACAGTTCCCAAAGCTGCTCCTCTCCGTGGGATTTAAGGAACATTAGACATGCTCACTGCACTTTGCTGCTTGGTTTTTTGGATCCCGAATGTCTTGGGAAGCCTTTTCTGGTGCCACTTGTCTTTTGCTTGTTCTTCTTGAAGACCTTATTCACCCAGTTTGAGTCTTCAGCAGGGCTCTCCCTAGGCAAAGAGATTAAGTAGATGGTTCATTATGGGCCTGACCTCGGTCCTCCAACATGGTGGCCTGCTCAGCTCCGCAGGTGGACACACCCGCGCTGTGGTTCTCAACCCTGGCTGAGGATTGGATTTCCCAGCAAACTTTTTTTAAAATATAATCAATGAATATTTATCTAAGTAACATCATGCCCATGAGTCAAATGAAACTCCGACTTTTATAGAGTTATATGTAAATGCAAAAAAGTTTAAATTATGTGAACAAAATGCATAACTTATGCCTAAGCTCAAAATTGTTAAATTTATACAAACTCTTTCAAAAAGTTTTATGGTTAAAATTATACTTAATGTGGGAAGCAGGTAAATTTTAATATGCTTGATGTGAGAGAGAGTGCAAACATTAAAAGCAGGAATGCCTCAGGCCCTGCTCTCTCAATACCTGCAGCTGTGGTCATGGAGAAACCCAGCTACTGCCAGAGTGGTCCCAAGGCAGGGAGGGATGAGAGGGGGGCTGGGGTTGTGGGGAGAAATACCCTTGACCCAACTTCTGATCTCCTGCTGTGCCTCCCCCACCACCAGTACAAACGGCATTCAGCCAGCAAGGGAGCCTGGGTAATGTGGTCCTCAGGGAAGTTTTTAAAAAAGCAGATCCCCAGGTCCTCTCATAGTTATTGCAAAGATATAATGGAGTGTATGTTATGCAACCCAGACACTTGATGTGCATAATAAAAAAGATTTTCTGGGGACAGTCTACAGTCTAGTACTATCAGGTCATTATCATGCTAATAGAAAATAGTTCGGAGTAAGGAAGGCCTTTGATAGAGACCCTTAATTCATTTCATGCAGGAGCTACCTAAGGCTGGGAGGTAGGATGCCTGCAGGCCCTCTTGGAACTGTGGCATCACCAGAGAGTAAAATATGAGGGCAGGGGATGCACATTCTTGCACTGCACTCAGAGAAGGAGCATCCCCAGTGTGCAGGAGAAGAGAATGACATCATCACCACGGACAGGCTCCTTCCCCACACACTGCCCTAACTGAACAAGAGAAGGCAGCTTTGTGAGATGTAAAGGGGTGGACCTGGAATCACACAATCACACACACCAGAAAAGGATCCCAGAGTTCCTGGGGCAGCTAAGGTGGTGGAAGATATCGCTTAGCCGGGCTTGCTTCTTCCGTCCAAAGGAAAGAGCGTGCTCCACGAAGGGGAAACTTACGTTACATAAGGCTTGCTGACGGTTTCCTTCACATGAACCAGAGGCACGGCGCTTTTTGGTTTTGAAGAGACAAGAAGAGCTACAGCTAAAAGTAAAGATATAGGAAACGGGAGTGAGATGGGGAGGGGGGATATGGAGTCATTTTTGAAATAGCAATAGTCAGTAAATGAGAATGTTTAAAAACAGCAAAGAACTCTCTTGTCCTCAAATTCTCATCTTTACAACCAGAGTCATGTCGTGGGACTTGACTGAGACGCAGGCCCGCGGCATCTGTGGAGCGGCTGACTCGGACCCTTGGTGGAACATTAGAAACAACTCCCAGGGGCAGGCCCGGTGGCTCATGCCTGTAATCCCGGCGCTTTGGGAGGCCAAGGCGGGCAGATCACTTGAGGCCAGGAATTTGAGACCAGTCTGGCCAACATGGTGAAACCCTGTCTCTACTAAAAATACAAAAATTTAGCTGGGTGTTGTAGTGCATGCCTGTGATCTCAGCTACTCGGGAGGCTGAGGTAAGAGAATCACCTGAGCCTCAAAAGTTGAGAGTGCAGTGAGCCGGGAGTGAGATACTGTCTCCTCCTCCACCACCAAAAAAAAAAAAAAAAAAAAAAGAGAAAAGTAAAGAAAAATAAGGAAAAGAAAAGAAATAGCTCCCTCGCAGAAAGCAGCATGTTAGGGAAGGTTTTCAGGAAAATCCCCTGAAGGGGCCTGGACTTTCCATCACATGCTTCATGTAATGCTTTTTGTTTGTTTCTTAGAACAGAGTATTAATAGTTTCATGGCCATTACTCTTAAGTAAGCTCTTTACATGTTTTTAATGAGTATGGGGATACATAATACATGAAGGTTAATATGTAATTATGTATTATATATAAATAAAGGTAATATAAAGTATATGTGGGTTCTTCTGAAGTTATTTTGTTAGAGACTTGTTGTATGTCCCTAACTCTCCCAAATCTATTCACAATGAGGCTTGTCCTTTTGTTTTTGGATATTCCTAGGGCTTTTAACAATTTTCCTGTTCCCCAATGCCACCAATGGCCATCATTAAATGACTGATACCACTAAACTCTAGGGCAGGGGTGTCCAATCTTTTGGCTTCCTTGGGCCACACTGGAAGAAGAATTGTCTTGGGCCACACATAAAATACACTAACAGTAATGATAGCTGATGAGCTGAAAAAAAATCCAAAAAAAATCTCACAATGTTTTAAGAAAGTTAATGAATTTTTTATAGACTGGTGCATTCAGAACCATCTGGGCCGCGGGTTGGATAAACTTGCTCTAGGGGGTCTCAGCTCTGCCTAACTCACATAGATGGCCTAGGATGTCACCATTGAGGCTCAGCTGTAAGCTATAACATGGCTTCTCAATCTCAGTACATGCTATTGACACTAACGGTCAGAAAGCACTTTGTGCAGAGACTTCTGTGCACTACAGGATATTTTTCAGTGTCCCCAGCCTGTAACCACTAGGTGACAACCAAAATGTCTGCAGACATTGCTAAATGTCTCCTGGAGACAAAATCACTCCCAGTAGAGAATCACTAGACTATATATGCCCTCTATCCACCCCCGATATGAGTGAGGAATGCCGACTTGGGGTGCAGGATTGCTCAGGTACCTGAAGATGGCCGCCTTCATGCACAGGTGTGGTTAATGTAAAACAAGTGTTTTGTATTTAACAGGAAATAAGAGAGCAGGTAAAACACTGCGCCCAATTTTCTGACTTTTTTTTTTTTTTTTTTTTTTCCTGAGACGGAGTCTCACTCTGTCGCCCAGGCTGGAGTGCAGTGGCACGATCTCTACTCACTGCAACCTCCGCCTCCCAGGTTCAAGTGATCCTCCTGCCTCAGCCTCTTGAGTAGCTGGGACTGCAGGTACTTGCCACCATGCCCGGCTAATTTTTTGTATTTTTAGTAGAGATGGGGTTTCACCACGTTGGCTAGGCTGGTCTCGAACTCCTGACTGAAAGTGACTTGCCTGCCTCTGCCTCTCAAAGGCATGAGTCACAGCCTAATTTTCTTAATGGTGTTTTGTTTTTGTCTCATTAAAAGAGTCAAAGTAAACCTGTTCCAAAGAAAGGGCATCTCTACCAAGTTGGGGCTAATTCCCAGATGAGGAGACATTGCCGATCTGTGACGTTTACCATAATAGCTCTGGAAGTTTGGCTGAGGACCATGAGCACCCTACAATCTGGCTTCAGTCCTTCATTTGGGTCTCTGTCCCTCTGTCTCCACCCAGACCATCCATGGTGGCCACACACAAGTCCTCTCCTTCCTAAAGTACCTTGAAAGTACCCTGCACATTCCTGCACTGCACCTGAGCATTTTAAATAAACAAAATCGGAAATGCTCTTTCTACTCCAACCCATCCAATCCCACAAACCACGATGTTCAAAATCCTGCCCATTTAAGCTCACCTGTCACCTCCAAGAAGCTTTTCATACTGCCCCAGAGATAAGTGGTCTTATTCTCTACGAATACCCTCCAACACTGTGTTTTTATTAGTTATATAGTACTTAATACTTCTGATATATATATATTTTTTAAATGGAGTTTCACTCTTGTTGCCCAGGCTGGAGTGCAATGGCACAATCTTGGCTCCCTGCAACCTCCACCTCCTGGGTTCAAGCGATTATCCTGCCTCAGCCTCCCAAGTAGCTGGGATTACAGGCATGCACCACCAAGTTTGGCTGATTTTTTTGTATTTAGTAGAGATGGGGTTTCACCATGTTGGTCAGGCTGGTCTTGAACTCCTGACCTCAGGTGATCCACCCGCTTTGGCCTCCCAAAGTGCTGGAATTACAGGTGTGAGTGACCACACCCAGTCCCTGATTGTATTTTTGAGGTTAGTATCCCTGTTATCTCCTCTGCTGAAAGGGAGATTTCCTGAGTAAGGAATTGAGAACGTTTTATCTTTGCAGGCCCTATAGTGGTGCTTCTGAAACCGTCTGTAGTAGTAAGGAAACAGTTTTTTAAAAATTTCTGGCTGGGCGCGGTGGCTCACGCCTGTAGTCCCAGCACTTTGGGAGGCCAAGGCGGGCAGATCACAAAGTCAGGAGATTGAGACCATCCTGGCTAACACAGTGAAACCTGTCTTTACTAAAAATACAAAAAATTAGCCAGGCGTGGTGGCGGGCATCTGTAGTCCCAGCTACTCGGGAGGCTGAGGCAGAAGAATGGCGTGAACCCGGGAGGCAGAACTGGCAGTGAGCCAAGATCACGCCACTGCACTCTAGCCTGGGCGACAGAGCGAGATTCCATCTAAAAAAAAAAATTTCTTTGTAGTCTATAACAAACTAGTAATTTTGTGAAATACAATGCAAATGAATTAGTAAAAAATGGTCAAGCTCCGGGATGTTGTGGAAATACCTTAGTGCTATAAACGTTTCTAAATGATTACTCTTAATTTCTGCACACCCTCCGTGGTGGGCTAGTAACACACAGTTGAGGGCTGGGTTGGTCTGCGGACCACTCTTTGAGTAGCACGCCCAGCACAGCAGGTTTCACAGTAAAAATCTACTGGCCCAGCGGTCTCAAATGTGAGCAGGCAAAAAATCACCTGGAGGGCTTGTAAAAAAGGCAGCTGGGCCGCACCTCCAAAGTTGGTAATTTAGTAGGTCTGCAGTAGGACCTGAGAACTGTAATTTCTAGCAAGTTCCCAGGTGATGCTTTTGCTGCCGGTAGGGGGATCGCACTTTGAGAAGCACTGCACCAAGGGAAATGAACCAATGTCTATTACACTGCCCCCTTGTGGCGGACTGTCCTCATAATGGACAGAGATGCTAAAGCTCACTGCTAACTTCAGCCACGCACCCCTAAAGAAGCGGTTATCAGCCCTGGTGTCCTTGCTCGCTTGCCAAGGGGCTCCAGGCATGAGAAAGTCATAACAAGCCAGAAGGGTCCATACCTTGGGGCTGTTCTTGGCCTAGTTCCTCCACAGGTGGCTGAGCAGGGAAGGCTGAAAGAGAACTTCGGGGCAGTGTTTGAGGTGCCCCCACAGTTGAAGGCCCCAGGGATGGCCTGGGTGAAGTGGGTGCCTGAGAGTGTAGGGATCTGGCTGGTGATCCAGACGGTTGTACCTGCTGCTGAGGTGACAGAGGTGACAGTCCAGGTGGTGGGGTGGGCAGTGATGAACCAGGTGTGGAGCTGGGTGGCTTGTGCACAGCTGGGAATGATACAGGTGGCATGCCACTTAGAGAAAGTGGAGTTGAAGAGGCCAGTGGCTGTGCAGGTGGCTGCTCAAGTGGAGAGACTGGTGCTGAAACAGGTGACTCGCATGTGAATTCAAGTGTCTGCACAGGTTGGGACACAGGCGGACCATGGCTGCCCCTTCCATCCCCTTTGGGAACCCACTCCTTGTGAGGTTGTGTGGCTCCTTCCAGACTGGCCTGCCGTGCTCGAAGGCTTGGTTGACTGCGTTCAGGGCACTCATTGCCAAGGGCGAGTTCTATCTGGCAGTACACTTCCACCCGGGGGAAAATCACTCTCTTGGAGGAAGAATTAAGATAAACAGCATCTAGGATAAACAATAGCATGGGGTGTTACTCAGCCCTGGCAGCAGCATGGCCTTTGCAAAAATGGTTTCTTGAGTTATTTTCCTAAACAGGAACAGTGCTTTTCAAAGGTCTTTCTGTACTTACTTGAATTTACAGTGAGTGAAAACAAACGTGATGGTTTCTGGCACTTACGGTGTAGTGTGGGGAAGCAGGCGTTGCCCACCCAAATTATCTAGAGTTTCAACTGAGGCAAGTGCAGGAAGAGAGGAATGTGGTGCTGTGAGAGAGGGCAGGTCATCTGAGGGATTGGCAGTGAGTAGAGATCTGAAGGGTACGTGGCCCAGGATGGTCAGGGCGGGGTGGTGAGGGTGTTTCAGCAGAGGGAACAGCACACACAAAGGCCACAAAGTTTGAGGACACACCAGGTGGTCGGGGGCCTGAAAGGTCAGTGTGGGGCGGGGGTACTGTGCTGGGGGAGGAGGCTGAGGAGGCGGCAGGGGCCGGACCATGTCAGGGCTGTAGGCAGCAGCTAGGATCCTTAGTTTTCATGGCAAGCATTATTGTAGCATGACTTTTAGGCAGGGGAGGTAATCAGCTGAGGCTGGTTCTGAGAAGGTCACTGTGGCTGTAAGACTCATTGAGAAAGGTGAAAGGGTTGCCTGAGCCTGGGAAGCTGAAGCTTCAGTGAGCCATGATCGTGCCACTACGCTCCAGCTTGGGTGACAGAGTGAGAACCTGTCTCAAAAATAGTGGGTGGGTGGGGGGGCGGGGGGATGGCGTTTATCTAGGCCACATAACAGCCCTTAAATAAGAAAACAAACAATTCAGTTTTTAAAATGTGTGAAAGAGCCAACTGAAAGGGCTCCCAATGGCCAAAGCTGGAACAATTTGAAGAACACAATAAAGTAGTATTGAATAATAACCCAAAGTATAACATAACCATGAATCCATACTGATATAAACATATATTACGTAGGTAAGTAAATCAGGGAGAAGAGAGAAAGCTCCCCTGCAGAAGAATTCTTAGTAATTTATGTAGATGCTTGACCCTTTAGGAAGTGGAGCATAACTTCTCACTCCTTAAATATGAGCTGTGCACAGTGACTTTCTTCCAAAAACTGCAGTAAGGATAGAGGGAGAAAGAGTACTTCACAATGGAGAAACCCGATGGACACTACCTCGGCCAGGCGGTCATGGTCAACATCAGCAGGGATACGTCATGTTGGCAGCACGTGCCCATGAGGTAACGTGATGTGAATAGCACCTTACCTCTGTGGTCTCCTCCCCAGAACTCAAAACCCCAGCTTAATCTTGAGAAAAACATCAGACAAACCCCAACTGAGGGACGTTCTACAAAATACCTGACCGATAGTCAACTCTGTCAAGGTCATCAAGAATAAGAAAAGTCTCTGTAATCCCAGCACTTTGGGAGGCCGAGGCGGGCGGATTATGAGGTCAGGAGATTGAGACCATCCTGGCTAACACGGTGAAACCCCATCTCTACTAAAAATACAAAAAATTAGCCGGGGGTAGTGGCATGCACCTGTAGCCCCAGCTACTCGGGAGGCTGAGGCAGGAGAATGGCATGAACCCGGGAGGTGGAGCTTGCAGTGAGCCAAGATTGCACCACTGCACTCCAGCCTGGGTGACACAGCAAGACTCTGTCTCTCTCTCTCTCTCTCTCTCTCTCTCTCTCTCTCTCACACACACACACACACAAGAATAAGAAAAGTCTGAGAAACTGTTATAGGCAAGAGGAAACTGAGGAGACGTGACAACAAAATGTAATGTGATCCCTGGGTGGGGGGTCCTGGAACAGAAAAAGAAATTAGGTAAAAACTGAGAAAATCTGAATAAGCAATGGCTCTTAGTTAATAATATGTCAAGATTGGTTCATGAGTTGTAACAAATGTACTGGACTGAATACCGTGTTATATATGTATCATTCTGTAACGTCTAACAGATGTGAGACAAACACCCTGTATTATTTTCACAAGTTATCCATAAATCTAAAACTACCCTAAAAAAACAAAGCTTATTAAGAGTCTAGGTGAGAAATGTACAAAAGAGTGGAACGAATGCTTCACCAAAGAAGATCTATGGGAGGCAAATAGACAAATGAAAAGATGCTCAAAGTCATTAGTCATTAGAGGAATACTGATTAAAACCACAATAAGTTACCGACATGCACCTGTTAGAAGGGCTAAAATGAAAAATTCTGAGCATTAATTAAAAATACCAAAAGTTGGCCGGGCGCAGTGGCTCACGCCTGTAATCCCAGCACTTTGGGAGGCCGAGGCGGGTGGATCACGAGGTCAAGAGATCGAGACCATCCTGGCCAACATGGCGAAACCCCGTCTCTACTAAAAATGCAAAAAATTAGCTGGGCGTGGTAGCGGGCGCCTGTAGTCCCAGCTACTCGGGAGACTGAGGCAGGAGAATGGTGTGAACCCAGGAGGTGGAGCTTGCAGTGAGCCGAGATCATGCCACTGCACTCCAGCCTGGGTGACAGAGCGAGACTCCATCTCAAAAAAAAAAAAAAAAACAGACAAAAAAACAAAAAAAACCCCAAAAGTTTTGGAGGAATGGGAACGCTCATCCACTGCTGGTGGGAATGAAACATGGTACAACTGCTTTGGAAAACAATTTGGCAGTTTATTAAAAAGTCAAACATATATTCTGGTTATATATCCAAAATAATTGAATAGGATCTGGAAGAGACATCCATGGGCACTGCAGCATTATCCACAATAGCCGAAAGATGGAAGCAACTCCAGTGTCCTTTGTCAGATGGATGGACAAAGAACATGTGGAATATATTCAGCTCTAAAAAGGAAGAAAATCGGCCAGGCGCGGTGGCTCACCCCAGTAATCCCAGCACTTTGGGAGGCCGAGGCAGGCAGATCACGAGGTGAGGAGATCGAGACCATCCTGGCCAACATGGTGAAACCCTGTCTCTACTAAAAATACAAAAATTAGCTGGACGTGGTGGCGTGTGCCTGTAGTCTCAGGTACTCAGGAGGCTGAGGCGGGAGAATCGCTTGAACCCAGGTGGCAGAGGTTGCAGTGAGCTGAGATCACACCACCACACTCTAGCCTGGACAACAGAGCGAGACTCCGTCTCAAAAAAGGAAGAAAATCCTGTCACATGCTACAGCTACAACATGGATGAACCTTGAGGCCATTATGTTAAGTTAAATAAGCCAGTCACAAAAAGACAAATACCGCATGATTCCATTTATATGAAGTACCTAGTGTAGTCAAAATCATCAGCACAGAAAGTGGGATGGTGGTTGCTGGGGGCTGGAGGAGGAGAAAAGGGGGAGTTGTTGATCAATGTGTGTAAAGGCTCAGTTTTGCAAGATGAAAAAGTTCTAGAGATCTGCTGCACAACAATATGAAATAGTTAACACTACTGAACTGTGTGCTTAAAATTTGTTACGTGTTTTTTTACCACAATTAAAATATTTGTGTATGTATGTTAAACATGAATGTACCATGCAATCCCGTCATTCCATTTCTAGGTATTTACCCAAGAGAAATGAAAGCATATGTCCACACCAAGACTCATGCGTGAGTGTTCATAGCAGCTTTATCCATAATAGCCCAAATCTGAAAATAACCTAAATGTCCATCAACAGGGGACTGGGTAAATGGGCTGTGGTATATGCATACAGTGGTATATTCAACTCTTTTGGTAGATGAGCTGTGGTACATTCATACAGTGGCACGGAACGTAAAAAGGAACAAACTATTTATACATTCAACAACATGGATGAATCTCAGAATAATTATGCAGAGTGAAAGAATTCAGATTTTTAAAAAAGAGTTCACATTGTAGTGAATTAATCTATAATGGCAGAAAGCAGATCAGGGGTTGCTTGGGAATGGCGGGGGGTGAGGGAAGGTGGGAGGGATCACGAAAGGGCATGAGGAAATTTTGGGGATGACGAATTATTCACTAACTTAATTGTGGTGATGGTTTCACAGGGTGTGTGTGTGTGTGTGTGTGTGTACAGAGAGACAGAGTCACTTACCAAACTGTGAGAGGGAAGAAGGGAGTGGGGGAGGAGGGCGGAAGAGAGGTTTGGCCAGGCATGCCTGAATGCCGGATGGATATTTTAGACATGGCATCCTCTGAGCTCCAACCTCACTCAGCACCCACATTCACACATCTGTGTGGGGAATGCGGATTTTCAAGCACGCCAGCCTGCGCTGCCATTCCCTTTGGCAGAAGGCCGCTGCAAGGATGGGCCGAGTGTAGACAGAGTGGCTTGCCTGGCAGCAAGAATAATTAATTCTCCTCCCTTGGGAGGGAGGAGAAAGAGGCTGTGAGAATGTGAGCTGAGGAATGGAGGGTGACACCTTTTGGGGTGTAGTTTCCTGCTGGAGGTGACCCCTACCCAGAAAGCAGCCCAGGGGAGGCTGGGCGGACTCCCATTTTCTGTTCCCAGATGGCAGGTGGGGATAAGAGTGTGGCTCTGGAGACCAACTGCAGTTTCTCAGTATGTGTCAGTAGTTCCTGTTCACATCTGATGCAGAGAGAAAAATCCAGTCCCACCAAATCCAAGAGGACTGAGGTGGTGGAGGTGAAATCTGCGCTGAGAAACCCGTGCCATACACTGGCAAATCGGAAGAGGAAGCAAAAATAGCTGGTAGTCAGCACGAGACCATTTCTCCTTTAGGAGTTGTATCTGTTCCTACTTGGAGTGATTCCAGGGCCATTGAAGAAGCCTGCCCCCATCCATATACTGGCTCAATTTTGGGGACAGATTCCTGAAGTGCCACCATCAGATTTCACCCAGCAGTAGGCGGGACTGACTGTGGCTAGGACTCAGCACTTTGACGTTCTCATGAGAGCTACCATTTATTTGAGCATTGTGATAAGGGCTTGTGGCTTTGCTCCTTTAATCTTCAAAATAAAACCATAAGGCCCCTTTTACAGATGAGGAAACTGAGGCCCCAGGAGATTAATTACCTGCTCAATATCACACAGTTAGTAGGTGTCAGGAGCTAGGATCTAAACCCCCTTTTTTTTACAGATTAGGAAACCAAGCCTTAGAGAGGGGAAGCAATTATCCGGAGGTCACACAGCTTGTGGGTGGGATGGGGGCCTTAGAGCTACTTGCCTCCAGGGCCCAGGTTTTCTCCATCCTGCTCTCCTGTCCGTCCAGCCTCTCCACCCCCCTTGTTGGGAGAAAGGACCCAGGAGAAAGTAGAGACAGGATAAGGGGAGCTTGGGAAGCAGGAAGGAATTTTGAAGAAGGGAAAAATAAGTGAGCACCTCCTAGGAAGAAAATCTCATCCAACCCCTTAATCTCACCCACAGAGTATTTTTTAAAGCTACATACACAAAAAGTTTACCACAGAATTACTCATAATCACGAACATTTGGAAACTCAAAGGAATGATCAAGCAAATTTTTCTGCACAGCTATGATGGAATATTATACAACTGCCAAAAAAGACAGTCACAAAGACATGTGGCAACAAGGAAAATGCTTCTGATGTAACATTAGGTAAACCCTTTGACCTGGTGATCCCTTTTTCTGAAAATAATTGATTCTAAATATGGCAAAGCTTTTGTTGATTTCTTTCTTTTTTTAGAGACAGGGTCTCACTCTGTTGCCCAGAGTAGAGTACAGTGGTGCAGTCATGGCTCGCTACAGCCTTGATCTCAAGTAGCTGGGGCTATAAGCGTGTGCCACCATGCTCAGCTAATTGTTTAATTTCTTGTAGAGCTGGGAATCTCACAATCGCCCAGGCTGGTCTCAAATTCCTGGGCTCAAGTGATTCTCCTGCCTTGCCCTCCTACAGTGCTGAGATTACAGGCATGAGCCACCACACCCAGTCCTGTTCATTTCTTTTAACAAAGATGTTTGCCATGGAGTTAGCACATAAAAGACATGTCATTGGAATTGTTTCTTCCACCCTGATAAAGCACAGAGAATATATAGGTGGAGGGACCACCATTCCAAACCTACATAGGGCAAGGGCTCTTCTCTGTGATTTGCTGATCAATAGGTCACTCAAAGTCTTACACAAATATAAACTAGTGACATCCAATTCTACATTAATAATGTGATTTTACTAGAAAGAGAATAAAGTGGAAGAGAATGAAATTACATGAAAATGGAATTCTCCAGGAAGATCTGAACTCTGGATTTCCTAAATAGAGTTTTTACATTCATAAGCATACATGCACAACTGTCCTAGACACTGTGCCCTTAGTTAACCCCAAAGCCCCCTTTACATGGAGATCCTACTTTCTGGACCCAGCGGTCTGGGCTGGGCGATGCAGCCTGTTAGGTCCCCACCCCCATTTCCAGCTCTCCCAGGTGAAGGGCGTCTCCGGGTCACAAATCTGGGGGGAATACCCCTCCATTCAGCCCTTCTACTGTTTGAACTTTCCCTACCCTCCAACACTGCCCTTACCTGGGGCCCCACCGGTACTTACTCAGCCGCCTCAAGTACAAAACTGCATCCTCGTACCCTCGGTAGTAGTAATCGTGCAGGATCTGTGGGCGGAGGCACCAGGAGAATTACCAAGGCTGCGGGGAGGAAGGGAGCCACAGTTCCCCCGACCCAGGGCAGCTACTCCCATTGCTCTTGAATTTTATTTGATGGGCTTTTCAAAACGTACCCATCCAGTGTCCCATCCCTCACTGTCTGCTAAGAAGAACCGAGGAGCAATTCCTGATCACACGCCCCAGTGATGCTCCGTTCATGAGTTACACCATTCATGGTGGAGCCTCGGCCTCCCCTGGGAGGAAAGTGTGGGGTGCTCATGGCAGAACCAGGTGCACTGGGGCCATATGAAGAGCAAAGTTTGGAGCCTGAGTTCAGGTCTCTGGGCTGCCCCTTATTGGCTGTGTTGCTGTCCCCTCTCACAGCCTCAATTTCTTCATCTATAAAATGGGGACAGTTATAATATTGATCATAGAGGATGCTAGAGGATTACATGAGCTACTGCCCACAAAGCCTTTTCTGTAAAGGGCCAGATAGTAAATACTTATTTTGGGCTTTGCTGGCCACATGCAGTCTCTGCCTAATGTTCTTTTTCTTTTTCTTCTTTTTTTCTTTCCCCCATAACTCTCTAAAAATGGAAAACCCTTTCTTAGCTCACAGGCTGTACAAAAACAAGCCATAGGCTAGATTTGGCCCGTGGGCTGCAGCTTGCCGACCTTTGATTTGGGACATGAACTGTCTGAATGGATGGGTTCAGTTAATATTTCTATCAGCACTTCTGGCATCATCTCGCTTTACCGGGGAGAATGTTGAAGCTGGGAGAGCTTGAGGCGCTTGTTCAAGGTCACATAGCTAGTTAGCAGCAAGGCCAGGATGCAGGTCTAGGAGGAAGTTTAAAGGACCATTTGAGGGGAGGAGACTCAGATGGAACTTGAGTGGGCCCCAGTGGCTCTCTAACCCCACCCCTAGTCCCTGGTACCTTCTGCTACTCCCCAGACCCCTCCTGCCTCTCACCACCAGGTCCGGGGGGAACAATGCGTGGGTCATCCTGGCGATGTTCTCCAGGGAGAACTGGAAGGAGCAGTTGAACATGCGGAAGTCGTGGAAGATGGCCGGGCAGTCCCGGGGACAGATGTCCTGCTGCCCACTGAAGGTGGAGATGGTGATGGCGTCGGTCCAGAAGGCACAGGGCTGCATGCCCGTGAAGCCCCCATCGATGTACCTCTGTGGGGGCAGAGTGAGAAATGCCCACTTGGGGCCAGAGTTCTCAGCCCCACTCGGGGTACATCGAAATGGCCCATGGGATATGGCACCAGCTTCAAGGGCCCATCAAGGAAGATCCAGAAGACCCCTCAGGATAAGCCTGGAGACGGAGGTCCTGGTGGGTGCGTGGTGTGC
Organism: Homo sapiens; assembly: GCF_000001405.40. Lineage (NCBI taxonomy): Eukaryota > Metazoa > Chordata > Mammalia > Primates > Hominidae > Homo > Homo sapiens. The sequence continues at coordinate 36,294,015 of NC_000006.12, read as the reverse complement.
CCCTGGTCACTTAGTGAGTCTGCATTGGCCTCTGGACTCCCAGCCCGGTGCTCTGTCCTGCACTGATCCTCCCTCCACTATCTTAGTGGCGCTGAGACTGGGGCTCCCAGGGCTCTGTGTGCAGGGGACCCATACTCTGGGTAAAGCAGGAGACGTGCTCCTCTGCTACAGCCCCACCACCTGTTCACCCACAAGCCCCTTCCTTTCTGGGGCTTCTGTTTTCTCACCTATGAACGAAGGACAACAAATACTGAGGCTCTAACTCTCAGGGCTGGCTGACATGCAATACAAGCTCCATCTACTACCTGAATCCTAGTCTCTGGCCCTGACTTTCTCTGCATATAAAATGAGGAGGGGGCATGAGCTAGACCATCACCACTCAGAGTGTGGCCCACCCACCAGCAGCACGGGCAGCACCTGAGGCTGGTTAGGGGCGCAGACCCTCAGGCACTGCCTCAGACCGCCTGGATCAGAACTTGCATAATTTTACGAGACCCCGAGTGATTCAAGGGCACATTAAAGTCTGTAAGGCCCTGGCCTACAGGCCTCAGAAAACATCCTCATCATTTGAGTTTCCAGGTCCCAGTGCTTCATCTCCTCTGCTCTGTCAAGTCTGGGAAAACCTGCCAAGCCTATGGAGCCTTGATTTGCCCGGCTTGGCAGTGGGTAGGTGGGTCCAGAGAGGAACCCACCCCAGCTGGAGAAGTTCATCTTAAAGGCCCAGAAAGCCACCTACATTGGGAATTCTGAGTAACAACATGAGAAACTCTCCAACTCTAGGTCCTCCCGCTGCATTCTGAGACCACCCCCCTGCTCCCCCAGGTGTGAGTCACAGGGACCCGAGGTCCCTTGGATCCCATCTCACCCCTCACCATGCCGAAGCACTCACCACACCGCGGTAAGTCGGGGGGATGAGGCCACAGTACACCGGGACGAAGCAGCTGCAGTATAGGGCCTGTGCGGAGAGAACAGGGCTGAGATGCTGGAGGCCCGGGGGTGGGGTGGGGACAGCTCACCTGTCAGCCCCTGGGCCACCCACCACCAGCCCAGACCTCCTTAAATTCTAGGTGAAGGTGCCACACTGGGAAGCAAAGCTCCGAGTTCAGTTCCTGGCCTGGCCTTCACTAATTGGGTCCTTGGTAACCTGCTTGGTCCATCTGGCCCTGATGTCCCAGCTTTAAAGCAGGAGGGGGTCCTCCATAGCTTCGGGGTTCCTTCTGATGCTGAACTTTCATGAATCCAGTGGGATTCAACAACCATTAATGTGTGTCAGCCCTGGGCCAGGCCCTGGAAGCAAAGGAGGCTGAGAGGCCCACCTTTGGGAGTGCCCTATGAGAGGGAGTGAGCAAGTGGGTGACGGTGCAGTGGGGTGACAGGGGCATGGTGGAGGTGAGCATGGGCACCGTGGCTCCACAAGAGGGGTGCAGGCAGGGTGGGAGGGGATGAAGGGAAGTGCCCTGGCAGGAGGGACTGGGTTTCAGCAGCAGGCAAAGCAGTGTGGGAAGGAGGGAGGGGATCCCAGGCAGAGGGAGCGGCAGGTGCAAAGACCCAGAGGCCTGGCTTGTGTGTGGTTTGCTAGGGTTGGCATGGTAGGAGTGGAAGGTGGGGGAGAGGGCCGGGAAGAGAAAACTGCAGCAGTGGGCAGTGAAGTCAGAACGGGGGTGGGCGTGAGGAGGCAGATCTGGAAGAGCTGGCTGCTGATAAACCCAGGGGGCCTGAGGGACGGAGGTGGTGTCTGTGCCCACTGCCTATTCATCCCTCATCCCCAGGATTACTGCCAGGCCAGTATGGGATGAGGATGGAGTGGCGAAGCCCCTGTATGTGGGGGAAGGAAGGAGAGTGGAGATGTGGGAAGGAGGCCACACAGCTTAACCCCTTTGTCCCGAAAGACACTGGGACCTACCTGCGGCCCTTTCCAGCAATCATTATTCATAACTAAAATTAATATTAATGAGCTTAGGGCAGCGCACTCAGGATTAGCGTGCACTTTTCTAAGTGTTAACTGATTTGGTAACCATTCAATCCCTTATCAAGGGCCACTGGAAGAGAGGGGGCAGAAAGGGGACATGGGGGCCCCTCTCCCCTGACCGTTCCCACAAAGTGGGAGTAATTCTGGGGGGATGCATGGCAGCCCAGCCTGGAAGGCCCTGAAGGAGACCCAGGCCCTCTGCAAGTCACACCTGGGCCTCTGGGAAGCTCCAGGCTTAGCGCAGGGGGCCGGGCAGGATGGATGTGAAGGCCGAAGCATTGAGGGTGGCGGTCAAGCCTGGTTCGTCCTGGGCTTCTGTGTCCATCTCATCTAGCACTGCACCTTGCACAGCGAGACTCTGGGGGCATGAAGGAAGGGAAGGACTAGGGAAGTGAGGCAGGTGGATAAGGCATCGGGTTGAGCTGTGGAGAAAGAGCAGGAGCCGCCCTCCCCCGCCCCCTCCGTGTCCCTCCCTCCCAGCCCAGCCCCCTTGCCTCAATGAGCTCCTCCTTGGACGTGAACTCTGAAACCACCACATTCTCCCCGTCCGTTAAGCGGGTGAGGCTCACATGGAGCTTCCCCGTGGTGACCTTGTAGGAGTCCTCGGGCAGGACCCGGTACAGAAACTGCCTCATCATCTGCACCATCTTACAGGACGGGGACAAGGGCCCCAGGAAGGATTTCTTCACCTCGGCCACACCCACGTTGAGGACTCTGAGATACTCATCTGCAAAGGAAGCAGAGAAGAGGGGGTGGTCGGTGCCACCCAGTGGCCAGGGGCCAAGGGAGGTCTAGGGTGGTTTCTCCAACTCATCTCTGAATCCAACAAATGGGGAAACCTAGAATTCGGAAGCTGGGAAAACCCCAGGAATCGGCCTGCTGTCTTGCACATGACGGAAGCAAGATATTGAGGAAGGAAGTCGCTGGCTCCGGAGAGCCCAGAGCTAGGCAATGATGGAGCTGGACCCAGGCATCCTGACCTTTGTCCAGGAGTCATTACGTGACAGACACCTTCATATCAACAGCTAAAGGAACACTTTAGCCCAACCCCCAATAGCTTTCCCTAACTTCTTGTCACTCTGCCTGGAAGTCCACTGCCAGATGACATTTTTGGGGTCCTGTATGAGATTCCTATTAAAACACTGGTGCAGTTGGAAGTTGTTCCTAAGTGACGCCCTGGGATACTTGCTTGGTGCCCACTGAGTCTGTGGGCAGGGAAGGGGTGCTGGCCTTGGGCCGGTGAATCATGAGGAGGAGGTGAACTTTGTCTTGAAACCATTGCATCATCTTTCCTTTATGGCCCTGGTCCAGGTCTGAGAGGGAGATGACCCTGAGATATGGACTATGTAAGGCTCGCCTGTGCCATTTGCTCAGTGGGCAGATGCGCTATTCGGGGGTGGCAGAGGAGGGTGTAATCTTCCCCACCCCAAGTCCCCAGAACCCCACCAGGGAAGTCTGGGTTGTAAGCTTAATAAGAAGTGCTAACTTGCTTAATTCCCACAACAATACTGGGAGGTAGGTATTTCTATCTTCCTTTTACTGATCAGGAAACTGAGGCTCAGATAGGTAATATAACTTTCCCAGGGTCAGCGTCAGCCAGTTTGTAAGTGGGTAAAGTAGCATTTCAACCTAGGATGTGTGACCCCAGAGCCCAGGCTCCTGCTATTACACTAAGCCAAAAGCTTCTTCTGCAGCCGAGCCCACACCTGCTTTTTGCTGACCCCTGCTCATCTCTACCCTGTGCAAGCCTTTGGGAAAATCAGGAGTGAAAATAGCTCTGGAAAGGATTGCTAACTTTTTTAAAACAAACATTTATTTGTAAAATATGCTATGATACGCTATATGGTAGAACTTTCTTATGGTTAGTGTCATGTAGCAATGGCTACATGGGAAGCTGTGCGGTCATGAGTTTTTTGCCACAGGAGGTAACCAGGCAGAGGCTAGGCAAGTATCTCTGTCAGAGAGTTTATCAAAAAGATTCCTGCATGAGTGCTAAGGGCTAAGATTCCTTCCAACTTTGAGATTCTGGGATTCTCACAGGCACCTTGCAATATATCCGGGAAGTAATCAGTGTGCCTTACTCGCCTATTTATAAATAGAGCACCTGAGACACAGAGAGGTTAAGTGATTTACCCAAAGTCACATGGCAATCTGGGGACAAGCCAAAACTAAGGATGCCCTACTCCTCCTGTGTTTTATGGTTTACCGATTATTCCACCCCAGTCCTGGAGGTGAGTAAGAAAAGCTTCAGCACCATTTTACAGACGCAGAAACTGACACAGAGAAAAGCTAAGTGTCTTGCCTGAGGTCAGGCAGCCAGGCAGTGATTTTTCTGACTCCATACCCCACCTTCTTTCCCTGGGGCTTGGACTGATCTCAGGAATGAAGAGGCTGAGCAAGCCTGGGTTGCCATGGTGACAGCCTTTTTTTTTTTCGAACCTTCAGAATCACACCTGCATATGTGTAGCAGGGACCTCCCTGAGCAATGCAGCATCGTAATTGTCACCCTCCTACAGGGGAGGGTGCTCCTGGGAGGCAGAAAGGCCCTACGGTTTTAGTGAGGTTAGCCTTACCATGTGCCAACAGAGGTAAACAGTGTTTACCTTCAAGGGAGGGCAGCAGCTAACCCACTCACAGGTGATGCGGCAACTGCTCATTTGGATACCAAGGTGTTGGATCACTGAGGTCTCGCCCATAACACCAGCTGGGATGGGGAGTCAAGCCAGGGCAGGGAATTCTTAGTGAGCAGCTTAACACCTGGCAAGGGTCAATGGCTTTTCCCATGAGGCCTGAGAGCCAGGAACGCCTGATCTCCCAGCAGAAGCCACCCCTGGGAGGGAAGCAAGGAAATTTGTTCTTATTACAAAAATCAGACATGCTTATTGTGGAAAAACTTTTAAAAATGCAGATAAGCAGAAAGAAAAAAATTAAAATGTCTTGGAATCCCTCCTCCTAGAGACTAACATTTGGTCTGTCTTCTTAAGCTAAATATTTTATTTTTATTCATACTTATAAGGGGTCATATAATACACACTATTTGTAACTTGCTTCTTTCACCTAATATGTTGTGAATGTTTTTCCAGGTCAACAAATATCCATTTATAACCTAATTTGTTTTTTCAAATAGAGTTTTGTTCTGTCACCCAAGCTGGACACCATGATAGCTCACTGCACCCTGGAATGCCTGGCTCAGGCAATCCTCTCACCTCAGCCTCTTGAGTAGCTGGGATTACAGGCATGTGCCACCGCACCCAGCTGATTTTTTTATTTTTTTAAAAATAGGGTCTCCAGCCGGGCATGGTGGCTCACGCCTGTAATCCCAGCACTTTGGGAGGCCGAGGCGGGTGGATCATGAGGTCAGGAGATCGAGACCATCCTGGCTAACAAGGTGAAACCCCGTCTCTACTAAAAATACAAAAAAAAAAAATTAGCCGGGCGCGGTGGCGGGCGCCTGTAGTCCCAGCTACTCAGGAGGCTGAGGCAGGAGAATGGCGTGAACCCGGGAAGCGGAGCTTGCAGTGAGCCGAGATTGCGCCACTGCAGTCCGCAGTCCGGCCTGGGCGACAGAGCGAGACTCCGTCTCAAAAAAAAAAAAAAAAAAAATAGGGTCTCCTTATGTTGCCCAGGTTGGTCTTGAACCCCTGGTCTCAAGCAATCCTCCCACTTTGGTCTCCCAAAGTGCTGGGATTACAGGCATGAACCACTGCACCCAGCCTATAATCTAATTTTAAAAGCGGTATGGAAAGCTGTTGTAAGGTTATACCATTATTTATTGATCAGGAAACCAAGAGTGGTTGGCTATTTAGTTTGTTTCATTGCTTTTCTAAATAACGATGCAATGAACAATCTCATGCTAGCTTCTTTATCCATATACTTATTTTCCTTAGGATAAATTCCTAGAAGTGAGGATGCTAGGTCAAAGGCACGCATATTTAAAGTCTTATAATGCTTACTTTAATGGTGGCTTTAGTATATTATTCATCTACAGTCAACTCTCACCTATTCAGGGGTAGGGTTGGGTGACAGGAACAAAACAGTGGACAAAATAATGCAAACAGTGTCGACATTCCAAAGTACTCACATCTGAAAATGGTGCTATCTGGAAATTAGCAATGCTCTAGCCAGTCATGTAGCCTGGGAGGAAGAGGGCAGGAAGTTGTCTGATTCTCTCAGTCTAGCTCTCCTGCTGCTGGCTGAAGCCACACACCAAAGGATACTGTTATCTCTGCATCTTCTTACTTCTCTCCAGGGGTGTGTGTGTGTGTGTGTGTGTGTGTGTGTGTGTGTGTGTTTCTGTCTGTCTTCAAAGTCTCTGACTGTCTTTCTCTGTGTCTCTTTGTCTCTGTCTCTGTCTATCTCTCTCCTTTCTCTCTCTCCCAGCAACTAATCTGGTTAAACAAATCTATGCTGGTAGAAAGTTAAGTGTTAAGCACAGCAATTGCTGGGTGCTGAGAAAGGGGATAAATTTAGCTTATTTATGTATTACCATATTTTCCAGCACCTTCTCCCATTTAAAGGCCTCCTTCCGAGCTGCAGGCTGCCAGGCTCTGAGACACAGAGTCCCACACTAACCACAGCAAGGTTATTAGAAGCAGCACCGCGGACCCAATGTGTCCTGATCAGGGTACTCAAGGTTGACTGCTCCCACCCCTCAGCCCACCCTAGGCACATCCACTTCTGCTCAGAGGAGGGGATTCTCTGAGGGTAAATCTGGTTCTCCTCCTCCTCTCACAATAGCCTGTCACTGAGCTTTGCCCATAGGAAGCTCCTCAGAAACCTCCCCTGAGGGCTGGAAATTCCTCCAGGGGAGAGATGGGCCATATTCTATGCCCACCAAGGCTCTCAGTGTGTGAACAACGGAATATAAAAACCTGAGAGCAATGGAGATGCCCCCAAGGAAGAGCTACTTGACTTAATTACCCAATAAAAGCTTGAAGGCGAGATCATCCCAGATAGATGGATAGACAGCGAGAGTTAACAATATTGATTACTGTGGTCAGCTCACCAGGTTTTATGAGTCTAATGTGCCAAGAAAAATAAGTAAATAAGATGCTGGGTCAATGCTGGGTGTGGTGGTTCATGCCTGTAATCCCAGCACATTGGGAGGCTGAGATGGGAGGATCGCTTGAGCCCGGGAGTTTGAGATCAGCTCTGGCAACATAGCAAGACCCCTGTCTCTACAAAAAAAAAAAAAATTTAAATTAGCCAGGCATGGTGGCATGCCACTGTAGTCCCAGCTACTCAGGAGGTTGAGGTGGGAGGATCACTTGAGTCCGGAAGGACGAGGCCACAGTGAGCCATGATTGCACCACTGCACTCCAGCCTGGATGACAGAGTGAGACCCTGCCTCTAAAAAATAAAATGTAAAAAGATGTTGAGACTGGGAGATTTTTGAACGGCACTTGGAAGCTATGTTTCCAAGTTTCAGCCACTCAGAGAGTCTTTCTTTTTTAAATTTAATTTAAACTTTTTTTTTTTAGAGACAGGGTCTCCCTCTGTTGCCCAGGCTCCTCAAAGGATCCTCCCACCTCAGCCTCCTGAGTAGCTGGAACTACAGCATGTGCCACCATACCAGATAATTCTTTTTATTTTGTAGAAACAGGGTCTCACTCTGTTGCTAAGGCTGGTCTCAAACTCCTGGGCTCAAGCAATCCTCCCATCTCAGCCTCCCAAAGTGTGGGGATTACAGGCATGAGCCACTGTGCCCAGCTGATCAGAGAGTCTTTCCATGACCACATCCATTTCTTGGAAAGAGCTTAGGCTTTGGAGCCAGGCAGATTTGGTTCAAATCCCAGCTTCACCACATGCTATCTAGATCATCACTGGCCACTTAAATAACACCTTTCATCCTCAACTTTGTTGCCTGTAAAATTAGTATAAGAATACCTACCTTACTGGATTATGATGAGGCAGACAGCTTTTAAAGTGCCAGCACATAGTAAATGACCAAATATTGGGTATGGCAATAATTTCTTATGTGACAAGGCATTTTGATGATTCAGACTCTCAGACTGCTCATCTGAACAGGAGACAGTGATCCCTGCCCCCACATCCTTATCAAGGTGTGGTCAGGCTCATGTGTGGAATCAAAAGAGCAAAATACGAGCTTGGAGTAAGAGGGTGCACCCCAGTTTCAGAGTAGTGTAGGCCTGACTGGGAGACACTCCCTCTCCTGTCAAGTTGGGGGACCCTACAGATATAGTAGGGGGAAAGAGGGGCTAGAAAAATCATCAAAGGGGGAAGAAAAGGGATAATTGTACATGCGTTTATTTTATTTGTTTAGGTGGATAATGTTCCCCTCTTCACGAGGGCAAGGACGGTCTCTGTCTTGTTCATTCTTTTGTCCCTAGCACTCAATATAGTGCCTGGAATACGGTGGGCACTTAAGAAACATGCACGCAGGCATGAATAATGGATGAATGAATGAACTCCAGAAACTGAAGCGGGATACTGAGGTCTAGAGAGAGAAGTCGCTATTCAAGATGACCCAGAGGATAAAAACAGAAGGCTTCTCTTCCCCAACTCCACATGGCCTCTTGCGAAATGAAAAATCATAGAAAGGCGGGCAGTTGGGGCTGATAATTTAAGCTGCTGAGGATGCCGTTCACAGGGTACCGGAATTAGGTCTGCAGTGAGGGATGGATCTGCCACAGAGGATGGGACTGCGGGGCCCCAGGCTCAGGGCGCACTGGTAGCCTAGCAACAACCTCCGGTTCAACCAATCGCTGCGAGGCGGCGGCGCCGCCGGCCCTGCTCCCAGAGCAGCGTGCGTGGTGGGCGCGCGGGAAGCAGGGGGCGCAGCAGCCCCTGGGGAGGCGCCGACGAATGCTCAGAATCCCTGCATGGATCACCTGAGAGTTGGCTGCTATCTGGTCCCTAATTGCAGACTGAATTGTAATCTGCATTTTCCTGTGGGTATATCTTGAATACCCTACCCCAACGTAATAATAATTGTTATCATCTTAACAACAATCGTTTCCCTAAACAGGCTTTCCCACCTATTATCTCAGTTTATCCTCACAGTGACAGCCAGCCTCCGAGGAGCAGTGACCCTGGTTTATTTACCATTTTATTTCTATGCCCTACACTGCAGGGGTATTGATTGAAAAACAATTTGGCTTGAAGCTACAGTGTCACTACTAGAAGGTTTACAGAGACCCTCTGGGGCAGTGAGTTTTCAGTAAGGGAGGCTTTGTTCGAAAGAAATCTTAAGTAGAAACCCAATATATAAAACAGCTAAAAATGTGGCTGTTCTGGGTTGAGGCTGTTCTGAGACTGTCCCATCGCCCCACCCACCTTAGGAAGGTAGCCCCCAAAACACTGCCCTGAGACTCCTAAGATTCTGGGATCCTAGGTCAGAAATACAAGTCCCAATGAATTCTCACATTTTACAGGTAAGAAATCTTGCCCAGGAAAAAGATGAGCCTCAGTAAATGTCAGCCGGATGGATGGATGGATGGATGGATGGATGGATGGATGGATGGATGGATGAGTGGATGGATGGTTGGATGGTTGGTTGGATGGATGGATGGATAAAGGAAGGACATACCCTAGGACCTAGGTCACACAGTTTTTGTTTGCAGAAATAGAACTAGAATGTATGTGAAAACTCACATTTTGCTGCTCTGCCCTAAATGCATTACAGGGTTTCACCAACAGCAAAACAACTCTGACCTATTCAGCACTTCAAACCAAACCAAACAAAACAACATCTTTAATGGATAATAACAATCCTCCACATAGACCTTCTTCTAACCCTAAGAGTTTACTAAATAATTGGATTTAAAAGTTCAGACTGGCTTATATCCGATTGTCATGGAAACAGAAGTGTCTTCTGCTGATTCATCACCTGTGCTCCTAGCAAGGTGTCCACAGGACTCTTTGCTTGCCCTCAGGTAGAGGGCCTGGGGCCTCAGCCCTCACCCTACTATGAGCTTTTCCCCCCAGAATCCAGGCACAACCTCCAACATCCCACTGCAGGTTCTTACTGATCACCCTGAGGTGAAACAGGCAGAGAGGGAATGCATCTAGAAAGTTCCCTGGAAATGATCATGTATTCAGGGCCATTGCCCCTGCTCTTTTCTCTCTGTTTTCTTTGGTGGACCCAGAAGTCCTTTTGGGGCCCTGCTCCAAGGTGGAAATTAATTCTGCCTCTCATCTAGGCTGTGGCCTATCCTGCCGTACAGATTCTCCATGCACTACCAAGGGGACACTGGGATGATGCAACAGCTGTGAACTAAGTCACCCCCTAGTCTTAAGACTCAGCTGGACTTGAGGTCTGATGAGGCAAACCACAGGCAGTGTGCTCTGTCAATCCTGCTTCTAACTTGTGTTCCCACATGGATGCATACTAGACTCTGAGCTAGGGCATAGGAGGAGATTCTTTCTTTTTTTGTTTTTTCTTTCTTAATTTTTTTAGAGATAGGGTCTCACTACATTGCCCAGGCTGGACTTGAACTCCCGGGCTTAAGTGATTCTCCTGCCTCAGCCTCCTGAGTAGCTGGGGCTACAGGTGCACCACCATGCCCAGCTGAGGAGATTCTTCCTTACGTGGTGATTTCGTAAGGACAGAGTTGGGTTACCCACAGGATTCATGGGTGAACTCCTAACTCAGGGGAACCAAAAAAAGTCTGGAGGTTTATTTACCATTTGTTTGGCTGTCTTCCCCCTAGAATTGGAAAAAGAGCTCAACTGTCTTTCTTGAATTTGAGCCCAAAGTGAAGCAAAGAAAACAATGCTATTTTAATACTGTCTAAGTGAGTTGGTTTAAAAATGGATCCTCCAAATGCAGTGTGGAATCCTGGATTGGATTCTGGGACAGAAAAGAGACATTAGTAGAAAAATTGGTGAGATTCTAATAAGTCTGCAGTATAGTTAATAGGAATGTACCAATATTGATGTCTTAGTGTTGGCAAATGGACCATGGTTATGTAAGATGTTAACATTAGGGGAGACTGGGTGAAGGATACGCAGAGCTCTGTACTATTTTAGCAAAGTTTCTGTGAAGCTGACATTATTCCAAAATAAAAAGTTTATTATTAAATTTTTAAAAAAACACAGATCAGGTCAGGTGCGGTGGCTCATGCCTGTAATCCCAGCACTTTGGGAGGCCAAGGTGGGCAGATCACGAGGTCAGGGGTTCAAGACCAGCCTGGCCAAGATGGTGAAACCCCATCTCTACTAAAAATACAAAAATTAGCTGGACGTGGTGGGATGCACCTGTAATCCAGCTACTTGGGAGGCTGAGGCAGGAGAATTGCTTTAACCCAGGAGGTGGAGGTTGCAGTGAGCTGAGATCTTGTCACTGCACTCCAGCCTGGGTGACAGAGCAAGACTCTGTCTCAAAAAAGTTAAATTAAATTAAAAACACACACATACACACAGATCAAGCAAGGTTGTTAGGGATACAGTGCCTGGCACTCACAGGGGCTCAGTTAGCACCTGCTGATACCAGGTGGATGGATTAACATATGTCACCTACATGAGTTGCTTTCCAAATAGATGTTTCTACTGTGTAACCAACACATTCAAAGCTTTACCAGATCTTCCATTCAATGCTCTTCTACTAAAAAGTCCAAGGGATTGTTTGGGGAAAATGAATCTTTATCCATTTGGATAGAGACGTTTAAACATGTAAAGCATAAGTTCATTTGAGTGAGATGGAAGATACTGGTTCCAACATGGTAGTGGGAGCTACAACAACTATCGCACAATGACACCATTTCCATAATATTGTATAAAAAGTCCTTTTGTATTTGTCATGCCATTTGATCTTTCTTTCTTTCTTTCTTTCTTTCCTTCTTTCTTTCTTTCCTTCCTTCCTTCCTTCCTTCCCTTCCTTCCTTCCTTCCTTCTTTCTTTCTTTCTCTCTGTCTCTTTCTTTCTTTCTCTCTCTCTCTGTCTCTCTTTCCTTCCTTCCTTCCTTCCTTCCTTCCTTCCTTCCTTCCTTCCTTCCTTCTTTCTTTCTTTCTTTCTTTCTTTCTTTCTTTCTTTCTTTCTTTCCTTCTTTCTTTCTTTCTCTCTTTCACAGAGTTTCACTTTTATTGCCCAGGCTGGAGGGCAATGGTGCGATCTCGGCTCACTGCAACCTCCCCATCTCCTGGGTTCAAGTGATTCTCCTGCTTCAGCCCCCCGAGTAGCTGGGATTACAGATGCCTACCACCATGCCCGGCTAATTTTTTGTATTTTTAGTAGAGACAAGGTTTCACCATGTTGGCCAGGCTAGTCTCAAACTCCTGACCTCAGGTGATCCACTTGCCTTGGCCTCCCAAAGTGCTGGGACTACAGGTGTGAGCCACTGCACCCGGCCAGATCTCACTTTCTTAACCAATGTATAAATAATTGCTTGACACATGGAGTGTAACAAGAAAGCTGTCATGTTGCTTGCAAAGCAATTTCTGAAATCATGATTAGAGAGGATGTAGAATGTAGACATTTAGAGAAATCCCAGTCTTGGCTCTGTTGTATAAACCTGGGAAAATTATCTAATCTCTCTAAATCCCTGTTTCCTCATTTGTAAAGTGAGTATAAATATAGTGTCTGCTTCATAGGGTTGTGAGGGGATTAGAGTAAATGATGCATATGAAGCACTTAGCACGGGACCTGGCACATTCTAAGTGCTTGGTAAATAGCTGTTATTCAAAAGACACTAGGATGGGAATTTGAGCAGAATACCTTTTTACAGAAAACACTTCCATCTCAGATAACTAATTTTGGGAGTGATTTTTAATGAAGACATTTTGATTCTGAAAGTGTACCCAGCAGCCAGGACTGAAATCCAAGTTACATCTGGGCAACATATACACGTACACACCCACTCACACTCACCCACACACCTGCAACAGGAAAAAATGGAGGTTCTCATTCATGTATTAAGGAACACTGGAGAGACTTCCAGCTCCAGTAGTATGGTGGGCTGAGCTAAAGAGGAACCTTTCCAGCTTCAGAAACAAGAGATCAGGTGCCATGGCTCATGCCTGCAATCCCAGCAATGTGGGAGCCGGAGGCAGGCGGATTGATTGAGGCCAGGAGTTCGAGACTAATGTGGGTAACATAGTGAGACCCCGTCTTTACAAAAAAAATTTTAAAAATTAGCCAGACATGGTGGCACGTGCTTATAGTCCCAACTACTCAGGAGGCTGAAGCAGGAGGATCACTTGAGCCCAGGAATTCAAGGTTACAGTGAGCTATGATGGCGCCTCTGCACTCCAGCCTAGGTGACAGAGAAAGACCCTGCCTCAAACAACAACAACAATAACAACGAAAAGCCCAATATTAAATACAATATAAAACAGTTACAAGACATGGTTGAACTCACAAGAAAGGAAGAAATGAAGAGGGAACTGAAAGCCAGTGGCATGAGAAGGAAAGCTGATGATGTGGTAACTGTGGGGACTGTTATCAGACAAGAAACTGGCAGGGACAGGGACTACGTTCTTGGGCTGGGTGAAATGAGACCTCTGCTTAAAGCTAGGACCCTCCAAAGGCTGCTGGGCTATTACAAGGTGCCAGTGGCTTGTGTCTGCCCAGGGATCTGGGTGAAAAAACACAGCCTCCCATAAAAAATGAAAGACCCAAATCTGTATTGCATATGGTTTAGAGCTTGAATTGATACAACCTACAGAGTAATTAACATGAAAATTGGTCCCAAGTCAGCAATAATCCTAGGGTGTTTGGCCGGAGCCAATGCAAACTAGCTGAGATGGGTCCTTCCACTGCCGGGGCCACACAGAATTCCTGCAAAAAAACCAAGTCCTTGTGCAGATGAGCTCACAATTACCATGAAAAACATTGCTCAGGCCAGGCTGGATTCCAGTCATCTATGTTTTTGTTTTTGTTTTTTGAGACGGAGTCTTGCTGTGTTGCCAGGCTGGAGTGCAGTGGTGCAATATTGGTTTACTGCAACCGCCGCCTCCCGGGTTCACACAATTCTCCTGCTTCAGCCTCCCGAGTAGCTACGACTACAGGCACGCACCACCACGCCCAGCTAATTTTTGTATTTTTAGTAGAGACAGGGTTTCACCGTGTTGGCCAGGATGGTCTTGATCTCCTAACCTCGTGATCTGCCTGCCTCGGCCTCCCAAAGTGCTGGGATTACAGGCGTGAGCCACCACGCCCAGCCTGTTTGTTTTAATAAAGTTTAATTTGTTCTCTGGGACATTCTTGACTTTGGAAAGTGCTGCTTTATCTATGCTTTTCTATTTCAAGGTAATTTTCTTTTCACGTATTCATCCATTCATTCAACATTCATTCTTCAAAGACTTATTTTGTGACTAATATTTGCCAAGCACTGGGCCAGGAATGCATCCATGACTTCTTTTGTCTTTCACCATAATGTCCAAGGGATGTGTTTCCAATCACCCAAGTTACAGATGGCAAAACCAAGGGCGAGATGGGTCCCTGGCCAGCCAAGAACCTACAGAACTTGGGGGCAGAGTTGGAAGTTCAGCCCTAGCCCTCCTCCTTCCTGGGAACTCTATTCTCCACTAATCCTGGCTATGTCTCATTCCTCAACTGAGTAACAAAGATAGGTGCATGAGTGACAAAGGAAAGGAGTTACTAAAGCGAGGTTCTCAAAGAGGAAGGCTTGACTCCCCAGTGCCAGCCCCAGTGGACCAGAATACACCTTGAGCCACCTATCAATGACAATAACCAGCCAGCCTCAGCTCCAGGGCCCCAGGAGAATTTCAGTTACTGGGTGGGCAGGAGCTGCCAAAGGTAGCACTGGCCCTAGTGTGGGAGGCCAACCAAAACACTTCTCCAGTGCTCTGTCTCCATGGGAGAAGTTGTGCTGGGTCCTGTTGTGCACACATTTGCGGGGCAGGGGGCAAAACACATGGCTCCTCTGGACCTCTCATGTGTTTTGCAAGATCCCTTTGAAGCCTGTTTCCCGTCCAGAGGGACAAGCCATCTCCCTTTCTGAGAACACAAGCATGTTTTCACCGGGGGGCAACTACACCTGCAGACCTGTCAGCCTGGAACTCTCTTCCCTCAGTGCACGTGGCTCTCTCCCTAGCTTCATCCACCTCAGAGGGGCCTTCTGGCCAGCCCACCCAACACTGTGCCCCTTGTGTCATTCTCCCATCCTTCCCCTGCTTTATCTTCTCCTTTGAGCACGCATGCTGACCTTTTTTATATGCTTAATTTTCTATGGTTTAATTTCACCAAGAGAATATCAGCTTCATGAGTGTGGACATCCACTGCTTTGCTCACTGCCAGATCCCCAGGACCTAGAATGAATGAGCGAATGAATGTTCTATTTCATCACCGTAATTCAGCCAAAATCTGATCCTCAAACTCCTTGTCTGCATCTTGAGGGAACTGGGCTCAAACAGTGATTCTCAAACTTTAAAAGAAATTACTGAAAGATTTTCTTTACATATAATTTTAGCAAGATCCCCCATGTATAAGATGGACAACAGCGGGGCTGTACTAGTGCAGCCGGGGCTTCAGACGTGTCTGTCCCCTGCTTTTCCTCCCCATCTGCAGAACCCTAAGGATCCCTGGAACACAGTTTGGAAACTATTGGCTTAAGTGAGGTCTGCCTCCAACTAGTCACTTTCTCTCCCAGGGTCTAAATACAATTATCTGCAAAATGAGGGAGCTGGACTTACTGACCTTGACACTGTAACATTCTAGCGTTATATCTCATATCCATAACTACAGAAAATTATCCAAGAGCCAGGGAAACTATAAAATACAGATAGCAAAGACACATTCAGTATCACACTGGCCAATAGCCAGCAAACACCAGGAGTTTATCAAGGAGTTCTTGTTTTATGAGCAGTTTGTGGGAGCCATAGGACCCACAAGATCTCAGATTGCTCAACCAATCTAGTTGATGAAATGAGACACTGTATCTGAAACAGTTAAGACCGTACAACATCAAATGCTAGAATATGTGGGCAGATTTTATGGGCAAACTAGACATCATGGAAAAGAGAGATGGAGTGGGGTAAAATGGGATGGTGTCTGGAGAGGAGGTTTTCTCTCTGAAAGGGGGGCAGAGGGTCATTCTAGGCAGGAGACACAGTAGGTGCCATGGTGCATTGCCCAGGCCCCCTGCTGCAAGACTGAGGCACTCATGCTCCCACTGCCACAGGGGCAGCTGCTGGTGGGCCAGAGCTGAGCCCTTTCCCAGACAACAAACTGGACTTGGCTTTGTGATTGTTTGTTTGTTTTTAGAGACATGGTCTCTGTCTGTCACCCAGGCTGGAGTGCAATGGCAGAATCATAGTTCACTGCAGCCTCAAACTCCTGGGCTCAAGTGATCCTCCCACCCCAGCCTCCTGAGTAGCTGGGACTATAGGGACAGGTCACCACACCTGGCTAATTATTTTATTTTTTGTAGAAACAGGGTCTCACTTTGTTGCCCAGTCTGGCCTCAAACTCTTGGCCTTAAGCAATTCTCCCGCCTCAGCGTCCCATAATTCTGGGCTCACAGGCACGAGCCACTGCATCTGGCCAACTTTGTGATTAGGAAGTCATGGTTTTGGTCTCAGGCAGGGGCAGAGTTTCTCCAGGATCCTCATGCCATTGATTATGGTTGTTGCAACAGAGACTACTGGTTGTCCCCAATACCCATTCTCCCCTTCTTCCTTTGTAATCGAACCTCCAATTTTTAGCTGGCCACATGGCCTCCCAAAAATAAAGTCTACATTTCCTGGGTTCTCTTGCAGTCAGGTGTGACCATGTGACTAAATTCCAATCCATGGGATGTAGCTGACAGGACATGTGTTACCTCCAAGTCCTGCTCTAAAGGACTGTGCCCTTCCCTTTTCCCTTTCCGACTAGCTGGAGTGCAGATATGGCAGGGGGCTCTTGGACCACAGGAAAGGCAACGCCTTTCAACTCCTGACGTCAGTTGACTTGCACTGTTTACCATGCTCTGGAGGCATCATGTTTCCCCACTGTGTGGCTTTGTCGTGTTGTCATGCTATGTCCTTGCTGGAAGCCTTGGTTCCTGCCCAACCTGTCTCTACCTGTCCAACTTCTCACATTTCAAGCATGGACAAGCTCAAATGCCGCTTCTATGAGGCCTTCCATGTTTGGAAGTGTTTTCTCCATCCCTCTGCACTCCTATGCCTTATAATTCTCTAACATTCAATAGGAACTTTCTTGTATTATAACTGTTTGGTAGGTGCCTTTAAGTTTGAGTGGACTGTAAGCTCCTTGCAGCAAGATCAGAGTTTCATTTTGTGTTGTATCTTCGCATCCTCTGCAGGGCCTAGTATGTGCTCAACTAACACGGAAGGAAGCAAGGAAGGAAGGAAGGAAGGAAGGAAGGAAGGAACGAACGAACGAAGAAAGGAACGAAGGGACGGACAGATTGGCTTGCCAGTTTTTTATGGGGAGAAAGGTGCCAAGAAGTAGCTTAAGTGGGAGTAGGGTTTTAAGTCTGCCAAATCACTATTCTTCCATAAGAAACATTTTGTTTTTCAAAATTATGCAAATGCAGCTTTGAGGCACGTTTCCAACCCCACTTCTGACAAGATTGGAAATTCTGGATCCCCCAGTGGCAATCACGGAGACCACCCCTCCTAGGTGAATGAATGGATTAATGAAGGTTACCACATCTCTAGTAAAAACCAGGCACTATGTTAAGTGCTTTTACAACATTTTCATGTGCCTTGAACTGGCCTAGTCACAGAACTGGGCATACACGCCAGAAGTTGCACCTCTGCCACCTCAGCTTTCACAGGAAAAAAACACAGGATCTCAGGATAGAAAAGCCCCAAACTGGCTACAAAAGTGGGGAAGTGGCCTTGAGAAGAGCCTCAGAAAATGCTAGCTGGGTGCGGTGGCTCACGCCTGTAATCCCAGCACTTTGGGAGGCCGAGGTGGGTGGATTGCTTAAGGTGAGGAGTTCGAGACCAGCCTGACCAACGTGGTGAAACCCTGTCTCTACTAAAAATACAAAAATTAGCTGGGCGTGGTGGTGGGTGCCTGTAAGCCCAGCTACTCGGGAGGCTGAGGCAGGAGAATCTCTTGAACCCAGGAGGCGGAGGTTGCAGTAAGCCGAGATCACACCACTGCATGTCAGCCTGGGCAACAGAGCGAGACTCTGTCTCAAAAGAAAGAAAGAAAGAAAGAAAGAAAATGCCATAGGTAAAAAAGGTCCCATTTCCCGTAGCAATAAAAAATAAAACTACAAGGGAAAAGTAAATCTAATAAAACACACAAAATCTTTACTGAAGGACACAAAAAGACCAGAATAGAAAGATCAACTATATTTACAAATGGAAAGATGCAATTTCAGTCGAAAGCCCAGCAGAGCTTTTCACATGGGGCAAAGAAAGGGCCAAACATAATGGAGGCAATATTTGAAGAAGAAAAAAGGAGGAAGAAGAGGAGGAGATTGCTTGTCATATGTGATGAACCCTTTATTATAAGACTATAATGATTAAAACAGAAATAGACAAATTAGCCAACAGAATAGAAGAGACACTTGAATATTCCAGAAGCAGCATTTCAAGTAAGTGTGGAGATAGCCTCTAATTGGCTATCACATGGCAAAACAATTTAAAAATTAGATCTCTACCTCAACCATCAACAAAATAAATTCCTGAGGAATTAATCTAAATATGAAAATTTTAAAACTTTTGAAAGACAATGTAGAAGAAATCATTGTAATAAAGATATTTTAAAACACAAATTATAAGAGGATGGCCAGGCGCACTGGTTTAGGCCTGTAACTCTTGCATTTTGGGAGGCTGAGGAAGGAGGATTGCTTGAACCCAGGAGTTCAAGACCAGCCTGGGGAACATAGTGAGACCCTGACTCTACAAAAAAATTTTTAAAATTAGCCGGGCGTGGTGGCATGCACCTGTGGTCCCAGCTACTCAGGAGGCTGATGCAGGAGGATCACTTGAGCCTAGGAGTTCGAGGCTGCAGTGAGCCATGAATGTGCCACTGCACTCCGATGTGGGTGACAGGATGAGACCTAGTCTCAAAAACAAAACAAAACAAAACCCAAGTTGTAAGATGAAAAGATGGATACATTTGACAGCATTAAAATTAAAATCTGAATAACAAAAGACATCGAAGCAAAATAAAAATACAAGAAATAGAGTGGGAAAAGAGAGGTGCATTGTGCATAACTGGTGAAAGATAAGTGTACAGAATATATAAAGAACACCTACACATTAAAGGAAAAAGATAACTCAGTAGGAAAAAACAGGGAAAGGTGGTGAGCAGGCACAGTACAGAAGAGGAAACGTCTAGTGGTCAATAAGTACATGGGGATGCTGAACATCACTAGCAGTCAGGATAGGTAGATTAAATACAGTAGATGAGACACAATTTCACATTTATTCGGTTGGCATAAGATTTTCAAGTGTGACATTGTGGGGAAATTAGAACTCATATCTGCTGCTTGTGATTAAATTGGTACAACTGCTTTGGAGAGTAACTTATCAAAGTCATTAACAAAGTTAATGACACAAATACCCTAGAATGATATACATGTCATGTGAGCATGGGAGACACAAACAAGGATGGTTGTAACGACAAGGAAACTGGTCAGATCCATCAATAAAATGACTAACTAAAAAGATCTAGCCCTGGTTCCTTTTCGGCTTCTAACTAACGATGAGACTTTTGCTTCTGCGTAGAATGTTCTTCCCAAGATATTCTTGGGCTCATTCCCTTACCCACGTCAGGTCTGTGTGGAAATTCCACCTGTTCAGAGAGACTCCCCGACCCTGCCTCCTCACCCCTTAACATCGCATTGTTAAGCAGGGCAATTTAAAGGATAAGAATGTAGACTTTGGCCAGACTGAGTTCGAATTCTAGCTTTACCAAGTGCTATCTGTGTGACTATAGGCAAGTTATTTAAATTTTCTGTGACTCATTTTCCTCCTCTGTAAAATGGGGATAATAACAGTTTTCACCTGGGAGGGCTGTTGTGAGGACTGAACAAGTTAATATGCCAGAGGTAGAACGGTGCCTGATATAAAAGGAAGTGCTAGTTAAGAGTAAATTGTATGGCAGTTAAAATGAGTGAATGAACTAGACTGGAGTGACATTGACAAGTCTCATAAACATGCTGCTGAGCGGACAGCGTGAGTCCCACACATACCTCCCTCACCCTTCCCTGGACTTCTGCGATAATTACGAGCAGCCCACAGTCTAGTCCTTGATTACACCCCACTGCTTGATGTCCTTTTTACAGGTTTTAGTTCCTACCACTGCCGTCCATGACCGTCACAGCCCGGCCAAGTAGGTTTGCAGCAGTATTCATCAAACTGAATGAGTTAAATTAGGTCTGAAAAATCTTTTCTTTCTTTCTTCATCTTTTTTTTTTTTTTTTTTTTTTTTGCGATGGGGTCTTCCTGTACTATCCAGGCTTGTCTTGAACTCCTGGACCCACACACAATCTTCCTGCCTTGGCCTCTCAAAGTGCTGGGATCACAGGCATGAGCCACTGCACCCAGATGCTGTATTTTAAGATGACATAAAGACAGAAGAGTGAGGGTAATGGAGCAGATGAGCAACGCAGGCGCCCGGAAAAGGAGAGAGAATCCCTGCACCAGGTGTTTCCAAGGCAGGAATTCGGTGACTCCAGGACAGAGTGGGGGCTGTCACCCTACCCCCATTCTGAAGGCCTGGAGTTCAGTGGGGAAGAGCCATTAATGGCTGCATTCAAGGAAGACTGTGCATTAAAAAGATCTGGAAAGATCCATGCCTAGCCCTTAACACTGGCTAGAGGAGGGAGTGGGGGATTAGGGGCAGCCGGGCAAATGGAGGCTTTCTTTCTACTCTTTATTTATTTATTTATTTATTTATTTATTTATTATTTATTTATTTGAGACAGAGTCTGGCTTTGTTACCCAGGCTGGAGTGTAGTAGCGCGATCTCACTGCAACCTCTGCCTCTGGAGTTCAAGCAATCTCCCACCTCAGCCTCCCGAGTAGCTGGGACTACAGGTGTGCACCACCACGCCTGGCTAATTTTTGTATTTTTTTAGTAGAGAAGGGGTTTCGCCATTTGGCCAGGCTGGTCTTGAACCCCTGATCCACCTGTCTCAGCCTTCCAAAGTGCTGGGATTACAGGCATGAGCCACTGCAACTGGCCTCTATTTTCTACTTTTACTCTATACACTTTCGCACTGTTTGAATTTTGTCCAGTGAGAAAAATGTGTTTATTACTTGTGAGACATTAAAAAGAAAAAATTATATTATACATTAGAGGTACTCAGTGAATGGGCATTACTATTATTCTTTAAAATAAAGACTTTCCACCCAGCATAGAGGTCCCCAGCCAGGAAGGCACCCTGCTTGGGCTGGGAGGGGGCTATTATCTGCAGCCTCTCCCTCACACAGCCCAGCCGGCCCTTCAGAAAGTCTCACTGGCTCTACTTTCAAAGCACGTCCTGAATCCAATCTCTTCCCTTATCTAGTTTCCACCTTGCTCCCTCAAACACACTCTGCCCATCGTTCAGAGATCTTAAGAAGCCTAATCAGATGGTTGCCACATTCTCAACACTTGCCATATGTCAGGTATTGTTCTAAGCAGGTATTCATATTAGCTCAGCCAATCCTATAACCAGGGGTTCCCAACCCCCAGGCCATGGCCCCGGGTCTGTGGCCTGTTAGGAACCAGGCCGCACAGCAGGAGGTAAGCAGCAGGTGAAGCTTCTTCTGTATTTACAGCGGCTCCCCATCACTCACATTACCGCCTGAGCTCCGCGTCCTGTCAGATCAGTGGCAGCACTAGATTCTTATAGGAGCGTGAACCTTATTGTGAACTGTGCATGGGAGGGATCTAGGTTGTGCACTCCTTATGAGAATCTAATGCCTAATGATCTGTCACTGTCTCCCATCACCCTCAGATGGGACTGCCTACTTGCAGGAAAACAAGCTCAGGGCTCTGATTCTACCTTATGGTGAGTTGTATAATTATTTCATTATATATTAAAACATAATGATAATAGAAGTAAAGTGCACAACAAATGTAATGCGCTTGAATCATTCTGAAACCATCCCCCACCAACCCTGGTGTGTGGAAAAATTGTCTTCCACAAAACCAGTCGCTGGTGTCAACTGGAGACCGCTGCTGTAACAATGCCGGGAACTAGGCGCTATTAGGAGCTCCCATTTGTGGACGGAGAAACAGAGGCGCAGAACGTTCAATAACTTACTTCAGGCATGCATCATGAAATGGCAGAGCTGGGATCCCACCTGAGGAGCTCACGCCCTCTGCCCCCTCCCCACTTGCTGTCACAGCCGTCTGTGCTCCCCCTCCCTTAGGTGAGATGAGAGCTTGTGGCTAAGGCCACATGACCTGGCCCCTGTTGACCTCCCACCACCTTTTCCACACCGCAGGCTTCGTGGCTGCTCCTCCACCAGGAATTCTCCTTTTCAGGAGCTCCCAGTAGCTTGTTCTATCACTATACCCAGCTCTAGGCTTGAATGTCACCTCCTCAGAAAGGCTTCCCTGACCACCTTCCTGAAATAGTCTCCATTTCATTCTCAGTCCCTTTCCTGCTTTAATTTTATTCATAGATCATATCACTTCCCGACCTCACACTAGAAGGTGCCTTGTTTGAATGTTTATTATCTGTTTCTTTTCTCTAGAATTTCTGCTCCACAAGGGCGGGGACCTTGTCCTCAGTGCCTGGAACAGAGCTCTGTCTAGAATAGGAGCTCTGTAAATGAATAAATGCCCCTCCAAGGTAGCTCACTAGGCTGTTGGGCTTGTTCCTTGGGGCTGCTAGATGCATCTGCTGTCCGGGACAGTGTTTCTCTCTCTGGGTTAGCAGTGTAGCAGTTCTTCTCGCTGAGGCTCCTGGACCAGCAGGACAGAAGGTGAAGTGAGAGCTTCTGTATTCTCTCCCCACCCCTTCCTATTCTTCTCCCACTCTGGGCTCCCTCCTGTCTACCCCTCCAGCCTCAGGGCGTTCATCTTTCCAGCCACCTGGAAATGGTGGACAATACGTCCCCATCAGGGTGATAGAGATTTGAAGAGTTGCCTCTCCCAAGGGTATTTGCATTTTGAAAGAGGCCAGGCAGGAGCAACACTGAACCCCAATGTATGACTGTGCCGTGGTGTAGCTTCTGACAGCACCATGTTCGATGTTCGAGGGAGATACTGTCCTTTACTCTCCCAGGCACTGGGAGACAGAGCATCTCACAGGTAAGGGCACTGAGGGAGAGGGACAGGGGTCCAGGCTCACCCTGCATGTTAGAGTCTGGGGCCTGGCAGACCCCAACCTTCAAACGTCACAGCTGCCGCTATCCTACTCCAACCAGCTCTTCCCTTCCCTTCCTGCCACCCAGGCCTGGCTTTGTCCCCCAAAGCATCCCCAGCCTCCCTCACGCTCCTTCTGTCTCTGTGGAATCCCCCAAGAGACTTCCCAGGGGACCCAGAACACAGGCCTCACCCATTTCAATCCCGCAGATGGCCAGGGCGGCGATCACAGCACCTGCCGATGTCCCCGCAAAGCGGTGGGCTGTTTCCAGCATCCGGGGGGCCAGGTCCCGCAGGGCGTCCACAGCCCCCGCCTGGTAGAAGGAGAGGAATCCACTGCCCGAGAAGGAGATGGAGTGAGGGGTGTCCGGGTCCCCCTTGAACACCTGTTCTTCCATCTCCTCGGCCTCTGACTTTCTGCGGAAGGCGGAGCCACCCTTCAGCACTTGCCTGCCCGAGCCTGGGCTGCCGCTCCCTGTAGGAACTCCCTACCCAGCTTCCCTGCCACCCCGGAGCTTGGAATGTGGCTGTCTCTACCCGGCTGGAGCAACCACAGGCTGCTCAGGAAGCTGCCTCAGCCTGTTAAGCTCCGCCAGGAGGCAACTCCAAAGGTTGGAAAGGGGCCCCAGAATGAGATGCAGAAGGCTCCCCCGGTGTGTGAGCAGGGTCTTGGTCCTGTGAGCCCCCCACTGGCTTCATTTCTTGGCTAGATTCATCTCGGGCACGGGATCCTCAGCCCTCTGCCCATCCATGGTATACCAGGGCGCATTCACTGCTCCCCAGCACAGGGCCATGCCCAAGGAGGCGGGCTCTGCCCAGCCCTCAGCTGCAACATTCAGTTGCAAAACCTCCGTGATGGTTATCGGTGTACACCTCCCTCCCCAACATGCTGCTGCGGCCGTGAAGGGCTTCCAAGCCCGCCTCCCTCCAGGAGGACGGTGCCTACCCCATCTCTTTTGGACGGGTCCCCCAAAAGAGATGCCCCTCCTGGGCTCCTTCAGGCTATGTGGTATGTGTGATGTGTTACACAAGCATTTTTATTTGTTTTTCTTACATAAACACCCCTTTGTTTATTCACTTGTTTATTTACATGTTAGCATTGGCCCTGGGTAAAATTTTAAGAGAAGTGTGACTTTGGCGGCCCCACCCACCACCGCCTCTGCACCTCTCTCTGTTTCTTCTCCTGGGCCCTTCACTGACCCTGTGACCTTGGTCAGTGCCCTCTCGACAAGCCCCAAGCCCTCATGCTATCTTCTAAGTGTGCAGGAAGAAATCAACCTGAAATCTAGATCATTCTAAGTGTGTGAGGCTTCGTGTTGCGTGTTCTTCTTCCCGCTCAGAAATGAGAAGTTTGAGATAGCAATGTTTAACCCCAAGGAGGAGCAGCTGGGGAGGTCACCTGTGGGGACGTCGGGGTCAGGGCAGAGAGACGTTTTGGTAAGGGAGGTGGTGTGAGAGGACCAGGGTTAGCTCCAGGGGCTGCGGTTCTGCCCCCTGAGGGGCTGTATCATGTGGTCCTGATGGGGAGGAGTGGTTCTCACACCCACAAAATGTCCCCTCATGGAGATATAACAAAGAAGGCAAGATGGCGTCTCCCGCTCCCCTCAAAGACCACACAGCAACAGGACCAGAATCAGAATCAAGACACCAAGGCCTCCACCAAGTGCCAATCCAGGATGTGACATCAGTGGCTTCCCCGCTTCTGGGGAGCTTGCACCATTCTGGTGGACTCACTTATCTGCATGGGAATTCCACAGTGAGGGCAAGGCCAGGCTTCAGTTAGGAGGGAGTTTTCTGTCTTGGGTAGGTAATTCCAGGCATATCATTGCCTCAGGTTGAAAAGAGAGCTTTAGATTAGATAAAGTGTGTGTGCGTACATGCGTGTGTATGCATGTGTGCATGTGTGTGCAGATATCTGAGGCATACTGCTGGGGTGGGGGCGGGTGTGTCAGGGTGGAGTCCAGTCAGCTTTTGGACAGCAGAGACCCTGCCCCCTTCCTGGGAGGTGAGGTCAGCTCCACTGAGGGCTTGTGTGCCAAGCCCTGTGCTGTGTCGGGGCCCTGGGGGACAGGAGCACACAGAAGCTCCATCCCCAAATCAGATATTTGCAGGCTTCTTGGGAACAAGACAGGCAAATGTGAAATAAGCAGAAAACTGTACAAGGCAATCTATAATTAAGTACTAAACTGTGCAGGGCTGAGATTCCTGCCAGAAAAGTTAGGAGGCGGGGCTGAGCAGTGTGGGCTGGAACATCTGAGGAGCTGTGCGGCGGAGGTGTGGGCTGCGGGACTGGAGGCAGCTGGGAGGAGCAGGCAGGCACTGGTCGAGGAGCAGCAAGAGCCCCTTGCAGAGAAGGGAAGGGGTGTAATGGGACCTGTTTCACAGGATGAAGGGCTTTGGATGAGAACCCTTCTGAGTCATGACATTGGATCCCAACTCTGCTATTTACAGGCAGTGTGACCTGTGCATGATCTCTCTGGGCCTCAGTTTTCCTCATCTGTGAAAGGGACAATACTGTCATTCCTATGCTGCACAGTAGCTGTAAAGGCTAAAGGTAATGGCTGTAGGACGCCTGGCACACGGCACGTCTGTGGTTATCAGAGGGTAGTAAGAGTCAAGGCTTCTGGAACAGATAGACCCCAGAGATAAGGTGGAATAGAAAGGCAGGGTCCAAAGGGGAAGGCTTGATCCACATGCGACATGAGGAGGAGCTTGGAGAGGTCTCAAGATGCAGAGCCTTGGAAGGAAGATGAGACTGGGGCTGGAGAATGAGGAAGGAGGATGGTGGCCCATTCTCCTAGGATGATGGTGGCCAGGCCAGGGTGGCAGCTGCAGGAAGACAAGTTAATGAAGTTATTGCTGCAGAAGACTCTCAGGGCCAGGGACTGGTTGGATGGGCAGGGTGAGTCAAGGCTGAGGCCTCACTTTTAGCCTGGGGGTAGGGAGGAGTGGGGCTGCCTCCTGCAGAGTTGGGGAAACTGGAACAGACCTGGGGAAGCTGGGTGGAGGATGATTTTACTTTAAGATGCATCTGAGATGACAGCAAGACATGGGCACTATCCATGGGGGGGGCAGGGATGGCACCAGAACCAAGGACAGAGATCCCTGCCACTGAGGCAGCAGAGAAGGGTAAGCAGGCGGAGGAGGGTGTGGGGTCATGTTGAGGGGAGGACAGCTATGGATAAGTTTCTTTTTCCGGGTCATCCCAGTGAAATAGAAAGCAAGGCCACCTGCTGTACATGGGCTTCAGGCACCTGGGGGGCTGGGGACCCACCACCCCTTCAGAGACAGTGCATCCTGACATGGCCCCCGTTGTCCCCACCTGCTTGGACCCGGCTGACTTCCACGAATGCACATATGTTTCTGTTCCCTGTGGACGTGGAGACAGCAATGACGCACAGCCTCCTCCATGCAAACACGCCAGCCAGAAATCCGTGACTATACCCAGCAAGGCCGTGGAGGAGCTGCTAACCTGGACCCCAAAGGCTGAGCCTGGCAGACTGGTCTCCACAGCTGACAAGGGCTGGTGAGCAGCAGGCCTCAGCCTGTCCTCTGCTGGGTGCTAAACTCTTGAGAAGGTTCCTTTCATTCGCCCTGGTTCCTGACCCTCTACTCACGCCCTAAGAACTTCAAGCGAATGACATCGAGGAAGAATCACTTTCCAGCATCTCTGTATTTGATTTTTAGTCATCTCATGATCTTTGCAGGTGTTTTTTAACTAAGTTAACACTGCTTGTCTGACTCATCCATCCCTGAGGAAATCACGTGGGAGAAACAGATTGCTTATCACACACTTCCAACAAGACAACCCAAAATGAATTTCTAGAGGAAACTGGACTTCCCATAAGTTTAAGATATGTGAAGCCACCCAGGATGGATACTGGGGAGAAAGATGCACATAGACTCCAGACTGGCTTTTACCTGATGGGGTATCACCCTTTGCTTACCTCCTGAAAATGTTAATTTAGTGAAGAACCTGGTGGTTTCTTGATTCGGTAGAGTAGGAAGGTCACAACATCACCCGTGATTATTCTTGCCAAAACGATGTCACCTGAATCTAATTGAGGCCTAACTTCCAGCTTACAGTAAATATGGAGCATGAAGGATGCCAGGTGCAAACAATCAGACAAATGGAGCCTGTGGGAGGCTGGCAGAGACTGTTGCTGGCTACCAGCAGCCATCTGCGGCCCACTTACTCCTTGCCCACCTCCCTGTAAAGCAGCTGAAAGGCCTGGTCCTTGGTTTCAGCTAAGGGTGAATCATGAGCTCACGGTGATCATCAGACCCCACCCCCCTGGACAATGAGAAGTAACAGGGACTCTGCTGGATTGCTTCTTGGAAAGATTTCCCTCCTTGATAAAAGGTAAAAGGCACACAGGGAGACCCCTGTAGCCCCATCCCATTTTCTTCCTGACAGAGACACTGTCCTGGGAGCATATGGTGTGCGGATCTATGACAACTGTTTTACATCCATCAGGGGAAACGTGGCAGACACACTGAGTGTATTGGTTACCCATTGCTTCATGACGATTTACCCTGAAACATGGCACTTTCAAACAATAAGCATGTATTACCTCACACCATTTTTGAGGGTCTGGAAACTGCAAGTGGCTTAGCAGGTGGTTCTCGCTCTTGTCTCTCAAGGTTGCATTCAGGCTGATAGCCAGGGGTGCAGTCATCTCAAGGCTCGTTGGAGCTAAAGAACCCACTTCCAAACTCACCCTTCTGGTTGCCAGTGGGTATCAGTTCTTGGTCAATGTTGACAAAAGCTTTAGTGCCTCATCAAGTGGGCCTCTCTATTGGGAGCCAACTTTCTTGGCAGCTGACTTTCTTCAGTGAGAGATGAAGAGAGTGAGAGAGAGAATGAGGGAAGGAGAGTGTGTGAGCCCAAGATGGGAGCTGCAGCCTTTTTATAACCTAACCTCTGATGTAATCTCAGCTATATTCTATTGGTCACACAGACCAGCCCTGGTAAAATGTAGGAAAAGTGTGAATACCAGAGGGTGGGTATTATCAAGGGCAAATTTGAAGGCTGGCTAAGGCATCAAAAATCGTATAAGAGAAAGCAAGAAAAACCCTGGGTCCTTGATGAGATTCTTGTGTGACTGCACCAACCCCCACACCATTTGTGTGTGTGCTTCCTATGATGACAGATAACTCAATGTCTTTGTTTTTAGTCACTGTTCCCTTGATATTTGCTGCTGAAAACCTCATGGCCAGTGCAAGAGCTCTTAAATATTTCTAGTAAAATGTAGCCCTTATTTTGAGAAGAATGAATGAAATATGCCCTTTGCTTTTAGTAAAAACAAAAGAAATACTTTAAGGTATAGATACTTTGTTATCGTAGGTAAAATAACTGATTCATGAAAATTCTGAAAACTTAATTTGAAAATTTGTATATATTTTTAGAAATTGTTTACCAACTTATTTTTGTTAGAAGCCAAGAAGTAGATTTTTTTTCTCTTCCCTACCCCTCCTGAAAAATACAGTGGGGGTCTGATAACTTTTTTCTCTTTGAGACAGAGTTTCGCTTTTGTTGCCCAGGATGGAGTGCAATGGCACTATCTCGGCTCATTGCAACCACCGCGTCCCAGGTTCAAGACATTCTCCTGCCTCAGCCTCCCAAGTAGCTGGGATTACAGGTATGTGCCAAAACGCCCAGCTAATTTTTGTATTTTCAGTAGAGATGGGGTTTCACCATGTTGACTAGGCTAGTCACAAACTCCTGACCTCAGGTGACCCGCCCCCCTCAGCTTCCCAAAATGCTCGGATTACAGACATGAGCCACCATGCCTGGTCCTGATAACTAATTAAACAGCCCTCCACTGTAGCACTGGCCTTTTGAGGTGTGTGACTTAATTTTTGAATACTTGACCAAACATGTAGACATATCCATGGTGGGGGTAGAAGTGTTTAAATGTTTCCAAAAAGTCAGGAATTTTTAAAGGTACAATGTAAGGAGAGAGGAGAAAGTTTGGCACAGCTGAGATGGGCACAGTTGAGAAGCTTGCTGGCTTCCTGAGCTGTTGTTATTTTGTAGGACCTTGAGATTATTCATGCAGTCTAAATAGTATCTTTTTTCTTATAATGAAAGAGCTCTAGCATAAAGTACCCAAACTAGTGCAGCAAACATTCATATACCCACCAGCCAGACTGAAGAAATCTTAACATTTTACTACATTTGGCTCAGCTATTTCCCTGGTTTTAAAGCAATGAGACGTCACAAGTAAAGGTGAAACCTCCTCAAACTGTTTCCTAATCAATATCACCTTTCACTTCCCCTCCCAGGAGAACCAGGGAGGGAGTGTTCCAGGTTGAAGGGACTCTTTCCCTTCCATGTTTTTTATACTTTCAGTATATTAATATGTTTCATAAACAATATATACTATCGTTTTATAAATCTTTTTAAAAATTTCACATAAACAAACACATTGCCTTTATTTTGCAAATTGCTGTTTTTACTTGGTGTTATGATCCCTGGCTCCAGTCTTTTCCATTTTCCTGCTTTCTGGTGACCCATTATGAGACCATGGGACAACATGTATCATTCTCTTCCTGATGGACATTTGGGTTGTTTCTAGTGTTTTGCTGTAACCAGCAATGCCACAGTGAATCCTTTTGTGTACATCCTTCCTTGGCCCTGCATAGGAATTTCTCAGGTCACAATGTGGGTTTATCAATGGTACCCACAGGATTTCAGTTGATGGAGGTGACTGAGTTACCACATGGAGAGGCTAGTGTCATTGAAGAGATTTCTGTTGCACATACTTACATTTCCTTGCCATGCAGGACTGCATGGGGAAGCTCCAGGTTCGGTCATGGGGCAGAAGGGACGAAAGGAGAGCACAGCCCAGAGCCTTTACGGTGTTTTCCGTGGGAAAGGGAAGGGAAGCGGGGAAGCAGCTTAGGGGCAGGGAAGCAGCTTAGGACTGGCTGATTCAAATCAAGGTGGCGGGCTCTGGGTCATAGGGTTGGTCTCTAGTTGACTGGTGCCTGGCTCTGGGTGATTTTGCCTCTTGGAGTGTAAAAGCCAGATAGAGAGGGTGGATCAGAGCATGGGCTAGTTTACATATGAGAGGCGCCGCTGCCCCACCCACCCCAGCCCTCTGCTATCTCTAAGAATGGGGTAGCCCTGGGAGGGGCAGCCTTGCCCCCATCAGTGAGGCCACAAATGCCAGAACATCAAAAATTCACAAAATAAGAAAGCATGGTTAATACAATGGGCATTTCTGCAACTCTGCAAGGAGTTGCTCGATTGCTCTCTAGAGTGGGTGTGCCAGTTTCCACTCCCATTGAGTGTTTATAAGAGTCCTAATCACGTCACTTCTCTTATTACCAGATTTAAAACGTTTTGCCAGTCTGAGGGCTATGAAATGCTATCTCACTGTTGTTTAATTTATATTTTCCTTATTTTTTGGTGAAGCTAGGCATCATTTCATTTCATTCATTGGTTGTTCCTGTTTCCTTTTCTCTGAATACCTTGTTCTTAGCCTTTTCCATTTGGGAATGCAGGGCAGGGGGAGTGTTGTCTTTTTGTTAATAACATGTAGACGTTGGTACTAATATTGGCTCCGCTGAATGCATTGGAAATATCCTCTCCCGGTGTGCAGTTTTTTAGTCAACATTTTAATGGTGTCTTCGGTGATACAAAAGATTTAAATTTTAATGTAATAAATTGTGTCATTCTTTTCTTTTATAGTTTATATTTTTTTGTGTTTATGGTTTATGTTTTAAAGGCATCAGGATGCTCTCCCATATAAAATAAAATCTTGGTTATTTTAAACGATTTGACCATCAAGCCTAAGCTATTCATTCAGTCTCCTTTGAAAAGCTGCATTTTGGTGGGCAATTTGGCACCATCTATTTAAAAATCAATACTTGCAGGAATTTATCCTACAGAAATACTCATAGGAGTCCTCCAAAAATATATGCAAAGAATTTTTAAATACAGCATCAATTGTAATAGCAAATATCCAGAAATAACCTAAAAGTATATCAATGGCAAGCTAGTTAAATGAATGATGGTATAGCCACATAATGCAATTCTCTGCAGCTACTGAAAAGAATAATTGTGGACCTGGGTGTGCTCATAGGGAACGTTCTCCAAGATATATTGGTAAGAAGGAAAAATAACGATAAAGAAACAAGGATTCAGGCAATATAGTATGCTACCATTTATGTCTAAAAGGTAGAGGAAGAGCTTCTGTATGTATATGCATGTAACATTTCAGAAATAAAACCGCTGAGGATGGTTACTTCTGAGGAAGGGACTGGGGCTTGCGGGTGGAGGGAAACCCATTTTTCACTGCTAGCCTCTTGTGTTGTTTTCATTGTTACTTCCATTACAGTAAACAAAGAAGAATTACTGTGGATGGTCACATTTTCTGTGCGCTGCTATTTGTTTTGGCATTTGGAATATTCTGAGGTGAAGAGGGCCTTTTGTTCCAATAGCTATGAAGAAATTGAATTATTAGAAATGGGGCAGGAGGTTTCATTACACGTGCTGCGTAGCCCCGTCTGGCTGATGAGATTTAGGCTTGCTGTTGTCTGGGGATTCAGGGCAGAGTGGGAGAGTGGAGGATGGGAGGGTTGTCTGTGGGACAGAGGTAGGGTGGGACGAGGTGGGGGACAGGGGAAAGTGGATTGAAGGTGGGACAGGTCTGAGCCAGAGGATCAGCCTGGGCTTCTGTAGCCCTAGGACCAACTGTGTGAGGTCTGGGTCACCCCCAGGCTCTCAGTCTCCTTGCACTGCCTGGCTGCAGGGTTGGAAGAACCTCTGCACCCCCTCCCCAGTGGAGAAGGAGAATCCCAATCTCAAAGGCTCTGGCAGGCGATTCTCCCCAGAGGATAAAAAGCCGTGCTCATCCTAGGAAAATGTTCATCCAATAAAAAAGAAATAAAGGCACCCTGAGTTTACCCTGGTTAAAAGAAGAGAAAGGGATCAGATCAGCATCCATGGAGCAAAGACAAGATGTGCCGCCAGGGTTAAGTCCAGCCGCCTTTCTTAGGGCGGTACAGTATGGCCACTTAGGGAGTCCAGCTGTCTTAGTTCAAGACACAGCTATGTTAGTTGCACCTTTGACAAATTATTTGACATCTCTGTGCCTTAGCTTTCTCATCTAGAAAATGGGAAAATAATCAAACTTGCCTCCTAGGGTTTTCTCCTGGCACATGGCAAGTGCTTACCAAGTGTTAACTGTTTTTATTCTTTATTTCTCGCTTTTGTAAGTTCAGCACAGCTGGGCCCTAAGACTGTGATATGGTCAGTGCACGAAGATTGGAACCACGTCTGAGGTGAACACACGTTCACCAAACTCACAAGCCTGATGAATGAATTGTAACCTAACTTGTTAATTTACATTGACCTGAATACGTAGGTAAACCCATCAACACTTTCCTCCTCCCTTTTCCTCATGTGGGAGCCCAGACTGTCCTCAGAGGCTCTTTAGGGGATGGGAGCACTTCTGTGCCTTATTTACTTCCCTGGCTGTTCCTGCTGTTTGACTGTAAGCCCCTTAGGGGAAGACACTTCGGTACACAGGAGGATTGCCATTCATGGTGGTCAGAAAAATATCTGTTGAATTAGTGATGGTCATTGCAAGTGCTCTCTATCATAGCAAAACACTGGAAACAACCTAAGTGTCCAACAACAGGGATTTGTTATTAAATTGTGGTCTAGTCACCTCACAAAACTGAACAATCATTAAAAATGATCATGAAAATGGTCGTGGCCAAGCTTGGTGGCTCATGCCTGAAATCCCAGCACTTTGGGAAGCCAAGGAGGGAGGATTGCTTGAGCCCAGCCGTTCAAAGCCAGCCTGGGGGACATGGCAAAACCTCATCTCTACAAAACGCACACACAAAATATTAGCCGGGTGTGGTGGTGCATGCCTGTGGTCCCAGCTACTTGGGAGGCTGAGGCAGGAGGATTGCTTGAGCCTGGGAGGTCAAGGCTGCAGTGTGCTGTGATGGCACCACTGCATGCACTCCAGGCTGGGTGACAGAGCCCGCACCCTCCTCCCTGCCCCAGAAAAAAATCATATGGAAAGATAGATAAATGCTTGTGATGTAATCTTAGAAAAACAAAATAAATAAAAATAATCGAAACAGACCTGATGTGGATTCATCTGTATGATATTTTAAGTACAAAATGAGGTTCAGAAGAGGGTGTATAATATGCTACCATTTGTGTAAAAAAGGGGGCAAAGAACATAAGACTTCACTTGCAGATATAAGGATAAACTACCTCTGAATGAGACACAAGAGACTGAAAACATCGGTGGCCTCTGGGGAGGGGACCAAGAGATGGAAAGTAGGGAAACCTGTCCCTGACAATACTTTTGCACCTTCTGAATGTTGAACCATGTGAATGTGTTTCTGATTCAAAATTTAAATAATTTAAAACACTTTCTTATACATAGCAAAGTAAAAGTAAAATAAATATACTTTTTCCATATATTTCTCAATCCTAAGGCATATATTTTCCCCCCAAGTTGTAAGGTTTCTGATATTAAGATGTATCTCACCATCAATTGCCATTTTATTTTTTATCCTTATTTTTATATTTTAGGGACAGGGTCATACTCTGTCACCCAGGCTGGAGTGCAGTGATGTGTCATAGCTCACTGCAGCCTTAAACTCTTGGGCTCAAGCAATCCTCCTGCTTCAGCCTCCTAGTAGCTAGGACTACAGGCACACAACACAACACCTGCTTATTTTTAATTTTTTGTAGAGATGGGGTCTCACTGTGTTGCCCAGGCTGGTCTCAAACTCCTGGCCTCAAGTGATCCTCCCTCCTCAGCCTCCCAAAGTGCTGGGATTATAGGTATGAGCCTGGCCTCAATGGTCTTTCATTTCTTAAAAAAAAAATTTCAACTTTTATTTTAGATTTAGGTAGTACATATGCAGATTTGTTACCTGGGTACATTTTGTGATGCTGAGGTTTGGGGTACAACTGATCCTGTCACCCAGGTACTAAGCATAGTACTCAATAGTTTTTGAACTCTTGCCCTCCTCCCTCCCTCCCTAGTAGATCCCAGTGTCTACTGTTGCATCTTTATGTGCTTGAGTACCCACTGTTTAGCTCCCACTTATAAGTGAGAACATGCGGTATCTGGTTTTCTGTTCCTGAGTTAATTTGTGTAGGATAATGGCCTCTGGCAACATCCATGTTGCTGCAAAGGATGATTTCATTCTTTTTTATGGCTGTATAGTATTAATGTTCATTCTTATTAGGTTCTCACAGTGTTTTTTTTTTCTCCTGAAAAGCTTTTACTAAATCGATGTTGGATCTTGAAACTGATAGTATTTTATAATCAAGGAGATACAGTACATAAAAATGTGGGTGTGTGGAGAGGGACTGTACAGTGAAAACCATTGTGTGGTGGGATTGCGGGGATCTTTCTTTTTCAAAATAGTCTTTACTAGTATATTTACTTCACCTTTTCAGTATTTTTTTTCTTTAAACACAGTTTTAACTGCTTGCAGCAGATAATCGATGGTTTTGGAGGAGTTCCCCAGATAACCTGCAAAGCAATAACCCCATGAAAGTCACCAACTCCTCAGCTTAGTTTAGCTTAAATATAACTGACAAAGCCCTGAGCCCTAAATTTAGCTGTGGTTCCAAGGAAAGACCCTTTGTCTTTGGATTTTTCATGAGAAATCCACCTTCTAGGAACAGGTTGTGCAAAACTGAGATAATACTCCCTTGGTCACTAGGAGGGTCTGTTCCAGCAATTGGTTCAGACCTCAAGTTTTGGTCTGAACCATTGCTGTGGTTCACAACACAATGATGAGTTGGAAATGGTGATACAACCCAGAACCTGCTGGCCAGACTGCCATAGTGGGGCAGCACACTGAGCATTGTGACCAAAGGGTGGCCTTGAAACCCTGCTGCTTCCAGAAATTCAGACCAGTCCTGACAAATCTCTGTGGATAAAGGACTTCTAAATCAAATAAATACATTTAAGGAATATTGCAGGTGAGATTGGGATAAGCACTTGGAGAGCGACAATGCAAACCTTCATATTAAAGGCACTGAAAAGTTCTGTGTAGCAAGTTTTATTGGATTCTGGTCCCTTTCTTCCTGACTAAACAAATCCTAATTCTGTTTACCTTCTTCAGGGCAGCCAAGCCCTTCAGGACAAGAAGACCCCAGAACAAAGGAGTTTAAGAAAGAGCAGATGAAAACAATTCTGGTCCATAAGATAGAGAATAAACCTGCTGGGGAATTCTGAGAAAGATGTCTTTGCTCTTTAAAAAGACACTAACAAAAATTTTGCATTCAGTAGTGGCTGAGTACCTCCCATAGGACCACAAACCTCCCACATGACAAAATTATAAAAAACAACTATGAAAACTCTGGAGAGTGATCAAAAGGCATGGATATTGGAGGGGAGACAATACTTGGAAGAAGGGAATAGCAATGGATTTTTTAAAAAATTTTTTGTAGTTTGTTTGCTGAGGGAAGCCCCTAGTCAGGGATGTGTGGGGTGGTTAAAACTAGGATGTAAAGCTCACGCTTGTACTGGCGTGAAAAACCAGAGGACAGAGCTCTGGTGACTACACAGCTGGAAAGTGAGGAAGGAAATCCTGGAAAGGAGAAGAAGCCATAAATGAGTAGCCTCAAATTCTGTGTATAGACTCTGCTCAAATCTCTGAACCCCACATGTGCAGGACAGACTCCAAGCTGCATGGCTAAGGCTAAATTATCTAAACTAAGATTTCAGCTCCCAGCCAGATGCAGTGGCTCACACCTGTAATCCAGGCAGTTTGGGAGGCTGAGGCGGGAGGATTGCTTGATACCAGGAGTTCTAGACCAGCCTGGGCAATGTAGCAAAACCTCATCTCTACAAAAATAAAAATAAAATAAAGATTTCAGCTCCTATTCATCAGAGGGAAGAGCATTTTCAGTTTGAGAGTTCGGCCAATTTAACGGCTAGCTAAAACAAATAAACACAAACAGTAATACTTTTCAGAAGAACAAAAGAAATCCAGAGTTCCTACACTGTACACTCGCAATATTCAGGAGACAGTTCAAAGATGCTTGACATTAGAAGCAGGAAAATGTGACCCATACAAAAGAGAAAAAGGAATCAATGGAGACCAACCTTGAGACAACTCAGATGTAAAAACTAACAGACAAGAATTTTAAAGCAGCTATTATAACCATTTTCAAGAATGTAAATGAGAATATGCTCATAATGAATGAAAAGAAGGGAAACCTCAGCAGATAAACAAAAACTGTAAAAAGACCTCAGTGGGAATTCTAGCACTGAAAAATACAACATCTGAAAGAAAAAGACAAACAAGCAATAACCCATTTTTTTGCCTTTGGCCATCATCAGGATGTGATGTTTATTTTGCCACAGTCAACTTCTGGTCATAAGGATAGCCATCCTGAGGACAAGGCCTATGTGCTGTGCCATCTATGGCAGAGCAAGAAGACAGAAGGAATGTGGGTCTTTAATCATGTCTCTGAGCCGCTGGACTAATTAGAATTTCCCTGATGCCAAATGTCTTGTACTGGGAGAAAAATAAAATATCCTTATTTAAGCAATTTCTGTTTGGATTTTATGTTACTAACATGAGAAAGAAAGCGTTGTTGGGGCTCAGAAAATGATACCCTAAAATATGCTGTTTTGGACTTCAAACTGAGAGTACCTGGGGAGCAGCAAATGCAGGGAAGGGTTTTCTCTGAAGTTCTCCACCCAGAAGCTTCTCTGGAAGATATTAAATTGTTGTGAATCCCCTCCCCACATATTTCACCTACTGGAGGAAACTGATGCATATTGCAAAAAGGAAGACTAGAGTTGACACCACACCCAGATCCCAGGCAAAATTTGTCCCAGGCTATTGTCTGTTCTTCAGAACCGTTAATCTCCCCTAAAAATCATTTACTCTTCTTCTAAAGTTGCCTATATCCCCCCACTTCCTCTCCCCTATGAAGAGGGTATTTAAGCTTTAATCATCTTGCCCTTCTTTGAGTTTCAAGCTTTGTGGGACTCCCATTCATTTGCATGTTAATAAATTGGTATGCTTTTTCTCCTATTAATCTGTCTACTGTCTGTTTATTTCAGACAAAATTCTCAAACCTCAGAAATGTGGGGAGTAGGCCAGGCGCAGTGGCTCACACCTGTAATCCCAGCACTTTAAGAGCCTGAGGCGGGTGGATCACGAGGTCAAGAGGTCGAGACCATCCTGGCTAACATGGTGAAACCCCGTCTCCACTAAAAATACAAAAATTAGCCAGGCATGGTGGCACGTGCCTGTAGTCCCAGCTACTTGGGAGGCTGAGGTAGAAGAATTGTTTGAACCCAGGAGGTGGAGGTTGCAGTGAGCCGAGATCACACCAATGCACTCTAGCCTGGAGACAGAGCAAAACTCCATCTCGAAAATAAATAAATAAATATATATATATGGGGGATAATTTCTTAGAGCATCATAAGTGATAACACTCTGAAGTAAAGATTTTGGCTTAATTTGTTTAACCCAAGTTTCAGTAAATGTATGTGACTACATTTTTTTTTTTTCTAAGACAGGTTCTTCCTATGTTGCCCAGGCTGGTTTCAAACTCCTGGGTTCAAGGGATTCTCCTGCTTTGGCCTCTCAAAGTGCTAGGATTACAGGCGTGAGCCACCATGCCTGACTGACCACATCTTTTTAAAGTAACATCTATTGACATATCAAGCACACTTAGGAAAATCTTGTGTAGATCCTAGTTTCTGCCTTAAAAATCTGCATCATTCAATTATATCACCTGTAGGATATTAAAGGCCCGGGCTATTTTGACCATATAACAAGTGAGACACACAAACAACTGGTGACTGGAAGTCTGCTAGGAACCTACCGTTAGAAATTTTCATGTTTGCAAATTACTGGAAACTCTTGGTACTCAAAGTGTGGTATGTGAACAGCAACATCTCAGCCCAAGCCCAGACCTACTGAATCTAAGATCTGCATTTCAGCAAGACCCCTCAGTGTTTCAGATGCATGTTAGAGTTTGAGAAGGACTCCTGTAAACTATAAACTGCAATAGAGATGTTAGCGGCATTGTTATTAAAGAAAAAACTACTACAAATAATTTCTTAGCCTGCTATTTCAGAGACCTTCACAGAATCATCTCATTTGGCTTTCACAGCAATGCTGTCAGTTAGATTTTTTTTTTTTTTTAGACGGAGTTTCACTCTTGTTGCTCAGGCTGGAGTGCAGTGGCACAATCTTGGCTCACTGCAACCTCTGCCTCCTGGGTTCAAGTGATTCTCCTGCCTCAGCCTCCCAAGTAGCTGGGATTAGAGGCATGTGCCACCACACCTGGCCAATTTCGTTTTTGTTTTGTTTTGTTTTGTTTTTTGAAACAGAGTTTCACTCTTGTTGCCCAGGCTGGAGTGCAATGGCATGATCTCGGCTCACTGCAACCTCTGCCTCCCGGGTTCAAGCAATTCTCCTGCCTCGGCCTCCCAAGTAGTTGGGATTACAGGCATGCGCCACCATGCCCAGCTAATTTTTGTATTTTTAGTAGAGACGGGGTTTTTCCATGTTGGTCAGGCTGGTCTCGAACTCCCAACCTCAGGTGATCCACTCACCTCGGCCTCCCAAAGTGCTGGGATTACAGGCGTGAGCTACTGCACCTGGCCAATTTTG
Organism: Homo sapiens; assembly: GCF_000001405.40. Taxonomy (NCBI): domain Eukaryota; kingdom Metazoa; phylum Chordata; class Mammalia; order Primates; family Hominidae; genus Homo; species Homo sapiens. The sequence goes on along the minus strand of NC_000006.12, from coordinate 36,255,215 downwards.
TATTTTTTTTTAGTAGAGAAGGGATTTCACCATGTTGGTCAGGCTGGTCTCGAACTCCTGACCTCAAGTGATCCACCTGCCTCAGCCTCCCAAAGTGCTGGGATTACGGGCATTAGATTTTTTTAAAACCTCTGTTTATAGAAGAGGAAATAAGATTCAGCAAAGTAAAGTGACAGATTATGTTAAGTTATGATCAGTTGCATAGTTGGGAAAGAAGTTGCAATTCATTGTCCGGGCACTAGGTCATTGTTTTCAATGATGCAGGCATTTGATGCCCAATTAAACTCGGAGGCAAGCCCCTGCCCTCCCTTTGAACATCCTTTTGCAGTCTCTACTTGGATCTTGCTCCTCTCTCAATGCCCAGGGCTATCCTGTGCCCCAGAAGGAGAGAAATGATAATCCAGGTCACACAAGCAGCCACTTCTGTCTGTCTACCAATGGCCCAGAGAGGTCTCAGCCCCTGAGAGGGGCCTGAATCCAAGGCTCAGAGTTAAGTAGACCCAATGGCCACAATAACAAATTCCTGGTTGAGAAAGCCAGGTCCATCCCTACAGCAGCCTGCAAGGACTTTTAAACTCCACTCCAGTTAAGATGGCCCATTCTTTTCTTTTTCTGTTTTTTGTTTTTTTTTTTGTTTGTTTGAGACAGGGTTTTCCTCCGTCGCCTATGCTGGAATGCAGTACTGTGATCATAGTTCACTGCAACCTTGAACTCATGGGCTCAAGTGATCCTCTGCCTCAGCCTCCAGCATAGCTGGGACTACAGGTGCACCCCACCACGCCTGGCTAATATTTTAAATTTTCTGTTGAGATAGGGTCTCACTATGTTGCCCAGGCTAGTCTCAAGCTCCTGGGTTCAGGCAATCCTCCCACCTCAGTCTCCCAAAATGTTGGGATTACAGTTGTGAGCCACCCACCCTTCCTAGGATGGCCCAATCTAATCAATTAGGGAACCAAGACCAGGATGGGATTAGGATGTGATTGAAAAGAATTCATGATTAGTCAGAAAAGAACAGAAGCAATTAGTTTTTAAGAAATTTAAGCATTATTTAAAGGTTTATTTGTAAAAACAATTGATGATGCATTCTTTACTTGGCTATTTAATGGTTGTTTAGCTGTTTAATAAAGGGTTGCAATTTTGTTTTTTTTAAAGGTGAGAAAACATATTGCTTTCTAGCTCAGTTAACAGTAGCTACAACTTTAGCTCTGTAGTCAGACCATATGACCTCGGAATGGGAGCAGCATACCCTGACTGTAAGGAATCTAAGATGAGGACAGTGCTGAGGGCTAAGCTCACACGGGGAGAATACAGCCGAAAGACACGTTAACTTCTTCCTGGTTCAGGTGAGCCAGTCTTGCACTTTAAATGTTGAACAAAATTCTCATGTGCAATGATAGAACCATTCTGAAAGGTAATTTGCTATTTATCGAGAACTCTGGCCAGGAGCAGTGACTCACATCTGTAATCCCAGCACTTTGGGAAGCCGAGGCAGGAGGATCATTTGAGGCCAGGAGTTTGAGACCAGCCTGGGCAAAATATCGAGACCCAGTCTCTACTAAAATTTTTTAAAAAATTAGTTGGGTGTAGTGATGCATTCCTGTAGTCCCAGCCACTTGGGAGGCTAAGGCAGGAGGATCACTTCAGCCCAGCAGTTTGAGGCTACAGTAAGCTATGATCACACCACTGCATCTAGTCTGTGACAGAGCAAGACTCTGTCTTTAAAAAAAAATTATCAAGAATTATAACAGTTGTGTCTTAGATGAGACTCACTGTTTTCGATATTTGACTTAGTTAACCCATTTGTGGAAATATATTCTAAGGAAATAACCTACCTCTAAACAAAAGAGCTCACCGCATTATTTTAACTACTCAAGCATTGTAAAGCTACATTGCAGAGTAAGGGAGTAGTAAAATGATCTACAGTGTATCCACCCAATGCTATGTTGAGTAGCCATATTTTAAATGATGTTGACATTCATAGTATATTTGGTATTGAACTAGACTTCCCCTCTATTGCCTTTATTTATTTGTTTATGAAGACAGCGTCTCGCTCTGTCTTCTAGGCTGGAGTGCAGTGGCCCAATCTCAGCTCACTGCAACCTCCGCCTCCCGGGTTCAAGCAATTATCCTGCCTCAGCCTCCCGAGTAGCTGGGACTACAGGTGCATGCCACCACGCTCGGCTAATTTTTTGTATTTTGGTAGAGATGGGGTTTCATGTGTTGCCCAGGCTGGTTTCGAACCCCTGAGCTCAGGCAATCCGCCAGCCTTGGCCGCCAAAAGTGCTGGAATTACAGGCGTGAGCCACCACGCCCGGCCCTCTATTGCCTTTCGTCCAACAGATGAAAATGGTTGAAACAAAGTTAAAAATGAAAATTGCAAGGCAAAGATTTTTTGTGAAGTGCTAGCTGTAACATTTGGTCTAAGATAATACCAGGAAGGGCCTGCCTAGACATTACCGTCTCTTCTATCCACTCAGATCTGAAGCTCAGCCATGCTTCATGTCCTGTCCTCTCCACGAGGCTTCCCCTGAGTCCTCAGCCCTCCTTTCACAACTCCGACAGCACACTTTGGTCCTCAGATAGACTGTCTTGTGGAGTGGGTGTCTTCATTAAGTACCTGTGTCTTCCCTTGGGCTCCCTGACATCAGTGCCTGGGTTTTTTTTTTTTTTTTTGACCCCTTTTGCCATGTACACACACAGCCCAACCCCTGAACCCAGTCGCTCACCAAGTCCTACTGATTCCACTTCCTGGCTTCCTTACTCCATCCCCGCCTCTCTGTCCCCTCCGTGAAGGTCTGCGCTCAGGGCTGCCTCATCTCCTTGCTGCGTTACTGCAGCAATCCATGCTGTCTCTGTTAGGCTGCTCTGGGCTGCAAGTTACAGAAAACTCAATGTGCAGTGGATTACATGACAAGACTAGTTTTACTGGGGAGAAAAAAACCCTTTCTAGAAAGCCCTCCAGAAAGTCCTCAGGATCTGCCAGCTGGAACTGGGTCATGTGTCCATGCCTGAGCTGCAGGGGAGGCTGGGAAAGCCCTTGTTTGGCATTTTCCATCTCTACAGTGATGCAGTCTCTGCCTGGAGGAAGGAGAGAAGGCAAGGGGCAGTTTCTATTAGGATAGGGAGCTGACAGTTCTGCCTCAAACTTCCTTACCTGGGGTCTCCCCACCCCTTTGCTTCATTCCTGACACTGCCGCTATTCATTCATTGATTTAACTAATCGTTCATTCATTGCATTAGTCAGTTTTGGCTAGGTCTTTTTGTTTTTTTGGAGACAGGGTCTTGCTCTGTCATCCAGGCTGAAGTACAGTGGTGCCATCATAGCTCACTGTAACCTAGAATTCCTGGGCCCAAGCAATCCTCCTGTCTCAGCCTCCCATGTAGCTAGGACTACAGACTTGCACCACCTCACCTGGCTAATTAAAAAAAAATTTTTTTTTGTAGAGACGGGTCTCTCACTATGTTGCCCAGGTTGGTTTCGAACTCCTGGCCTCAAGCAGTCCTCCCACCTCTGCCTCCCAAGATGCTGGGATTTACAGGTGTGAGCCACTCCCTGGTTATGTTGTGGTAACAAACAATCTTGAACTACCAGTAGCTTGGAATAACAAGTTTACATATTTGGCCATGGTATCAACTGAACCTTCACTGGCAGCAGGGGGAAGAGAAAAAGAGATCTGTGCCAGCTCTGAAATGCTTCCACCTGAACTTGACATGCATCATTCCTGCTCACATCTTACTGGTTAAAGCAAGTCACATAGCTACACCTAACTTCAGAAGGGCATAGAAGAGCAATCATCCTTTGTGCAGGATGAACAGAAGTAACAGTTACCACACTCAACACATATTTATTAAGCATCTATTATGACATTGCTAAGCAGAGAAACCAAACCCAGCAGCCCAGGAGTTCTAGGTTGCAGTGAGCTATGATGGCATCACTGTACTCCAGCCTGGATGACAGAGAAAGAGCCTGTCTCCAAAAACACAAAAAGATCTAGCCAAAGCTGACTAATGCAATGAATGAATAGTTAGTTAAATGAGTGAATGAATAGTGGCAGTATCAGGAATGAAGTGAGGGGGTGGGGAGACCCAAGATGAGGAAATTTGAGGCAGAACTGTTGGTTCCCTACCTTACTAGAAACGGCCCCTTTGCCTTCTCTCCTTGCTGGAGATGCATTGGTGAGCAAAACGAAGTATGTGTTCTGAAAGCCTTTACAGGCCGGGCGCTGTGGCTCACACCTGTAATCCCAGCACTTTGGGAGGCCGAGGCAGGTGGATCACGAGGTCAGGAGATCGAGACCATCCTGGCCAACATGGTGAAACCCCGGCTCTACTAAAAATACAAAAATTAGCTGGACGTGGTGGCGTATGCCTGTAATCCTAGCTACTTGGGAGGCTGAGGCAGGAGAATCACTTGAACCGGGGAGTCAGAGGTTGCAGTGAGCCAGGATCACGCCACTGCACTCTAGCCTGGCAACAGAGTGTGAGCCACCACACCCAGCCTACCTCTTACATTTCTATTGCATTAAAACACCAACTTGCCTGTCTCCCTGAGTAGACTATAAAACCTTAAAGACGGTTATCTCTTCTTATGACCCTAATACCTAGAATGGTGCCTAGCACTAGTAGACACTCAATAAATATTTGTTGAATGATGTATGAGACAGGATGAACTCAGCTACAAGGAATAAGATGCCCAACTATCATTGGCTTAAACAAGCATGGGTGGTGGTGGTATTTTCACAGAGCAAAAAATCTAACACCCAATAACTGCTGGGGTTGGTTTCTCTGCTCAGCAATGTCACCCAGCACCTAGGCTCTTTCCAGCCTTACACCATGATATTCTCAGCTTTTGGGCTTTCCTTCCTGTGACTGTGCCTCATGATCACAGGACTGCTGCCACATCTCCAAATAACATACAGTATTCATATTTAAGGTGAGAGAAGCAGAAGGGACCACAGGGGGCTCTTCTCTTGGGACTGTTGCTTTAGCCGGGAACAAAAGGCCTCCCAGAAGCCACCCAGTAGCTCGCATCTCACAGCCAAAGCATGATCACATGGCAGAACAAGGCCAGGAAAGAGAATATCTGGATTTCCGATCTCTGTGGTTGGAGATGACAAGGAAGGGGCTGGGAATGGTTTGGGTAGCCAACCGAAAGCGTTCACTGCAAATGAGGAGTATGTGCTTAATAAATATTTATTAGTGGAGGCTCAGATTTTTATGGTCTGGTTCTTCCTTTATTTGTAGTAGCATATAAAGAACCCTCATCATTGCAATAACTAACCACTATTGACCACGTTTTCTGTTCATCCGGAACTCTGTGCTAAGCAAGTTATATGAATTTTCTTCTTCTATCTTTGCAACCTTAGGACAGAGGTAATATCAATCTCTGTTTTACATATGAAGAAATTGGATCTCAGAGTAGTTAAGCAACTTGTCCAACTTGTTCACTTACCAGCTAGTAAGTGATGAAACAGGGATGTAAACTCTCATGGTCTGAGTCCAGAGCCCATGTCCCTATCCTAGAACGTTAGTTAGATCTCAGGGGAGCCTAGAGCTCATCATACACAAATCCTTCACTTACGTGGTGCTGAAGCTGAGGTCCAGAGATGGCTGGTGACCTGCTCCAAGTCACACCACAACCCTAAGTCAGAGCCAGGCCCAAAACCTACGAGTCCCAACACCCAGGCCATTGTTTTATTTTCTGCCACACTGGGCATCCTCTGTTTAGAAACTCCACATCAGTTCACTCATCTTTAAAAAGACAAAATGTCAAATTTGGAATCCTGTGGACAATTCGGTCAAAAATAGAACTGTATTTGACTTAAGGTTTGGCAAATTAGAACAAGCTGTTTCCTTTTTTGGAGTCAAAACCTGATGATAAGCTGGTTCCAACTCTTTTATTCATCTCAATGGAAACTCCAGTGTGTATAATATTTTTTAGTTCTCAGGAAATAAAAGGAAGAATGTAAGGTCAGAGCCTCAGCTGGGATGTACCGAGATGACTTCCAACCCCAAGCTCATGACCCAGAAATGCCTTACTAGTAATGTTTACTCATGTCCTGTGTAACACAAGCCTTGGGAAGTCTCTAGGAGGAGAAAGTATGCAGGTTATACCACCTCCTAGCTGTGGGATCCCATGACTAGGCCCCTAGCAAAAACTAAGCAGCACTAATGGACAGAAACACCTGGCATGAAGTGGGACTCTGTAAGAGCAAGTTACCTCTCCCCTGGCCTCTGCACCTTCCCCATTGGGCCTCTCTAGGGCAGATATGCAGCCAGCATCCAGTGCAACAAGCAGTGCCGACCTTGCCCACACCCCCCCTTTTTCAGAAGATGAAGTTCTTCTCAATAGGACTCAATCTTTTGGTGGGGGGACGTTTGCTTAAATTGAAAAGTTGGCCAGGTTCAGTGGCTCACACCTGTAATCTCAGCACTTTGGGAGGCTGACGTGGGCGGATCACCTGAGATCAAGAGTTCAAGACCAGCCTGGCCAACATGGTGAAACCTTGTCTCTGCTAAAAGTACAAAAATTAGCTGGGCATGGTGGCATGTGCCTGTAATCCCAGCTACTCAGGAGGCTGAGATAGGAGAATTGCTTGAATCCAGGAGGCACTTGCAGTGAGCCGAGATCGTGCCACTGCACTCCAGCCTGGGCGACAGAGCAAGACTCCGTCTCAAAAAAAAAAAAAAATGAGAAGTTATTTTGGTGTGGCATTTAAGACACCTAGGTAAGGTTATAAGCACGAGCCCGAGTGAAGCAGTGTTTGAATTTAGGCTGTGTCACTTCCTAATAATGTGTGTGGTTACGCAATTTCCTTGTGTCTCAATAAAATAGAAGTAATAATAACAGAGCCTCCCTCAGAGGGCTGTTGGAGGAGTAGATGAGGTGCTACATGCAGGGCCCTGAGAACTGTCCTGTCGCTCAGGAAGCAAGTTTTGCAGGTTCACCAGAGCCTTGTCGAATCCTTATATCTGTTCTCCACTGCATTTTTCTTTTATTTTATTATTATTTTTTTAAATCACCTCCCTTCCTCCCACAGCATTGTTCATCTGAGTGTTCGGTGTGGATTACACCAAACATTTTCTCTGCTTCTTTTAAGGGTGTGGACAATCGGGCAAGTGACTGCATGTGACAACAGAGAGAGGGCATGGTACACGGTGGCAGATGAGCCCGGGACTGGAGGCAGATCTGGGTTCCAGTTCGGGCTCTACCAGCAGCACCCATGTGTCCTTCTGTTCTCTGGGCCTCAATTTCCTGTTGTAAAATTCAGAACTTGGAAGAGGTAAGTGGTTAGGTCATTCCTGAGACATCCCAGATAATCACAGCCATCCAAACGTTGGCTCGGGAGCCCTGAGTAACCAAGACTGCAGGAAGCAACAGTTTAGTAAGGGTTCAGAATCCTGTGATTAGGGCTCGAGAATGAAATACTCTTCTAAGAGCTTCTCCCAGACCAAAAGGAGCTAATTAGGAAAGAATGGTGGCATTCTCTGGGCAAACTGGAGGAGCCCCTGGGCTTGGCCTCCTTATGCCTTCCTCCTTGACCCTCCTCTAGCCCCCTTGGACACAACACAACGTCCCCCCTCTGCTTTTTCCCCAGATACTATGGTAAACCTGCTCTCAGATCTTTCTCCACACCTAGAAAAATTCATTCATCGACTATACACTTTAATGAATATGCACTTACTATGTACCAGATATTCTTTGGCTGCTAGGGCAGAGCAGCAGGGACATAGCCCCTGTCCCCGTGGGGTCAACATGCTGGTGGAGGGAGTCAGAGGTAATAAAATAAGCAAGTAAGACACACAGTAGAGCAGGCAGAGTTGGCGGAGAACTGGATCTAACTGGGTTGGGGTTTTGCCAAGCAAGTACAGTCCAACTTGGAGTGTGGAGGGAAGGGTATAGAAAAGGTAGGGACTAGAATAACTAACCCTGGAATTTAGGCTGGGAAAGGAGGGAGTAGGGATTTGAAAGCGGGTGAGGTCAGTAGTCTGTGGGGCCCTGAGGGGCGATGGCTCCAAGGCACGAGCCGGAAAGAGGTTTGACAGTGGCTTCTCTGGAGGGCTCAAGCTTGACCAGGAAACTGAGTGCCGAGCCCTGGAAGATCACTGGGGAGAGGAGGTCAAAGAACTGGGAGGCCAGGGCACCATCGGCGGGCTGGTAAGTGGATGGTGAAACCACCAGGCAGGGGGCAGGAGGAGCTGGAGAGAGGACGCGAGATGGGAGCTAAAATCCTAAAATCCGCAGGGAGTGCGGAAAGCAGTGACAGCAGTGAGCGCGGGGAGGCTGGTCCTGAGTCTGGGATGGGGCGATGGCGTTCAAGAAGACATATTTAAGAGTACTATGTAATTTTACGTGTGGGAAGAACCTTTTGTTTTTGTAATTAGAACTACAGAAAGGGACAGAGCTGTTTATGTCATGAAAAGCAGGCCTGAGCATTAGAAGACTGAGAAACACCTGGGAGGATCTTGTTTCAACAGAGCTCAAAGCCGTGGCAAAAGGACGGAGCTCGAATTGTGCAATTGTGAGTGACTCGAAGCTGGGTGGGAAAGCGTCTAGTTTCTTATGCATAAAGGACCTTCCTGTTGTCTCTGAAATCATACCAAGTAGATGCCACCATTTCAGCAGAGGCTTGAATTATACTGATAATGACAAGTTATCAGTATCATATAACTAATGTAATTGATTGATAGGAGGAGTTAAGGACACGGGATCTGGCCGGGCACCATGGCTCACACCTGTAATTCCAGCACTTTGGGAGGCCAAGGTGGGCGGATCACTTGAGTTCAAGAGTTCAAGATCGGCCTGGGCAACATGGCCAGGCAACATGTAAAAATACAAAATTTAGCTGGGTGTGGTGGTGGGCGCACCTGTAATCCCAACTACTTGGGAGGCTGAGATGGGAGAATCATTTGAACCTGGGAGGTGGAGGGTGCAGTGAACTGTGATTGTACCACTGCACTCCAGCCTGGGTGACAGAGTAAGACCTCGTCAAAAAAAAAAATCCAAAAATGTGGGATCTGTTTAAACCCTGGCTCTGCTCCCTGCTACTCATTACCCTCATCTGTGCAGCAGGGGTGATACCAGCCCTCACCCCTCTGTTTCTGAGAAGTAGATGAGCGTGTATGTGCACAGAGACCTGCCTGCAGTGTTGTGAGGACTCACAAAATGTTGGCTAGATATCCTAATCTTTCTCATGTTTGTTGGCAAACAAAAACAGGCTGAGATGGCCCTGTGCCATTCGTATATCTGTGTGTGGAATAACAGACAGTATAAAGCTGAAAAGCAGGTCCCTCCCTGGCTAATTGCATTTCAGCAGCCGCTGGGAGGCAGTGTGGCGGGGGGCGGGGAGTGAAACTGTGCGGGGAGTCAGGGAGCCTGGGTTTCCTCCTCAGCCAATGAGGCCAAGGCCAAATCAGGATGTCCCTGAGCCCCTGTTTGCCTACCTGTAACGTGGGGATGACGGTTCCTGCCAGGTACCCACAAGGCTGTTGTGAGGACTGAATGAGGAAATGCTCCTTGAAGATAAATGACAATGCCACAGAAGAGCGGATGCAGCTCCCCTGTGCTGAGTACTCACCTACTGTGTGCTGGGCACAGGGGCAGAGCCACCCACCCCTCCCTGCAGCAGTGCCTGGAAGGCAGGACCAGCATCCTGATAGCCAGAGTTGAGACAGAGTTTAAGGGCCTGCCAGGCATAACTCCCTCGCCAGGCATAGAAATAAAGGAACATCTTGAGTTCTTTCAAGGGAAGTTCCAGGCACCTAGCTAGCCCTGAGAGTAAATGAACAACATGATAAGCAAGAAGGAAATAATAGCTTTTCAAAAAAAATAGCCAAGGAAGTTAGAGTCACAAAATACTTGGTTCCCTATTGAAACTTAAGATAACATCTTAATATATGTTCCTGAGTTGTTTTTCAGAAACCCAGGCCCCCAGCAAATGGAAAATGCCATCCACTGGCACAGAGACTTCAGTTGGGAGCCGAGGACTGAACTCAGACCACCATTCTTTGTTCAACATTTCTTCCTGAGGGGCCTGGAGGAAGTCACACCCACAGGCCAGAGCTCAACATTCCTTTCTGCTGACCCCAGGTTTTTAGACAAAGCTTTGCCTCCTTAACCAATCACAAATCAGAGGATCTTTGAATCCACCTATGACCTGCGGGCCCCGCTTCGAGATGTCCCACCCTTTTAGGTCAAACCAATGCACAGTTTCCATGTATTGATTTATGACTTTGCCTGTAACCTCTGCCTCCCTGCCTTTAAAAACCCTTACCTGTGAGCCACCCTGGAGTTCGGGGCTTAAGCATGAGCTGCCCGATTCTCCTTGCTTGGCACCCTGCAGTAAATGCCTCACTTTCTCTTGCTGCAAATCCCAATGTCAGTGCTTGGCTTTGCTGCACCTGGTGGGCAGACCCAAGTTTGGCAACAGAGTCTGTGGGAGAAAGTGCTGTCAGAGGAACATGCTGGAGCAGCCAGATTATAGAAGAAAGAAGTATCGTTATGGTTAAGTCTGTGAGCAGATTTGAGGAGAAGCTAACGAATGGCACCAAGTGTGTTCAGCATCTCCCCTTCTAGGGTGTCATCTGACAGATGTGTTATCTGACAGATGTGCTGCTCATGCCTTCTGCACCTGAGGTCAGGGATGCTCACACAGAATGGGTTGTAACTGCATAAGGTCGGGAGCCCCCTCTACATCCACCAAATAGAGGATGAGTTGAGTATGCAGATAATAAAGCAGAATAAGGAAAGGCTTTTTATGAACTGACAGGGAAAGACTATCAAGAAATACTAAGTTAAAAAAAAAAACAAAACCCTCAGTGCCAAACAGTACATATAGGATGCCACCATTTTTTTTGTCTAAAAAATGGGGAAGAATATCTATGGAATATACTCATTTATATATGAATTGAATATTCTAAAGCTAGTTGCAAGAAACTAGTACCCTTACTTTTCTCTAGGAAGGAAAACTGGGAAATAGTAGGAAGAGGATTATCACTGTATATCCTTTTGTACCCTTTGATTTTGAGACCATGTAAATGCAATTATCTAAGAGAGAGAGAGAGGAAGGAGGAGGAGGAGAAAAAGGAGGTGGAAGAGGAAGGGAGAGAAAGAAACGCTGTGCATGGGCTCTAGAATCAGACGGACTTGTGAATTCCAGCTCCACTGCTTCCCAGCTGTGTGACCTTGCCCAAGCTACTCAACCTCTCTGGGGCTCAATCTGTGCAGGAAAGGGGCATGACAATTACATAATGCCTCCAACCCACCTGGACTGTTGGGAGATTGAGACTAATGAGTTTAAAGCTCTTAGCTAGAAATGGTTGCTGTAGATGTTTAGCCAGCCCTGGCTTCACACTCTCCAGACCAGCTTCCAAACTTCCTGGAGGGCACATGCAATTCATCTTTTCCTTTCCCATGCAATTCCCCAGGCACCAGTCCATGGCACTCCCTATGCCTGCAGGATACCACATCAAAGCAGAGTTGGGGGAGGTGAGTGTCTTGAGTCAAATGCGATACCAGCCCCCATGCTTCCTCCCAGAGCAAAGCCCCCTGCAGACTAACTGCTGGGCTCTCTGGTAGTAGGGTCCTGCTCTACTGAACCCCACATCCCTTTATCCCAGGCTGCACCTCCTTCCTCAGATGAAAATAGCAATTCTCAAACACAAGTGCGCATCTGAATTTCTGGTGCAGGGCCAATTCCTGGGCCCACCCCAGGACTTTGTTTTGCCCACTGAGTTGTCAAAGATGGAGCTCTTGCCACCTCTCAGGCAGTAGGTCCCTCACCCTTTACAATCCACATCTCTCCCCAGTTACACACTGGTTCCCAAACATGTCCAAATCTTTCCTCCCTCACTCTCCATGCTTCTGATTTTGTAGATCTCTCCTTCAAGAATCTTCGCACCACCCCCCACCATGCATTCATGAACATTTTCCCACTTGCCTAAACGATGCCTACCTTAGTAGAAGCAGCTCAATCATCTCCTCCTCCAAGAAGCCTTCCATTGTGGACTGCCCTCCAATGTGGGCTCCCCCTGGCTGATTTTGTGTCTGTCATGCCATCTTCATAGCTTACTTGAATTAGAATTATCCTTGATAACAATGAAAGCTTTGATTAGTGAGTGCATGAATGTGAGTGGTTTATTAACATTGGCCCTCATCTGCCCCACACCCACAAGAGGTAAGTGTTATTGTCCCTTTTCATAGAGGAAGAAGCTGAGTCTGAAGGATGTCAGAGGGTTTGCCCAGGGCACAGCACATAGGGGATGGGTTGGAATTTGTCTGCCTTTACCTGTTTTTTTTTTGGTTGGTTGGTTGTGTGTGTGTGTGTGTGTGTGTGTGTGTGTTACTGCGCCGACTTTTGAGACTAAACAGTCTCTAGAGTGGTGGTCAGTTTGTTTTTCTCTCTTTCAGGGCAAGGCAAAGTCTAATCCCTCAGTTAATACTAACTTGGATTCTCGAGATGGGGATGTCAATAAGAAAGATGTCTGGCAGTGACTTGGGAAGCTGAGGGGGGAGGATTTCTTGAGCCTAGGAGTTTGAGACCAGCCAAGGCAACATAGCGAGACCCTGTCTCTACAAAAAATATAGCTGGGTATGGCGGCGAGCAGCTGCAGTCCTAGCTATTTGGCAGGCTGAGGCAAGAGGATCGCTTGAGTCCAGGAGTTTGAGGCTACAGTGAGCCATGATCGCACCACTGCCCTCCAGCCTGGGTGACAGAGCAAGAACCCTGATCAAAAAAAAAAAAAAAAAAGGAAAGAAAGAAAGAAGGAAAGAAAAGGAAGGGAGGAAGGGAGGGGGAGAGAGAGAGAGAAACAGAAAGAAAGGGAAGGAAGGAAGGGAAGGAAATGAAGGAAGGAAGGAAAGGAAGGAAGGAAGAAAGAGAAAGAGAGAAAGGAAGAAAAAAGAAAGAAAAAGTGAGAGATGCCGGGTAGAGACAATTCCTGAGGAGTCTATGAGGTGGGGGTGGCTCGAAGGGAAGCGGGTGGGAGATGAACATCATCATCTGAGAGAAGAGATGGTACGGTGCAAACAGGACAGGGTGGATACCATTCTGACCCTGGGGCACTCATGGAATTAAGGGAATTTGTTGAAAATAGGGAGGCACAGGGCCGGGGGAGCAAACACTATCTTTCCTTTTCTTCTAAGCATTTCAGGAGGTTCCTGTGAAAAACCTACATGCACACACCCCCACGTGCAGCTGCAGACTGCTATCTATACACGAAGTTATGCATCGCAGAGTCGACTGCAAAAGGCTGGAGCCCACACAGCGTCTATCAATAGGGAACGGGTTAAATCGACCACAAGATTTCCATATGACGATGGAACACTTTCCAGCCAAGAAAGGAGGAGGAAGTCCTCACTGCTCTGATACGGAACAGTCACCAAGACATATTTTAAGTAAAAAAAAGGCAGCATGCATAACCAGGGAAATGAAAACTAAAACCACAGTGAGTTACAATTTCACACAGATCCATCTACAAAAAAAAAAAAGCTGATAATTGCAGGTGTTGGTGAAGAAGTGGAGTGAGGGGAATGCTCAAACTACTAGTGGGTGTGCGAATGGTTATAACCACTTTTTAAAATTTTGGCATTATCTACTGAAGTTGACAATGTACTTTCCCAATGGCCTTGCAAATGCCCTGGAGAAGTTCTTACCCAACCCCCGCCATTCCCCCCAACACACACCAAAAGAAACAATTAAGAACATTTGCACCAGCTCTGTTCCTAGAACCCCAAAACTGAGGCCAGCACTGAGGCCAAGCACAGTGGCTCATGCCTGTAATCCCAGCAGGCATGAGCCACCCTTTGGGAGCCTGAGGCCGGAGGATTATTGAGGTTGAGAGTTCAAGACCAGCCTGGGCAACATAGTGAGACCTTGTCTCTATAAAAGAAGTTTTAAAAATTAGCCAGGTGTGATGGCTCATGCTTGTAGTCCCAGCTAATTGGGAGGCTGAGGTAGGAGGATCGTTTCTTGAGCCCTGGAGGTTGAGGCTGCAGTGAGCCATGATTGCACCACTGCACTCCAGCCTGGGCAACAGAATGAGACCCTGTCTCAAAAAATAAAATTAAATTAGAAAACAATAATAATTATTATTAATAAATAAAATAGTCCAATGAAAATAATCATACTATCTCCATGCAATGGAATTCTATACAAGAGTGAAAATGAACTAACTCCGGACATGCGTATCAGTACACTGAACTTCAGAACTATAATTATGGGTGGGACAAAAGCCAGCCATAGAAAACTATTCTATTCATAATCCCAAAAAGGTAGTATACCATATTCAATTATTATATATATTTATGTCTTGTTATATATAATGTTTATTACATTTATCTTAGTATAAAAATATAGTATATTTATCATAATCTATTATAAACAAGTAGTAGGATTATAAAAAGACAAAAAGGGCAGGATAAGCGTAAAATTCATGATAGTATTTAGGGGAAGAGGAGGGTGGGGCTGGAGAGAGGCACATGGTTTCAAAAGCCCAGCTTCTTTGTCTAAAACAGGGCGTGGGTACCCATACTGGTCTATTGTATTGTGGGTGTCTTTAAAATGTATATATATTCTATAACTACTATTTTTGTATCTACTCAATATTTAATTTTAAAATTTTAAATGAGGCCTAGAACACTATAAAAAGTATGCTACCATTTGTATAGAAAAAGTGGACACACACATCACTCATGTGCATAGATTAAAGTGTCTCTGGAAACTTACACATGCAACTGGTGAAACTGGTTTCCTCTGGGGAGGAGAACTGGGAGGCTGGGGACAAGGAGGGGCAATAAATCAATTGAAATTAAAAATCACAAAATTTAAGGAGAAGGAGACAAAGAAGGGAAGGAGGAAGAGAAGGGAGGGTGGAGGGGAGAGGCCAAGTCCTGGTCCCAGGAGGGACAGGGAGCAGAAAGAGGAGGACTGGCCAGGCTCTGGCTATCAAAACCTGTGTGTGCCACAGGCACGAGTGGAGCCAGAAGCCTGCAGTCCTGCCCAGGAAAGCCTGTGTCCTCCGCGCACAACTCAGGCTTAGACCCAGAGAATGCTCTTTCTTGCACCTGAGGACGGGGCTGGCTTCAAACAGTTGCCCAGGTTGACCCTGGCTCTGCAGTCTTTTGTTTCCAGAGCTTTGCTTCCAAACGAGGCTCCCTTGGGTCTCTTTCCCTGGCCCTGCCTTCTTATCTCCAACCTTCACCCCACCTGTGATCCAAGCGATTCCTTTGAAGTTGCTTCAGAGTCTTCTGAGCCTTCATCCTTGATGACTCTGAAATGTGCGTCTGTGGCACCAAGGTCAGCCAACAGCAAGTAGGCCCTTTTCATCTCCTTTTAAACCTTCCCCTCAAGGACTCAGTGTCCTTGCTGTATTGCCTTATCAAAACCTGCTCACATATCCTTTGTTCACACTGGGATACCGGTCATTTAAAGGAAAACAGGCCCACTCTAACCAGGGTCACTGCCAAGTCCCTAAGTATCATGCCCTTGAGAGGTAAAAGCATAAAGCACTAAGGGTAGAATTTTGGGCAACAGCCAGTGGACAAGGACAAAATGGGTGCAATATGCAGGGGTCCCTTCTGCCCCACCGGTAACCATAACACCTCAGGACACAGGCTGGGGTCTGTATTCAAAAGTGGGTCCCTCAGACCGGGCACAGTGGCTCACGCCTATAATCCCAGCACTTTGGGAAGCCAAGGCCAGCGGATCCCTTGAGCCCAGGAGTTTGTGACCAGCCTGAGCAACATGGCGAAACCCCATCTCTACAAAAAATACCAAAATTAGTCTAGTCGGGCATGGTGGTGCACACACCTATGGTCCCAGCTATTTGGGAGGCTGAGGGGGGAGAATCGCTTGAGCCCCAGGAGGCAGAGATTGCAGTGAGCTGTGATCGAGCCACTGCACTCCAGCCTGGGCAACAGAGTGAGACCCTATCTCAAGAAAACAAAAACAGAAAGTAAAAAAGCAATCCTCGAGCAAAAGTGGGTCCCTCAGAGCCCAATGACAGTGATGAGGAGGATGAGGTGGGAAAGGTAGTGTTACTCTGAACTAAAAAGGACTGCCCAGTGTGACCCTATCTCCCAAACAGCCCATGCAGGGATCTGGGTGGCACCATAGTACAGAAGTGGGTGCCAAGAGAGGCCTGGGCTGCACAGCCAGGTGCATACATGCCCTGGAGTCCAGGACAGGATCAGCAGCAAATCCACTCCAGGGAGCTCTCCCCCCTCACCATCCTCTCAATCAGGGTTCCCCAGTTGAAAAGCACCTTGGCAGTTCATAATTCTCCCTCTAAAGCCAGAAAGTGCTGTAAAGGATAACAGAAGCCTGGCTGCACAGTGGAGCTTAATGGAAGTCATTCAACAAGCAGGTCTGGAGCAAACATCATGGACCAGCAGTACTGTGTGTTGGCACAGATGTGAAGCAACTATACTCTGATACGGCTTGGATATGTGTCCCCACCCAAATCTCATATTGAATTTTAATTCCCAGTGTTAGAGGAGGGGCCGGGTGGGAGGTGACTGGATCATGGGGGCAGATTTCCCCCTTACTGTTCTCACGATAGTGAGTTCTCAGATCTGGTTATTTTAAAGTGTGTAGCACCTCCCACTTTGCTCCCTTCCTCCTGCTTT
Organism: Homo sapiens; assembly: GCF_000001405.40. Classification (NCBI taxonomy): domain Eukaryota; kingdom Metazoa; phylum Chordata; class Mammalia; order Primates; family Hominidae; genus Homo; species Homo sapiens. Next base: position 36,238,588 of record NC_000006.12, on the reverse strand, counting down.
GGCCATGTAAGATGTGCCTGCTTCGCCTTCCCCTTCCGCCATGATTCTATGTTTCCTGAGGCCTCCCCAGCCATGCTTCCTATACAGTCTGCAGAACCGTGAGCCAATTAAACCTCTTTTCTTTATAAATTACCAAGTCTCAGGTATTTCTTTATAGCTGTGCGAGATCAGACTAATACAGGTGGGGAGCTGTGCAAGATCAGACTCATACAGGAGGGGATATAAATTGAACACCAAATGGGAAACTGGCAGAATCCACTAAAGCTAAACATATATCTGCCCCGTGACCTAGCAATTCCACTCCTGGGACATACAAGCACTTATGTCCATCAAATGACATGTACAAGAATGTTCACAGCAGTGTTATTTATAACAGCCCTAAACTAGAAATAACCCAGTGCCCATCAGCAGGAGAATGGATACCCAAACTGTGGTGTGTTTGGATGATGGAATATTACTCAGCAACAACAAAAAGCAAACTATAGCTACATGCAAAACAGGGTGGAGCTCAGAGCCACAATGTTAAATGAAAGAAGCCAGACACAAAAGAGCGCAAGCTGTGTCATTCCATTTATGTGAAGTCCAAGAACAAGCAACACTAACCCACAGCAATGGAAGTCTGGATGGTAGTTACACTTGCAGCAGGGGTCCTGACTGGACAGGGTCATGAGGAACCTTCTAGGGCACTGGAAACATTCTGTATTTTGATTTGGATCACAATTTCATGGGTGGGTACACATATAAACACTCATAGAGATTAATCTTAAGATTTGTGTCCCAGAGTTACTGTATGTAAAACTATATCTAAAATATGAAAATACTCAAACTTCGGGGTCTGTTCCTCCTGCTCCTGACCTGACTACTCCACTAACTGGTCCTGACCTCGGAAGCATGTTGTATCTGCTGTGGAGTGATCTTCGTTCCCGATGCTGGTGGCTGTACCCAAAAGCAGAGGTGGGAACTTCTCAATCAAGAGGAGAATTATATGGCCATATGGTGGCTTCCTCACTCATTAGATGTTTGTACATGGGGCAGAATTTGGTCTAGGACTGAATTCCATGGAAATTTACCCAAGAGAGCAAAGTTGTTGGGAGGAAGATATATAGCTCCCATCTAATTTCAAATGCTATGGAGACTATCAGTATTTTAACAAAACAGAGGAACTAACAGGCAATGCTTGGTTTAGGCCAGTCCATGAACAACAGCAAGTGAGAAAAAGCCAGACTTAGGCTGAGGAGGCGTGGGGAGGACTTGCATCCCAGTCGTACCATGAATTTCCGCAGTGATGTCAGAGAGGTAACAGACTACTCAACTACCTAGTACAAGAAACTAAAATACATGCTCTACCTAGAAAAAACAAGAGACTATAAGGAATTACATTAAAATGGTAGTTTCTGTGTGGTCAGAAAAAGGGTAGTTCTTAATTTCTTTGCACTTAAAAATTTTCCCATATTACATACAAAAAACCCCCACGGATTTTATAATCTTTCCTGACCAGCTTAGATAAAATCTCCTTCAGGCGTCACTCTGGACTGTGAAGCTGAAGGGAAGGAGCCCACCCCTGGACCCTTATGTGATACTCCCTGCCCATGAGGAACCATCAACGTCGCATCCCCAGTATGGCTTCTCTATCCCCCAAACGGACGAATACTAGGCAGAAAGGAAGAGGAAGGGATTGAGACACGGCTTCAGGAGTTCAACTGAATCCACCCTCTTCCAACCAGCCTTACAGGTGTCAAGCAAAGGACATAAAATGTTCTCAGAAACAGCACCACGGCCCTTCTGAAATTTGGGGACAACTAGCTTTTTTGACTCTATGTAGCCTGTGATGGGGGTAGAGCTCAGTAGTAGAGTGTTTGACTGCATGTAGCCCGTGAGTCCTGGCCCTATTAAAGTTGAAGAGAATACTTATGTATATGTACACACACACACACACACACACACACGGACGTTTTTCGTCTATCCCCAATTACCTTCTGCCACCCTCGAAGGGAAAGGGCAGACAGAAGGTCACCCCAGGTGCCAGTGAAATGGGAAAAGTTCTCTTATCCCCCTCGCTGGGCATGCAATGGGGGTGTGGCTCACTTCTTTGGTACCCCATAGCTCAAACCCCTAGCGGGAGCATGCAGACAGGCAGGTCATGGGGAGTGTGGGCTCCGACCCCACTGCAGCGTCTAAGGTTTGAGTGTTTACAGCTCCCCAAGCCCCAGTGGGTGTGTGTTACATTATGCTCTTCTAGTTTAGCCATCCGCAGACAGCTTGTGTTAATCAGCTTAATTAGGCCCTCTGCCTTATCACAAGGACAGAGGGCTTTCTGTATCCTGGGTTCTTGCCTTGGTGTACCAGAAAAATAGGATCACATGTGGGCTTGGAGGATGGGTGCAAGGTTTTATTGAGTGGAGGTAGCTCTCAGTGAGGTGAATGGGGAGGCCAGAAGGAGGATGGAGTGGGAAGGTGGTCTTCACCTGGAATTGGGCTGCCCGGCAGCTGGACTCCGACCGCGCTGTGCCAAATTTCACGTCATCGTGGCGTCGTCGATAGCCTGTCGGCATCTGTTGGTGCCTTTCGGTGTGTTCTGCTTCTCTGGACTTCCAGCCGGCTGTGTGTGTGTGCCCGCTAGGGTCTCGGGGTTTTTACGGGCCCAGGATCAGGGGCGTGGCGGGCCAGAGTGGTCTTGGAAAATGCAACATTTGGGCTCAAAAACAAGGGTGCCTGTCCTCACCTAGGTCCGTGGACCAGGCCTGAGGGTGAAGCCCTCACCAGGGACCCCATTCTTCTCTACCCAGCACTTCCCTGCCCTTCTCTCGTATCACCAGGGTGGATCCAGCACTCCTCTCCAGCTCTAGCCCAGCACGTATCTCCCTGGCCCTTCTTCCTCATCACAGAGTAAGAAACTTCTGCCCCACCTTTTGGAGAAACCACTTCCCTCCTCCAAAGACCTCCTTCCCTCATCCCAGCTTCAGTAGAGGCCAGAAGGCTGCAGCCAGCAGGACCAGAGACCTGCACACTCATTGCCCGACTGCAGACACTGTGGGAGGCCTGCAGACTCAGGGTAGTCAAGGCCCACACCCTCCCTCTCTCCTTCAGCACTACTCCGAGCCTGGCAGTCTTGCCACTAGCCCCACCTCTTCTCTAAAAGTGAAACTCAGAGCCTAGCCAGGTCAGGAGAGCCCATCTGACGCACTGGCACATTCACACTCAGGTGCTAATGGCATCTAATATATTAATGGAAGCAGCCAAGCTGACAAGGGATTTTGGCAAATGCTTTCAATGATATTTTTTAACTTGTTAGGAGAATGGGATTCTCTATTCCGAGAGTCAGAGTGTCTCCAACACATGTCCCAATATTACAGTATCATTTTAGACTTGAGTTCATGAATTTCAGTCACATCATTGATAAAATTTATTAAGGACACTTTTGCCTACTTTGGGTAATATATAAGTCCGTGGAGAGCAGAAAGGGCTGAGTGGGTGCTGAGTTCTGGTCCAGCCCTGCCTTTTCCTGCCTTGTGATGCTAAGCACATCTGACCTGCCTTTCTCCTCCATCTGTGGCATGAGGGCTTGACATTCCCTGTGAGGCCCTCCCTGGAGAACAGACCCCTCAAAAGGTGCTGTCTCCCCCTTTCCCCCAACCCCAGACTCTAAGTGTAAGGGGCTTTCCTCATGTCTGTCCTTCGCCTTCCTTGCTGTCCTTGGCCATTCTTCTAACTGCCTAGGTGGGCTCCACTGTGCCCACATCTCTGTCATCTGCTCCCATCTTTCTCCTGAATTCTGGGCTCAACTCCCATCTGTTTGCTGGAGGTTTTTCTTAGATGTCCCATAGACAACACAAACTCATCAAAAAACCTACACTTTCTCCTCCCTTCAAAACCCACAGCGATCCCTCCAGCAGCCACCCAGCATCCTGTCTTAACACTCTTGCTTTTTAACTTTGATGTTTAGTTAGTTGCCAAGCTCCAATCAAGTCTCTGCCCTGTTCAAATCTTTCAATGGATGCTGCTACCTGCCATATATGAATGGCACCCACCTTGCCCTGTCTTTGGGATCCTTTATTACGTCAGTCTCAGAGAGGCCCAGGGTCACAGAGTGAGTGACAGTGACAGGGCTTTTAAGCCCGATATACTGCTCGCCACCTCGGTGGGTTCCAGTCACGTGGGAGGTCAGCTAGTCACTGGAGCTGGAATATGCACAATCTCTTTCTGAGCCATGACTTTGTCTCCTCTTCTTAGCCTCGCCTGCTAAAATCCTACCCATCTGGCCACTTTTATTTCTAAAATGGTTTATAGAATGAGCTTGTAATTTCACCCTAAATATTTTGTAAATATTTTGCAAACGTCTTTGTAATTCAACTTACAATTCATAAATAAAGTCTTTCCTAACCCCATTTGTCAAGGCTTGAATTAATTGCTGCTTCTGAAGGCTTTCATTACTCCCCAACCAAACATGTCTCTCCCAAACGCCTCCACATATCTGGGACCCTCACACTGGCCTTATGCGGCGTTATGTGAGATGTATCTTATAAATCAGGTTGTGAGTGTCTTGAGACCAGGGGTGTGTGTCTTTGCAGCCCCAACACGTAATACAAGGATTATCAGCACATTGGCAGTACTTTGTCAGTGTTAGGCCAAAATGAGAACTTTGACACTTTTTTGACTTCAATGACAAGGCTGTCAAAGGCCCCGTGGAGGAAGTGATCAAGAGACCCGAGTCCTCAGCCACACCGAGACAAGCATAGGAGCCAGGTAGGACCAGAATGGGATAGGAGTAGGGACAGGGGAAAAGCTATTCTATGCCCAGCAACCAAGCAGTTTGTCTCTGGGAACTCCCCTCTGCTTCTGCTCTTCAGGACATTCCTATCCAGAAATGCCAGAGCCACAGCCACTGAGAGAGGAACACGATACAGAATAGGCCAGTGGAGTCTTGAAATGCTGTGGAGCCCATAAACAAAGCCTTGGCCAGATCCTTGTCTCAGAATTATGCCACAGTTTCTTAGTTGGCTGACCTTGGTCTTTTAATTTTGCTGGTCTGTTTCCTTGTCTGTAAAATGAAGACCAGGTAGGCTTAAGGATGCCTTCCAGCTTTAAGAGGAGTGAGGCCTATATTCCCCTGTGTGTGTCCCAGCTACCCATCTACAGAATTAAAACAGCAGCAGTGACATAAGAGGTGTGAGCATCCTTGAGTCTCAAGTTCAGCAAGCTTGGTAAGTCAGGTGTGTCCAAAGGGTCACTCTCCTTCTGAATGAGGAGCAGAGGCTCCTAAAGGAACATGGCCACAGGGAAGGCGAGGCATGGGAAGGTAGGATGGACCTTCCAACAGCTCCCAGAAGGTGCCAGCGCTGTCCGGGAGGGAAGCAAAGTCAGAGAACATCCTCACACTGCTCCTAGGGGTCCAAGAGATAGACAGAAGCTGGGCATGGTGGCTCCCACTTGTAATCCTAGCACTTTGGGAGGCCAAGGCGGGAGGATTGCTTGAGTCCAGGAGTTTGAGGCCAGCCTGGGCAACAACAACAAAAAAACAGCTGGCCATGGTGGCACGTGCCTGTAGTCCCAGCTACTGGGGAGGATGAGGTAGGAGGATCTCTTGAGCCCAGGAAATCGAGGCTGCAGTGAGCTATGATCATGCCACTACACTCCAGCCTGGGCAACAGAGACGCTGTCTCAAAAGAAAAAAAAAAAAAGAAAGATACAGCCCTCGCTAGCTAGGAAACTTTCTTAATGGTCCTGGCCTGTTGAGGAGGAGGCTGTAGGGAATGGGAAGACAGGGGTAGGCCCCTACTGATTAAACACAACACAGCAACTACTGCCCATTAGAACATTTATTTCTCAGAGAGAAAATAAGTTTCAGACAGTCATATTATAGTAGGTAAAATTAACTTTTGTATTCTTTACAAGCATAGATTTTTCTCTGTTTATTACCTCTCTTATACCATCTGTTATAAACAATTCTAGAAAGCAAATAAAGTCACTCTCTACAATAAATAGAGCATCATGTGCTTCACAGCAGACGCGACAGAGACACATAGGCCCCGTGCCACAGCAGGATCTGAGCCGTTTCCCGTTCTAAAAGAGCATTTTAAAAAATGAGACTCAGAGAGAGACTAAAATATTCAGAGATTGAAAAATAAAGAGAGAGACTAAGAAGAGAAAGTGTTGGGGGGAAGAGATAGACATAGAAAGAGAGGAAGTCCCAAGATCTTACAACACAGGTTTAGACAAAGGTCACAGAGTCCACAGCTGACCAACTACCTGGGGAGAGGGGAAGCACTGGCTCCTTTAAATCAACGACACTGTGTGGCCACACAATGGAGGACTCCAGTAATGGAAACTATAGGCCTGAATAATTTAGAACAGTATTTTACAATTATATACACCATGTCCTTCCCTAGCCATATGCTGTATTGTTTTTATTATTATACAAAATCCAAAACCCCATCCTTTTAAGTTATAGTGTTTTGTTGGTTCCCTTTTAAACTCTGGCTCATGTCCCAAATGTATAAGAAGTTGTGGTGGTTGGTTGGTTGTATTTTTAAAAAGTCAAGTGTGTAAAAATGGCAGTGATCTCCCCAGTGACTGTTTTGTCCAAAACTCCCCTATGAAAAATTTAAAACAATTAAAAAGAATATCAGGTTAAAAATCAACATGGCAATCAGCGGCCTGCAACTGGCCCTGCGACTTTGGTGCTCAGGAGGTGAAAAGAAATGTCCAGAGAACAGACACTGAAGCCTCTGAAAGTTGTGTTGGTTTGTCAGTCAGCATTCCCCATTCACAGTTTTTTTTTCCTTCCATTTTTGAGAAGGTGAAGGTGGGGAGGGGGTTGAAGAGAAAGAAGGAAGGAGGCAGAGGGTTTGAAATAAAAGTAATGCATTCCCTGGAGTTGGGAAGTGGGAGTAGCAGAGGCTAGGCAGGGCAGGGCAGAGCGCAGGCCAGGAAGATGTTTGGTGGCAGGCGCCATGCCATCCAGGTGGTGGAGAGTGAAGCTTAAGACTGCAATTGCAGAAAAAGTCCATGAGGAGAGAAGAAGGAGAAAAGGGGGAAGAGGGCAGACCCAGCTGACGAGCACAGCTCCACACAAACCACCCTCGACATCCATGTGGACAGATGGACACTCGCACACCCAGCCTGATAGGAGCCCACCCTGAAGGCTTGGACCACCTCGTGGCAGCAAAGAAAAAAACAAGAGGGGACCCGCCTTGATCCAGGGGGCACACTTGCAGAGCTGGGAAGTTGTGTCAACAGCTAAAGGGAAGGTCTGTGGGTGGGAGGTGGTGTCCTGGGGGAGGGGGTCATAGGTTGTGGGCTGGCCTCTGTCTGGGCCTGAGGAGCCTGGCAGAGACACCACCTGGCATAGCAGCTGGCCTCAAGGGGAATGAGACATTAAAGAAAAAGACCAGTGTGGTGACGGTTTCTGTCAGTTTGGCACAAGAGAAAAAGAAAAGGAATATGGGAAAGAGAAAGCAAGACTGGGCAATGGGTGCAGAAGATGGGACCGAGAAGAGGTGTGAGAATAGGCGATAAGCGGGAGAGAGTGTGAGCTTGGGGAGATTCCCCCTGGGACCCTGGCGTATCCACGGCATCTCTGGGATCAGTGTCGGAACCTCACCCGCCCTGAGGTGTAGTTAGTGGGAGTAGGATGGAGCGGGCCAGGCAGCCCCTCAAGAAGGAGCCCAGGACCTCTTGCCATCTGGGCAATCTCCTAAGCTGGGCCCAAGCCCCACAGCTGTTTCTACTTCTAACTGGTTCTTCAGTGAAATATCCCCTGAGGGACCTTGGGTGGGAGTTTTTGGCACACAGCAGGCCTGCCAGGAGAACCATGCGATTGGTCAAAACTGGGGCCTTGCCCTTAGTGGGGAGAAAGCCCAGTCCCTGGCCTACCATGAGAGGGGGAAGCTGCCGGCCATACATCTGGCAGGGGCAGAAGAGGCTTCTCTGTGCCCTGCGGGATGGAGGCAGGGCAAGCGGATGCAGGCCCAGCCCTGCCCTTACAGGTAGCTGGAAGTGACGAAGGAGTGGGGCCCCCGGACTCTGCTCAGGTGGATCATCGCACGGTCATAGGCCACCTGCACTGACTTGCGGATGCTGGTCTTGCGGCCTTCCAGCATCTTGAGCTTGTCCACGGTGTCTTCCACACCCAAGGGCAGGACTTTGTCCCTTGGAAGCCACTGCCTGAAATGCAAGCACAGTAAGAGGCTGGGCAGTAGTGGGTCTCACAGGGGGCTCGGGCTCCTGTGGCCCCACTTGGCCAGGACCAGCAAAGCCAGGGAGAGGGTACAGGGCAGAGGGAAGCAAATTGGGGGACTCCATGCAGGAGGCCACCAAGAACCTAGCAGGTGAGGACAGCAAGCAGGATATGCAGGAGTCGGGTGGGGGAATGGCATGGAATCAATTTTGCAGCTAGGTCCTTCTCTGGGCCCTTACTCTGTTTGGAGAGTTGTAAGGGTCCATAGGCTAAGAAAGGCCCACCTGCTGCCCTCTGGGGCCAGCTGAGCCACCCTGGAGGGCTCTGAGCCTCGCCTTGCGTTGGAGAATTAGGGGGCGATGGCTAGGAAGTAGAGCTGATGCCAGGAACTGATAAACTCATCTGTGGTGGGACCTGCACACTGTGTATGTGTTTTTAAAGCTCCCCGGGTGAATATAACATGTGGCTAAGGATACAGCCTTTGGAGCAAGATCTTGTTTTGTATCTTAGTTCTGGCTACAGGGTCTGGACTTTCTGAGCCTCAACTTCCTCATCTGCAAAATGGATTATGAGGGGATTAATGAAGACTTAAATGAGGATTAAAAGAGATCAGATATATAAAGCAATCTGCATAAGGACATGGAGTAAGCACTCAATGGCAGCTACTATTATCACTGTTTTTATTAGCTAGTTCTCCCTCCTCACTCTATAGAAGCTAAGGTGAAAGCACTCTCTTGTTGGTGCTAAGAGAAACCTTAAGTGTTGTAAACCATAAATGAGCAAGTCTCCTGTAGCGGACACTGCACTGGCCAGAACCCCCCTCAGGACGGAAACATGCTTCCCAGAAGCTACTGGAAGTGCTGGAAGCTCACAGGCTCTCATCTGAGTCCCTCTCTAGGAATCACTCTCCACCATGGAAGCCTCAGGCCCAGGCCACACCCCTCCCTCAGGGCAGTGGCATTGAATAACTAGTTGGCACAGGGCAAAAAGGCACAGGCCCAATTCCTGACATCTCTTATCTTGTTGAGCCACCCAGCTCCAGATGTGCCCAGTGGATGAGCTGAGGCAGCAAGTGGGCTGTAGTTCAACTTCTGCCCAGTGCTGCATCGCTCCCGCCCCACAGCTCTCCTCAATAGCCTCCTGATGCAAGTCTCGACCTCAGAGTGTTTCCCAGGGAATCTGATCTGCAACACCCCTCAGTTACTATTAACATGCCAAGTGCAGGCCTGTTGCTGGCAAGTGGAGACCAGGGTAACTGGTAACATCCATGGCCCCTCTGTACACCTCACTAGCACAGCACCACTGGCACAGACCCCTGGCGTGCCCCTCAGCCCCCTCACAGCAGCACCCACTAACCAGGTGCGCTTGTTGTCAAAGAAGAGGACAAGGAAGAGCTTCTCTCCAGCCTCTGCCTGTTTCTGCTCTCCCAGCTTCAGCACGTCCAGCGGGGGGACAGGGATGGGAACGCCATTGTGCAGGAGGCCCTCCCGGGGCATCTTGGGATCGATGATCTGGAGGCAGAATAGAAGATGGGCACTCAGTGAGGGAGGCCAGGGTGAGCAGTGCCCCTGCTGCAGGACCAACTGCTGAAGCACCCACACCAGGGGAGTATCAGGCCTGAGTGGGATATCTTTGATGTCCAGACCAGACAGGCAAACCCCTTCCTCCAATGTCCCTTAGGACAGAAGAGTAGAGGTCACTTTTTTTTTCCTGTCAATTTCCCCTTAGTACCTTTGCAATTCACCTCAAATGTTTGGGGGCCTTCCCTAGGTACCACGGCTATGAAGAAGGCTTTGCATCGGGAAGGCCATCCAGTTGGTTCTAACGAGGTCTCTGGTTACCCACTACCTTCCTGTCTGACTACAATCCTTCCTGATACATGGACCAGATATATTTGTGACACCTCCATGGTAAGATCAGAGAGGAGGCTCAGTGTATAGCTAGAGAATGAGCTTGGAGGTTGATGGAGAGGGGGGTATGATGTGGGTGGAAACAAGGGCCACTGGAGGCATTAATCCTTGAGGCAATAAGCTCCACAAGGGCAGCAGCTGGGCCCTTCTCCTTCAGGTTTGCTTCTGGCATCCAGCCCCACCTTGCCTGGCTCAGAGACGGCAGGTGCTCAGCAAAATGCCTGGCAGCATCAACACAACAATCAAAATCCAGGTCTAGGGAGCACTTTCAAAGTTTCCAAAGCTCCTAATTATTCACACATCATCTCATTTCAATCTCTTGCTGATGCTGAGAAGTCTGCTAACAGGTGTTAGCTGACAAGAGGAAAACACCAAGCACAGAAGCAGAATGTAGCTGGCTAAAACCACATTGGTACTAAAACCAAACAAGGCTTGGGCCTCCACAGCCCACTGCCTCCTACACAGCCCCTGCTTCCAGAGCAGACAGCTAATAGCTCTGGGAGCAAAGACTAGGAACTTACTGAGGAAGCAGCCTTCTCCAGAGACAGAGCAATCTTACTTCCTATACGCTGTCCCAGTGGGCCCCTTCTTACAATAAACTGCTCTCATTATTTACCTTTGCTTGTCTGCCAATTTCACTACATCCCTCTCAAGATAAGCAGCTGAAAGCAGCTGTTCTGGTTAGGAGTTTACTCTAAGGAAGAACCACCTTACCCCACCCACCAGGTGTGTAATTTGATCAAAACTCTCTCTCCCAGCCTGTCTGTCCCTCCTGGGATTGAAGTAAAGGGTCTTAAGGAGAACCACCATACAAGCCCTTGTAAGCTTCCTTGATTACCAAACAAGACAGTGAGGCTACTCTGATATGTTTCCTCTTGACTAAGGCATGCTGGTTCCTGCCTTGGAACCCAGGGTGCTTGCAGAGGGTAGATTGTGAAAAATTTCCCCTGAGGGCAAAAGCAAGGTGGGTAAGTCTGCCAACTGAGGACAGCTTTTGTGTCCCAAAATAATAAATGGTCCATTCATTCAATGAATACTATGCAAATGTAAAACAACATGGTAACAAAGTTTGTGATAAAACTTAACATATGTGTACATACACTATTATTACAACTATAATATGAATATGCGAACAATAAATAGAACGATACAAAATGCTTGGAGTCAACATTAGAATGGTGGGGTTTGTGTTTTTTCGCCTCTATTTTTCCAAACTTCTATAATGCAGTATATTACTCTTACAAACAAAAACAAAAACAAAAACAAGAAAAAATGTTTAAAAGACAAGAAAAAAAAGACAAGAGCCAGAAAAAATTAAAAACTTTATATCCACTATTTATGGATGCAAATACATACTGAAGAATGCATAGGAAAAAGACTAGGAGAGCATACACCAAAATAAAAACACAGGTTGTGTTCAGGTGGTGGCTGAATTTCTTTAATCATGACAAAATGTATAATTAAGAGGGTAATTAAAAAAAAGACGAGTTTTAGACTAGTTTTTTTGCATTGTGAGGTATTCTGTCTGTTTGTTTTTTAAATCCAAACCTGCACAGCTTAATCACTTCTTTAATGACTGAGCTGGGAGTCCTGCGGTTTCACCGCTGGCAGGGCAGAGAGCCCTGTGAAGGCAGGCAGCCCCAGGCCCTAACTCTTCAGCTGCTAGGTCACAGTATGGATTTTCCCCACCTGCTACTGCTAAGGAGGGAGTAGAGTAGGCAACATGGTTTCCAATATGGTTCCAACAAACTGTATTAATACAACCTCTTTGAGCTATAATTTCCTTATCTGACCAAACAGGATCAGAATTCCTCCTCTCCTTATCTTAAAAGGCTGCTGTTAAAAGTTGCAGATATGAAGGGGCTAGGAGAAACCCAGAGTCCTGTATACATGTAAGAGGCTGGTGGGGTGGTTCCCAACCCTGGCTACAGATCATCTAGGATGTTTTCTAAAAAATATTGATGCCTCAGTCTGGCCTCAGAGAGTCTAATTTGATAGCGCTGGGGTGGAGGTGACTTGATATGGGTATTGTTTTAAAAATTTCCACAGATTATTCTGACATGCCCCAAAGGTTTAGTATCAGTGGTATCTTCCAGAGCTAGGTGGACACTACCTCCCCAACTGAGAAAGAGTTCAGAAATAACAATCAAGGTGGTAAAAATTGAATTTTTAACTGCTACTACTATGACAGAAATGAAAAGTTTAGTTACTGCTGGTGTGAGTATAAACCAAAATGAACTTCCAGCAACTTGGCAACTTGTATCAGAATTCTGCATAGACTTTGCCCCAAGAAGGGACTCCTAAGAATTCACTGTAAGGAAATAATCATGGATGTGCACAAGGGTAAAACTACAATGATGTTTATTGCCAACTGTTTATCATAGTGAAAAATTCAAAACAATGTAAGTGACCAACTAGGGAATGGTTAAAATATGGTACATGCATACAACTGAAGACGATGCAATCATTAAAAGTGATGTTGATGAAGAATGTTTAATGGCATAAGATGTGCATGTTCATGATATGCTGTTAAGTGAAAGGGAGGCTAAAAGCAATATGGTCTCATATATATGCATATTTATACATTTTTTGTAAAAGAGTAAGTGGATATACACCCCAAGTTATCCCTGCAGGACTGTGGATGATTTTGAACTCAGTGGCTCAGAACACAGGCTTTGACATCACACATTTTAAGCCCTGGGCTCAAATTCCAACCCTGTCATTTATTAGCTGAATGACCACAAATCATCAGTTTTCTTCTTACAAAATGTAATAATCATACTTTCCTCAGTATTTCAAGGACTTAGCATGACAAATATTTAATAAAACGTCTAAGCATTATCAGTAGCTTTAAAGATTCTCTAAAATGGGCCCTGTTACTTTTATGCATAAGGAAATAAATAAATGCTATTAAAACTCTAAGAACCCTGGCCTTGATCTGCATACTTTTAGCCTATTTTTAGTGCTCCAAGCTGGGAGCCTTGCTAGTTTGACCCACTCAGGCTGGGGCAAAACCCCCCTCCCCTCTACAGCTAAAGACACTCTGACTCCCACCACACTCTGCTGGCTTAATCCAATCAGATTAGCCCCCAAGGCAAGGCAGGGGAGATAGGAGGGTGGCGTCTGGGGCAGACTCACCAAGGCAGGGTAGGAGGGGTAGCCTCGGCACTTGGCCCACACCAGCTCCAAGGGCTCCAGGTCTCCGCGGTCTTCAAAGGGCAGCAGGAGGCTTCTGCCTGGGGGTGGGGGAGGGGAGGAGACAGCACCCAAAGGGGACTTGGAATGGTGCCCAAAAGGCCTGCCTGTGGCCTCCACTTGACTGGGGCAACCCAGGAATGAGTCACAACATCCCCTCCACCCTTCCTTTTCCCTCTCCTTTCCTTAGAAGTTAGACTGGATCAGGGGTCAGCAAACTAGTTCTGTAAAGGGCCAAATAGTAAATATTTTAGCTTCTGTGGGCAACACGGCCTCTGTTGCAATTACTCAACACTGCTGTTGTTATAGCATGAAAGCAGCCACACACACAATCTATAAATGAATGAGCATGGCTATGTCCCAATAAAACTTTATTTTTTGGACACTGAAATTTGAATTTCATGTAATTTTCATGTTATGAAATATCATTCTTCTTTTGATTTTCTTTTCAATCATTTCAAAATGTAAAAACCATTTTTGGCCCATGGACCATACAAAAATAGGCTACAGGCCATAGTTTACCGACCTCTGAACTAGAACCCTAAGACAGCTTTCCCTGGAAAAATGTTAACTGCTTCATCCTCATGGCCTTAGGGAGAAGGGCCATAATCCAGCTTGGGCAATGCCACATACTGCTCTCTGGGCCTCCCTGAGTGCGGAGTCCTCATGATGGAGGCTTCATGGACAAAGATGCCAGGGAAGACATCCTGGTAAAATTACTTGCTAACTGAGTTATTTTCTGACAGGGTCACACCTAGCCATCTAGGACACCTGGATGCACGGCACTCAGCAGAGCTAAGCAGTCTGCAAGTCCTTCACATGCCTTCTTTTGTCAGAAATGAGACTGGGTATCCCTGGAGCAGGCACTGCATCCTTTCATCTTACTTTGCTCTGCACTCAACGCACTAACACATGTGAATGAGTGCTTCACAGATGCTTCTGAACACACAGAAGAACCACTCTTTCCCTCCCCACATCTATACACTGGAATGGGCAGGTGACCACACTCAACCAAGGAAAAAAGTCCAAATCTAACAGGGTGGAAATTGTTATTTCTAAGGAAATATTACTACCTCACTTTTTAAAAAATTTTATTTATTTATTTTTTTGTAGAGATAGGATCTCACTATGTTGCCCAGGCTGGTCTCAAACTCCTGGCTTCAAGCAACCCTCCCACCTTGGCTTCCCAAAGTGCTGGAATTACAGGCATGAGCTACTGTGCTTAACTCCACTTGTAATTTTTAAAAATGTATTAAAATTATAAGATACTATTTTGCACCTATTGAATCAATAGCAGTAACAATAAAAAGATAAAATCCAATACCAAAGAGGTAGACTGAGTAGAAACTGGTGCAATCACATACTACTGATGCAATTACAGACCAAACCCATCCTTATGGAATGTAATTTGGCAGTATGTCTGAAGAGCCATTTAAAAAATGTATGAACCACCTGTTCCAGTAAATTCCTTCCCTGGGAATTTATTCTGAGAAAAATAACTTTAAAGATGAATAAAAGGATTTTAAACAAAAATATGGGTTCACTACATTACATATAATGCTAAAAGCCGGAAACAACCCAAATGCCTAACAATAGAATGGTTAAGTAAATTATAATGCATTGTTAGATACACTGTTCCAATAATATGAGATATATAAAGATTATGTGTCAACATGAAGAAAGTACAAAAAAAAATTGAAAAAAGTAGAATACAAAAGTGCATGTGTTTGGGTCAGCATTTTGTTAAAAATGTGCCTGAAATAAACAGAAGGCAACACAGAAAAATGAAGACAATCATGTTACAGTGATGGAACTATGGGAGGTCAATATCCTTTGGCGTAATTTTAGTAAGCATGTGGTTTTAAAAGTAAGAATAAGATGTCACCACCAGAAGCACAAAGTGTGCCAATCCACTCCTGGCTTTGTGTGAGATGCTGTACAAATTCATTTAGACATGAGCCTGACCTTTTGGGAACTGACAGTTACAGAAAGCAATGAAACACACAGGCATGCATTCATCAACACACATACGAGAAAGAAACTGATGCTAAGGGAAAATAAAGCAGTTGGGTAAAGGAACGAAGGAAGAGAAGCCCTGCAGCCTGTGTGTTAGATGGACACTTCAAAGACAGGGCATCCAGGGAGCACACACCCCTGTATAGCAGGGCTGGACAGAGATGAGCTCAGAGAACAGCCTGCTCTGCACCTGTCCCACCTAAGCACCACCCCAGGCCTCTCCCCCAGGTCCTGCCCTGCCCTTTATTCCTTTTATCCAAGGAGACAAGGCCCATAAAACTACAGGGTTATGTATGTGCGAGATTCAGTGATACAGGCTATCACTGATAACGTTTGTGAATGGGGACAGGCAGTATCCATGAAAACTACAAACACACACTTCCTTCAATTCAGTAATTCCACTTCTATAGATAGGCTCCCTATGGATATAAAATTATCTATGCATAAGGTTGCTCACTGCAACACTGGTTACGATAATAAATGAAAACAATCTAAACGTCCATCTTTTAGAGGACTGGCTAAGCAAATGATAGCATTCCTATATAATGGGACACTGGGAAGCCAATAAAAAGCACAGAAGGATCTCCAAGATATATTATTAGCTGGAAAAAAAGGAATGGTTTAGAGGAACATGTGCATATTAGGCTTCTCCACTCACTCTCTTAATTATTCATGCAAGTTTTGGCTTGTATACATATGGATTACCTCTGGAAAGATATAAAAGAAAATGCTAGCAGTTGATGTTCCAGGGAGGGGAGTGCTAGCTTTCATTATACACTCTTTTGTACCTTTTTGATTTTTATTACTATGGGCATGTACAACCTATTCAAATTTAAGATGCAATTAAAAAAAAAAAAAGAGTATGATTGGCCTGGGAGAGTGCCATCTCCCTGCCCAAGGGCCCAAGAGTTTGGGGGAGCTCAAGGACTGGCTGCCTGGTACGGAGCCCCAGCAGTGCAGCAGCCTGAAGAGCTGGCTCCTCAGAAGGCCTGGCCCCCTCAGTTCTGCCTGAACACTGCTCCTCACCTGAGCCATTGTAGTCAGAGTCTCCGTTCACACCTTCCAGGAAGGGCACTCGAGACAGGGCTGGCTTCCCACGGCTGCGTTTGGGGGGCGTCAGACCACTGCACACAGAGCAGGGAGAGAGGGGTGAAATGAGCAATTTCAATGACTAAAACGCCGACTCCCCTTCTCCCCTCTCCCCTCTCTGACAGGAGTGGAGCTGCAAAAACTCTTCAGGGAGGACAGTTTCTCACCTTCCCCTAAAAACTCACACTAACCCATGTTTTTGACTGAAAAGTTCCCATGAGGTTTTGAGGAACCATTTCATCTACATGGAAGGACTGAACCTGGAAGGAGTTGCTCAGTTCCCTGCTCAGGAACCTTGGACTTCATCCAAAGGAAAGGTCACACCAGTCATTTGTCAATCCTTCCAGCGTCTAAGCAGCTTTGCCATGACAGGGGCCATCTTACATCTGCCCAGAATTCTTTGCTCTGGTTCACATCGCTTTTCTTTAGAAACCAATTTATTTTTGAGATTCAAAAATTTGCCTCTTTGCCAAATTTTCTAAAGTGGACATGTCATACTTCCTTAATTAGAAAAGACATTTTTAAATTGGAAAAAAAAATGCACTTCTCACTTCCAAATGGTTTATGTGTGAAGTTTTTCTTGGATAGAGAGAAGTGGATTTTTTAAAGTAAAAAGTGGGCTGGGTGTGGTGGCTCACGCCTGTAATCCCAACACTTTGGGAGGCTGAGCTGGGCAGATCACGAGGTCAGAAGATCGAGACCACCCTGGCCAACATGGTGAAACCTCATCTCTACTAAAAATACACAAATTAGCTGGCCGTGGTGGCACGTGTCTGTACTCCCAGCTACTCAGGAGGCTGAGGCAGGAGAATCACTTGAACCAGGGAGTTGGAGGTTGCAGTGACCCAAGATCATGCTACTGCACTCCAGCCTGGCGACAGAGCAAGACTCCATCTCAAAAAAAAAAAAAAAAAAAAAAAAGTAGACCAATTTTTGTTTCATGACTATTGCAAAGAGGCAAAATGTATATTACACAAAGACTAAAAAGTGATAAGCAAAAATTAGAATGGCAATACCAAAGCAATGTTGCAACTGAAGCCCACCCGGGCATCATCAGTATTTTCAAATTGTTCCCCATACAATTCTAATGTACACCGTAGCTTCTGGGCAAAAATGATATGGCTAGCACTTTTTTCCATCCAAACTTCAAAAAATAATATTACTCCTATATAACTTTAAATTTTCTCACTAAAAAATGCTTAAAGAATAGGTCATCAATCTGCAGAAAAGCAGAAATGCTTAAAGAAACCCCTAGTGGGATAAGAAACAGCCAGGAGTAGGGACTGGTTGGAGAGTAGGGTACTCCCGTTTTACTGAATCAGAACTGACTTTATCAGGAACGTATGCTAAGAAAACTTTGCTTAACCAAAACCCAATGAATCATAATTTTTCAGTAACCTGTAGTTAGGTTGGTAGTTTTTATTGCTAGTCAAAATAGAAACTGTTTGGGAAAAAACAAAAAATACCCAGTTTACATTTAGGATTTAGTTCCCATTTACCCTATAAAAATCTGCCAACATATTAGAGAAATTGAGGCCTTGTACAAATGTAAAGTGCTAGTAATTTTATCAGGAAAGCCTCTCAAAGTTCACGTCAAGATGAGAAAAAGAAAAACAAATCAAAGTTCACATCAAGAATCTGGGGAGACATCTTCAAATACAACAGAAGACAGCACAGCAAAGTAGTTAAGAAATTAAACTCTTGGAGCCTATCTGGGTTCAAAACCCAGCTCTTGTTATCAGTTCTGTAACCTTCAGCAAGTTACTTAACTTCTCCGAGGCTTACACTCCCCATGTGTTGTTGTAAGGATTAATGAACGAACACACATAAAACTCTCAGTACAGCACATACCATGCAGTCAATAAACACAGCTGTAGTTATTGTCATACGAAGGATAGTAAATTTTAATGTCTTACTTAAAGTATTACAAACTGCTAATACTGTACTATAGAATGATGAGCTCTGAGAAGGATGAGCTCAATAAAATAGGATGCAACACCAAAAATAGGTCTGTATGTTCCTGATTTGTAGAAAAAAGCACAACTGACTCAATCATGGCCTGCATTTCAGCCCTTTCTCCAAGTTACCCCAGCCTAAGCAGACAACCCAACCTACAGTTATCTTATTTACTGGTTTAACATCCATATCCATGAGAACAGACACCTTAGAAGATAATCTTCATGAGAACAGGCACCTTAGTGCTTAGAACAGTACCTGGCATACAGTAGGTGTTCAGTTATCAATATTTGAATGAGTGATCTATAGAAAGCACATGTAGCACCAACCTGCTCAGAAAATCATCAGAAAAGATAAACCAAGGGGTAAGTGAAAAAGGGAGTGTGGGGGATGGGTTAGTGACCAGTTCTTTCAAGGTTATTTCTAATTCTGGGATTATATGATTCTGGTCTAATAAATAAGGTCTTCCCTTATATACTTATTACCACAGTATGGGGGGAAAAAGAAAAACAACCCTTGCAGTTGAAGCCTTTGGATCTCCTATTTTAAACCCTGAAATATTAATACATACTTCCTCCAAGGGGCCCCAGATAAATCAAGGGCATTGCACTGGAGTTCTGCAGAAAGGCAAACACGCCACCTGAATTAGCAGGCTAACCAGAGCCTGGCCTTGCTTGCTCTTGTGGCTCATAGCTGAAAAGAATGCCCTTCATAGAAGAAGGGGCCAACAACACACCTTTCACTTTTAGTCAAGAGCAAGAAAAGGATAGTTTGATGGGTCCAATCCTACCCTGACCCCAACAAAGTGGGCTTCCAGGTACCTTATCTTTGAAGGGAGTCAGGAACTTCAACCCAGGGCCAGGCTAGAAGCATCGTGTAAGATTCTGAAATCTTTCTCTTTCCTGTGCCTGATAATTTTTTCCCATCTACTTCCCCTATATCTCTGGAGGCTGCAATAGGAAGCTAGGGCAACTCTGAGGGTTGGCGGGGGGTAGGGGAATCTCAGAGAAACCACAGCAGGGAACCAGTCCAGGCCAACGAGTAGCTGGGGACCCCCTCAGCCCTACCAGTAGTCCTACAGCCCAGGTAGACTGAATGCCTAAAAGAACACATGCCCAGTCTGCCTTGGAAGCACTTCAAACACAAATAGTCTTCTGGTGCTGCCCTGGGACCTTTCCTCCCCTACTCTGAACCTAAGA
Organism: Homo sapiens; assembly: GCF_000001405.40. Lineage (NCBI taxonomy): Eukaryota > Metazoa > Chordata > Mammalia > Primates > Hominidae > Homo > Homo sapiens. Next base: position 36,219,047 of record NC_000006.12, on the reverse strand, counting down.
CCCATTCAGCAGTCATGGGTGGGGCCATGACATTAGCCTTCAGGACAAGTCACTTTTCCTTTGTGGCAGTGAGGGTTTCTCATTTCTAAGAGTCCTCCCCGCCCTGGTGTCTTGCAGAACACAGAACACAGAGCAGGGGCTCCATAAGCTCTTGTGCCTGGAAGAAACTTTAAGGTCTGGTCTGAGAAATCCTCCCTTCAGATAAAAGAATGGGAAGAAATCCATCTCTTTTCAGCTCAAGGACAGCAGAAGAGCTTTGGGGCCTTTGTCTGAATAAAAGGCAATTCCAGGCCAGGCGCAGTGGCTCACGCCTGTAATTCCAGCACTTTGGGATGCTGCGGCGGGCAGATCACTTGAGGTCAGGAGTTCAAGACCAGTCTGGCCAACATGGTGAAACCTCATCTCTACTAAAATACAAAAATTAGCTAGGCGTGGTGGCACGTGCCTATACTCCCAGCTACTCAAGAGGCAGAGGCAGGAGAATCACTTGAACCCAGGAGGCGGAGGTTGCAGTGAGCCGAGATCGGGCCACTGCACTCCAGCCTGGGCAGCAAGCAAGACTCCGTCTCAAAAAAAAAAAAAAAAAGGCAATTCCAAATTTCCTACTTGGTCATTTCATACACCTACACCACACCTCTATAAAGAGGCTATGACGCCCCAAAAGGCAAAGAGCAAAACCAACTCTGTAATGGCTGGGTTGTCTAAATGTGTGTAGGGGCAGCAGGGGACTTTGGCTCAAATGTTAATTTCACTGAACAACAGGAGATTTAGCTTTTCTTATCCTCTAGAGTCCAAATTCAGCCCCACAAACCCTGTAAGCATCAGCACTACTCTTCCTCTCTCAGATCAGATCTGAGAGTCAAGGGTCACCCTGTTTCCTAGGAACTCCCAGAGTTACAGATAAGAGGCCTCAGGAAATAGCAGGAGTGGGGGAAGAGAGAAAAAGGTAAGCAGGAAGAGGTTCAATCTGTAGCTGAATGGAGAGTAAAAGGAGGGGTAGCAGAGCTGCTGACAAAGCTTTGGGAATGTGTTCTTACCTGCAAGCTTCAAATGCCAGTCCACCACTGAGACCCAAACTACATTCAGAGTCAGACCCGCTTTCGGTGTGTTTTCCAAAGCCGTTGGTCATGCCTGCCAAGGACACACACAGTGAGTCTGAGTGCAGAAATCCCCCTTCCCAACACATGCTACAGGGTGAGGCAGCCACCTCAGGAGGGCTCAGTGACGAGTGGAGAGGATGGCTATTCCTTTCCCTGTGAGAAATGGGTCTTGGGTGATAGAGAAGATCTGATCAAGATAAAAGTTTGGGGGGAAATATTGCTGGCTAGGGCAAGGAGCAGACACTGCAATTTCCTTCCCATCCTTCTGCTTTTTGTTTAAGGAAACCATAGCACACAGCTCACTCAGCTACTGTCATTTGGCTACACAGGGAGATACTAAGACTTCTCCTACCCTGGCTGGCTCACAAGTCCTTGGATCTGCTTCTAATTTCAAACCTCGATTATCAGGTAGCCTTCTCTGCCTTTTTCAGGAGCCCAACCACCTTGCCTCTTCAGATAAAGACTCACATAACCTATGCATCACACAGCTGGCAACAGCTAGTTTGATTCTTTGGGGGTGGTGTCAAGAGAGACTAGAGATGGATAAGGGCCCTTTGTCAACCACACCCTGAGATATCTCACAGGGCTAATCCAAAGTGAGGATGGGGGCACTCTTCAGCGGAACTAAAGCAGCCCGGAACTTCCTGGGAGGGAGAGTCAGAACCTGGGGTTCTAGGCTGGGCTCTGAAACACAGGTTCCTTTTCTCTTGCTTTGAGGTCTCTTGACCTCTCCTTTGGTGAAGTGAAGATAATACCTTACTTACTTACTATTCAGTATGTATGAGAGAAGGTCTGTTTATAGTGGGGAGCCCTTCAGAGGCGAATGAAGGCTGTTTGGTCATCCCAGGTATATGACCTTGAAGTGAAGGCTTCCACTCTCCTATCTATCCAATTTATTTTTCTATTTTTTGAGATAGGGTCTCGCTCTGTTGCCCAGGCGGAGTGCAGTGGTGTAAACAAGGTTCACTGGAGCCTCAATAGCATGGGTTCAAGTGATCCCCTGCCTCAACCTCCTGAGTAGGTGTGACCACAGGCATGAATGAGCCCTATGCCCAGCTAACTTTTTAACTTTGCAGAAACAGGGTCTTGCCATGTTGCTCAGGCTGGTCTCGAGCTCCTGGGCTCAAGTAATCCTTCTGCCTCAGCCTCCCAAAGTGCTGGGATTACAGGAATGAGTCACTGTGCCTGGCCTTTATCCAATTGCTAGCCACACTAAAAGTCCTATAATTCTAACAGCTGAGCCAAGAGGTGTACAGAGATGGGCCAGGCACCTGATTTGAAAGCTGTAGATTACAGACACCGTAACTAGAAAACTGTGAGGCAAGTCCCTCCTATAAGAGCAGGTGTCTGAGCCACAATGTCTATCCTCTGACCTGGCTCTGCCTCTAACATTATGACCACAATTTAAATCACTGAAGCCATCTGTGTCTTGGGTGCCTCACTTACGAAGGATCAACACCTCTTTTTGTGAGATTCAACTAAGGTTGTATAGAAGTATCCCTGAGTGCCAGGCAACTGGGATGGTGAGAGACAGGATTCTAGCAGTATCTCCAAGCAACAGGCCCCCTCAGGTTGGATGGGCCTCATGTACAGAGCTACTTCCCAACAGCAGGATCTTTCATTCTTTTAATGCAGTGTTCTCAGCACTGTATGGCTAAGCCTGATTCAACTGACAGGATGACAGTAACTGCTACCATCTACTGCTATATGCCAAGTGCTTTATAAAGGGTATTTCTAGTTCTTAGAACCCTGCAAGGTAGGTATCAGAAACCCCATATTAAGAATAAGGAAACAGGCTCAGAGAAGTTAATTAATTTTCCTGTCGTTACACAGCTAGTAAGAAATTGGGGATTTGAGTGCAGGTATGCCTAAATCCAGGCCTTAAGCTCTTGCCTCTATATACCAACTTACTCCCCTAACACAGAAAAGTTTTGGCCAGACGAGATGGGAAGGTATTGTTGAAAACAAAATGTCAGGCAAGAAGACAGAAAAGCAAGTGCTGGCCACACAGTCCAAAGTCACCACATAAAAGTACATGAGGGACACAAAGAGCAAAAGCCAAGAGCAGCCCTCCCTGCCAAGAAAGTGGGTCTTCCCTAACCCACCAAGACCTAAGTAGTCTGCCCGGCATTCAAAGTCCTTCACATTCAGTCCCATCTCACCCATCCAGTCTTGGCTCCTGATGCTCTGGGAAGCCCCTCTCTAAGCTGTCCCTCACAGAGATTCTGTCCTCCTTGTTCCCACACACCCAGGCCTGAGGCCTTCATAACCATTCCTTTCCAGTCTGCCCTCATCCCACAGGGCCAGCTCAGCCCAACTCCTACAGCTCAAATTCCCTGAACACCTCTAGCAATGCTACCTCTCACCTGACAAATAACAACATACTGTCCACCACTGTGATTTCTCTACATTTTGAGAGACTCATTTGCCCAATGGCCTGTGAACCTTCCAGAGCTGGAATTAAGTCTGACTTATTTTATTACTTCCTCACAGCTACTCATGACTAGCTCCTGCTGGATGTATATTAAGAACACTTTAGGTGGGGCGCGGTGGCTCATGCCTGTAATCCCATCACTTTGGGAGGCTGAGGCGGGCAAATCACTTGAGGTCAGGTGACCAGCCTGGCCAACATGGTGAAACCCCATCTCCACTAAAAACACAAAAATTAGCAAGGCGTGGTGGTGGGCACCTGTAGTCCAGCTACTTGGGAGGCTGAGGCAGGAGAATTGCTTGAACCCAGGAGGCAGAGGTTGCAGTGAGCTGAGATCATGCCACTGCACTCTAGCCTGGGCGACAGAGCAAGACTCATCTCAAAAAAACAAAAAAACAAAAAAAAACCCTCTCTTTAGTGATGGAACCTCCACTACCTACCTCTATCACCACCTCACCCCACCCCACCCCCTCTGCTGCAGCCAAACTGGTTCCCTCAGTGTTCCTCAGACATGCAGGCATGTTCCCACCTCCAGGACCTATGTACTTTCTAGTCTATCTTTTTGGAATGTTCTTCCCCTAGACATACAAATAGCTCATGCCTTCAACTCCTTCAGATCTTTACTCAAACGTTACCTCCTTAGAAAACCTGGCCACCCTCTCTAAGACCACTCTAGCATTCCTTCCCTGCTGGATCTTTCTCCAAATCTTCTAATACAAGATACGGTTTACTCATTTGCTTTTAATATATTCCCCCATAAGAGAGCAGATTTTTGTCTGTTTTGCTCATTGATTTTTTCCCCCAATGCCTAGAACAGTGCCTAACACAAATATTTGATGAATGAACTGAAATGAAGGTAGGAATCATTTTACTTTATACAACATTGCATTACCCTCAGGGCCAATGAATCCCAGACACAATCTGGCTCTCTGGAAAATACCTGCTCAAAGCCTATTTCCCCTGGCTGCTACTAACATGCCAGGCCCAACTGTGAGCTATGGTGCCCTCAATGCTACTATTGCTGTCCAATGGTGCCATTAGAGAGATGGCCAATTGGGGAAGGTGCTGGTTGGCAAGGCAAAGCAGAAAAGCAGATGCGAAGTATCAAGAGAAGTCACAGGCAGGGTCACCTGTCTCTTCCTCCTGCTGGGGGGACCTCTCCCCTTCGCTCTCACTACAGCTCCTGCTCCTTGGCCGCTTCCGGGAGTGGCGCTCTTCCTCGATGCTGGCTGGAGAGGCAGGAGAGCCTGCCACACCATGGTCCTCGCCATTCTCCAGGACCCTGTCTGGGCTTCTCTGTAGCTTAACCCCATTCTTGGCCTTCTTGAAGAGGACTGATGTGCGGCGACCCACACCACTAAGTGGGGTACCGGCCGGGGTGTCAGGGGCCATGAGGGATAGTCTGTTGATGCCATTGTCACTGAGCAAGCGTTGCAAAGGCTCATTCCCTAGCTGCAGTGGTGATTTTTCCAAGAGCTCATCTTCTTCCACCTTTCTGGGCTTTAGGAACCTGCTTGGAGGTTTGCTATCATTAATGGGTTTCAGAGTAGGGGGCTCCGGGGGGGATTCTTGCTCAGACAAGGAAGGTGCAGGCCCAGTGGGCTCCAGGGTTGGCGGAGGAGGCAGTTTGGAGTCATCTATTAGAAAAAAAGAGAATCTGCTTGAACATTTTAGAAAGAGTCTGCTCCTACAAGCTAGATACTGACACTGACAACCAAGGACCAAAAGCATTGGCTGTTATAAGGCTTGAGATGCATTCAAGGTCTTAGATCTGAAGCAAAGAGAAAGGAGGATTAGGTTTTTTTTTTTTTTCAGAGACAGGATCTTGCTCTGTTGACCAGGCTGGAGTGCAGTGGTCTGATCACAGCTCACTGCAACCACAAACTCCTGGGCTCAAGTGATTATCCTGCCTCAGCCTCCAAAGTAGCTAGGTCTATAAGCACACACCACCACACTTGGCTAGGCTAATTTTTCAAAAAAATTTTTGTAGAGACAGGGTCTTACTGTGTTGCCCAGGCTGGTCTCAAACTCCTGGCCTCAAACAATCCCCCTGCCTCTGCCTCCCAAAGTGCTGAGATTACAGGGATGAGCCACTGTACCCATCCCCAGGAGAAGTAAGTTTTATCTACACTAGTAGTTCTCAACCCTGGCTATGTATAAGAATCACATAGGAAGTTTCTTAAAAATTCCAATGCCTAGGCTCCATCCCATACCAACTGAAACCAAATTTGTAAAGATAGGGTATTTTGTTTTTTAAAGCTTACCAAGTGAGTCTAATGAAGTGAGGATTGCAAACCATTGCTCTACACAAAGAAAGCCACATGCTTAATCAATAAATAGGTTAAGTCTCAGCTTGACAGATTAGGTATCTACAATTCTCACTGGACTCAAGAGTTTTCTCATCTGTCAATCGATTTTATTTCACATCACCCAAGTAAGAACAAGTACAGCAGGCAGAAAAAGTTCACAAATGTGAAAAACGAGACCAAGTAAGTTAAATCAGTGGTTGCCAAACATGTGTGCTCACCTACCACCTTGAAACTTTTTTTTTTTTTTTGAGACGGAGTCTCGCTCTGTCGCCCAGGCCGGACTGCGGACTACAGTGGCGCAATCTCGGCTCACTGCAAGCTCCGCTTCCCGGGTTCACGCCATTCTCCTGCCTCAGCCTCCCCAGTAGCTGGGACTACAGGCGCCCGCCACCGCGCCCGGCTAATTTTTTGTATTTTTAGTAGAGACGGGGTTTCACCTTGTTAGCCAGGATGGTCTCGATCTCCTGACCTCATGATCCACCCGCCTCGGCCTCCCAAAGTGCTGGGATTACAGGCGTGAGCCACCGCGCCCGGCCGAAACTTTTAAAAATTGAGACTTCCAAGCCAAAGCCCAGACATCCCTAACTGAATCTATGGGAGGTGAGGCTACACCTTTTTTTTTTTTTTTTTTTTTTCTAGGTGATGCTGTTGGCCTACTGGGCACAACTCTGTACTGCCACAGCCCCAGAAGTAGGGATACAAATGGCATGCTGACTGTCATACGGGGAGTCCAGAGGAGTCACAATGGACATAAAAGCCCTCTGATGTCAAATGTGATCTCTCAACTATGTCTCCATTCTCTGCCAACCTAAAATAAAATGGGCTGTTACCTACAATTTGGGCCCCTATCCATTGGAAGTAACTTCCAGCCTTTTCGACTGTGTGCGTGACAGGCCCTCCCAAGCTATAGGCTCGGATCCGAAGGCAGGTATGAGGGAGACAATTCCATCCCCAGTGAAGGAGAAGAATGAGAAGCAGCTTAGCTTATAAGGTTCCTGGGTTTCTGAGAGTCACTTCCCTGGCTGTCTTTTCTTCTTTTTTATTTTTATTTTTTTGTCTTTTCTCAAGATCAAGAAAAACTGTGGAAACCAACTATCTTTTATAGTCTGGCCTCTCTACTTGAGATGGGCCTGTAGATTCAGCCAGATGGGGTAAAAACCATGAGGTGGCTCAAAAGCCCAGGGTCTTTCCTTCTCTGCTATCACCTCACACCCCAACCTAACCTGCTCTAGAGTCTCTCCACGTGATGTTACAAGGTAGGCTGATATTTAACTGGTATGTACAATACGGCTGTATCAGGTGCAAAATACTGACATACTTAATTGGCTAATAAACAGCTGCTGGGCTGCAGCACCTGAAACTCCCCACAATCCAGCAACTAAATATCCACAACAGGGGCCTTTGGGAGCCCACTCCAATATAACAGCCAACATCTACTGAGATGGATAAATTTTAGTCTCTAGTGATTGTTAAATATTTTGAACATCATCCCTGCGTATACATGGAAGTGTGGCCCTTCCAAGCACTTTTGCTTGCCCACAAGTGTCAGATCTAAACTCAGAAAGAATACCCCCATTATGATATTTCAGCTTAGCCTTTGTCCCTCTTTACCCTCCAACCCCCTGCCTGCCTGTGACTATCTCTCACCTCTGTCCCCATCGTCTTCTGGCTCCTCCTGCAAGGCCTGCTCCAGCACAGCTGCATCCCCCTGGGGCCCTGCTGGCAGCTCCCCATTGGATACTGTCTTGTTGAGTGATGGTGGCTGTGGTGGTGGTGGCTGTGCCAGCTTCTGCCGAAGGGCATTGATCTCCCGGCGTAGCAGGCGGACACGACGGGTGCGGGCCCCACTGGACCGCATGGCGCTCACCAGGTCCAGTTTCTCCAGCAGCTCCTTCAGCTGCACCTCTGGGGACAAATGGGCCCGGTTCTCTGGGATGAGGATGTTGTCCACTGCCAGGGAGAAGGGAGGACAGAAGGGGCTGAAGGACCTGCCCAGCACAGGGCAAGAGAAAGGGGCCGAATCCTTCGGATGCAAAACTCTCTCTTGGAATGCCTGGGCCAGCAGCTTCCAGCAGCGTCACTGTGGGCCTTGGCCCTGCAACACCACTGCCCAGAAGGCAGCCACAGGGGCAAGGTCAGAATCTGGGAAACGTCTGCAGGAAGCAGTTCACAGTCACGATTATGGGCTCCATGGAGCAGGCATGAGGCAGCTTGGCAATACCCTGGCCTGAGTGACTGGCTGCTGCCATCGAGAAGCAGAGAGCAGGGACAGGCAGCGTGTGGGGCTCAGAGGCAATTCCATTTTTCTGGTCCTCCACCTGCAATCTTCTGAATGAGCCAAACACACACCAGCAATGCACTCTCCCTGTCCCATGCTCCAATGCCATACAGAGGGGATCCAAGAGAGGAAGACCTCTGATGAGGCTTTAAGCTTTTCAAACAGACCACTAGTACCTGATTCCCCTTTTCTACCACTTAAGAAGTGCAGAGTACATTAGTTAAACTTTAACCCTTAGAACTATTCTAGCCACAAAGGTATACCTCAGTCTGTGCTCACCCTCAGCTTTGCTCCTGGAGTCTACCTATAGCCCCAAGGACCACCCTGATCCCTCACTCTGTAGACTCTGTTCCTGTGCCTCCTCCTGGCCCCTCTCCTCCCCACCCATCCAGGCCTCTCACCGTCTTCCCAGGAGAAGCGGTAAAAGTCTTCCAATTTGGGTGACTCGGGCAGGTGAGTGCCCCTCTCGGGGTCATAGCCGATGTTCTCTGCCTGCCGCCGGGCGTGCCGTAGGATGGCCCCTCCCAGGTCCCGCAGGCGGACAGCTGCTCGGTGGAAAATTGTGTCTTTAGCATTATACTTCATGCAGTTGGTAACTATAAGGTTAAAGTCCTCCTCAAACTCCTCCAAGGTGCGGTACAGGTGGGACTCCAGCTTCCGCCTCATAGTAGAAAAATCCATTGGCTTGGATATGAATTCCAGGTAATCTGGAACCTAAACATATAAAACCTGTACAATTACAACAACCATTTACTAGCCAAACAGACACACCCTTCACCAATACTCTTGGCCTCCTCAATTTCTGATTTGGCCATGCCAGGCTAACTCAAAGACCTACAGTCCTGGCCCACCCTGGCCTGCTGACCCCTCATCAAGGGCAAGTCTACTAGCTTTGCCAGACCCACCCTCCTACCCCTGGTTTTGTACACCCTGTGGCCCAACTCCTTCCTAGCCTACTCAGACCCTGTTCCAGTTCAAGAAGAATTTACTACTTGGAAAGTAGGGGGAACTTGCCTCACTCAAGTTGACTGGTTCTGCGAAGATGTGTGCAGGATCCTTCTCCTGCAGCAGGTCCAGTGTTGTCCTCAACAGAACATTGAATGGCATCAGCTCCAGCTCCATGGCAGCCTGCTGGACTTTGACCTGTGGGGAAGGTGGGGTGAGATCAGATCAGAACATCCCCTGCAAAGATGTACTGAAACTTTTTCTTGATAGTTTGACTTTTACCAATCTTGTACAACAAATTTTCATAGAATATTAAGCTGACCAGTATATGAGAAGCTATCACCCAACCTTTAGCCTAGGAATAATGACACCAACAGCTACTATTTTATTATTGTTTCCTATGTACCAAACATCATACTAAAATTTACAGTAACAATAATAATTATCATTACAATTATAATCATTAACACTTCTATAGCCCTTACTAAATGCCAGGTAATGTTCTAAGCATTTTATGTAAAATAAATGAGTATATGAGGTAGGAACAGATGAGGTATTTTACAAAGAGGAAACCAAGTAACTAAGGAACTAGGAGGAAACTAGAGGAAACTAAGTAACTGGCCTAAAGTCATAGCTAATAAGGAGCAGAGTTGGGATTCAGTCCCAGTGATTCTACAGTGAGTGCTCTTGGCCATTATGCCACACTAACTCTGTACTTGTATTACCTCAATTAATCATCACGATAACCCTGAAACAGAAATTATTATCCCCATTTTACAAATATGGATCAGAACAAGGATCACCAAGGACTAAAAGAAAAAAAATACAAATTAAAAAAATGTATATGGAATCTGAGGTTTAGAGACAGCATGATGAAGGAGTTACTAGTCTAAGGTCATCTGTCTAGAAAAGAATAGAGATAGGATTTGAACCCAGGTCTGACTTAGTCCAAGGGACACAATGATGATGTAAAATGTGCTTGAACCAGAATTTCCCAGTGTGCTGAGATACTGATTCCATCAGCCCTTGGAGCATCTGGGTCAGCATGGGGTCACCAGGGCCTCCAGGCTTGCCCCCGCAAGTGGCAAGTAGCTTCATATACTTACAGTAGTATGCTGTACAAATGCTATTTTCTACATATGCCCTAATGTGAAAAGTTGGGAAGCCACAAATTAAGACTATAGAAAATTTCCACCTTTTGGCTATATCAAAACAGGCCTGCCTACTTCCCCAGGACCAGGCCTTCTTCTCTCTCTCATTTCTCTGAACCAGAGATGAGATGAGAAGTTCAGCTGTGGGATCATGCCTGGGACAGCACAGACATTTTGAACCCTTGAAGAAGGTCCTGAGATGTCCTCCATGGCCATCCATGGTAAATATGGCATGAGCTGCCCAGGCTATGAGGAGGAAACTCAGGCTACTGGCCTGCTAGAAAAGGGGTTGTGCTAAGGCTGACCACTGAATTAGAATTTGGAGAAAGAGAAAGAAACATCTTTTTTTTTTCCCCTTTTTGTGGAGAACAGGTCTTGCTTTGTTGCCCTGGCTCATCTCAAACTCCTGGACTCAACCTATCCTCCTGCCTCTGCTTCCCTAAATGCAGGGATTACAGGCATGAGCCACTGTGCCCGGCAAGAAAGGAACATCTTTAACCCTGGCCTCTGAAGCATGTGAGTGACAGCTGCTATTCCTAGACCAGAGAGAACAGTTTTGGCTTTTCATCCACTTAATTAACAGTATTTGCTCTCTGCCATGTGCAGTAGACACTTCAGAGAAGCAAAGAGTATTGATAATAATAATAATGACAGCAGCTGACATTTCTCTGGCTGTTACTATGTGCCAGGCACTGTTCTAAGCTCTTTACATGATGAAGTCATCTAATCCTCAAAACAACCTTATGATGTAGGCTCTATAATTACCCCCATATTCCAGGTGAGAAAACCAATGTATTAAGCGATTAAAGAATTTGCTTAATGTCATACAGGTAGTCTGTAGAAGAGGCAGGATTTCAACCCAGGCAGTCTGGTGCCATAGCTCATGTTCCTAAACACTATGCTACACTACCTACCTCAACATTTCCTATGCTCAAGGGCTTAAAATCTCCTAGAACAGAGGAGAAACAGAAAATGTAAATGATTCAGGACCATAAGTGTTTAAGAGTCAAGTGGGAACCCTCAGAAGTTCCCAGGCCAGAGGCTTTCAACTGATGATGCCCATGAGAATGGTCTAAGAAGCTTTTCAAAATCCTCAAGGCCAGGCTCCCTCTGAGAGACTTCCTGAATCAGAAAATACAGGGACAGGCCCAGGCATATGATATTAAGCTTATGCTTGAGGCCACCAGGAGCTGAAATCCAAACTATAGAAACCATCAGTAGCACCACATCTAATACAAAGTAGGCAGATCTTGGAGCCTACAATCCTGGGTAGGGAGGGGAGAAAGAAACCTAGCATAAGGCAGGGGCTCCCAGATTTCCCAATACTAGACTAATAGTGGGAGAAAGTGGCCTTGAACTAGGGCCCTAGGGCTGGGGGCTCCTCCTTACCTGCTCTCGTTTGAGCTTCTCTCTCTTCCGAATCAGCTCAATCAGCAGCCGCGCCCGCTCCAAGTCATGCCGGAGCTTCTGCCAATACTTCAGCTCCTCCTTCACTGCACTTGTCTTCTCATCCTGCTCTCGCTACAGGAGGGAAGAGAAGAGGGACTAGGAACCTCCTTCTTGCAAAAGTCCTCTCCCTGTTCAAGCCTCACGGGGCTGCAGCAGGTAAAAGTCTTGTCCCCTTCCTTGACCCACAGTTCCAAGAGCCCTTCCACCCCTCTCTACCCCATGCCTTCCTCCTGAGCTGCCCCAGTATTACAGCACTGTTTCTTCATTATAAAGCAATAACCTTTGCTGGAGTAGGATCTGGGACTGCTTCCCCCTATCCCCAGGTATGCCAGAGAGCAGCTATGGCCCTCTGGGTCAGAAAGAATTTCATAAGAAAACTGACCTCAGGGGTGAAAAGAATTTCACCCTAGAGCTTTCACTTGGCTAGAAAACAAAGCAAGGTTCTTACTATAAGCCTGAATATACTCTGGTAAAACAACAACAAACAAATCACGATTCCTGCCCTAGAAAAAATTACAGTTGGAGTCAGGGGAAGGGAAGAGACCTAGAGCTTGAAGCACAAGGGCATATTAGCATAAAGATAATACAAACTAATAATATAAACTGGAAATAAAATGCTAAGAGGATACAAAATAGAAGATCTGAGTAGGTGGAGGTTAGATCAGAGAAGCTTCCTGGTGAAGACTCTTACTAGAGTTTAACATACAGGTAGGTGACAGACATGGATGGGCAAAGTAGTAAGGAAGGTCTCTTCTGGAACCAAAGGGATGAAAGGGGCAGAAATATAGAGGCAGAATTAGTGATTCTTTGCTTAGTAAGTGAAACAGGCTGGCCAGAACAGAGATGCTGGAGAACTATAAAAGCCAAGGAAGATCCAGGATACAGCTAATAAGAAGCTTCAAATGTAAGGCAAAAGAGCCTTAACTTCGCCTGCCTAGAAAGAGGAGTATATTCTGGAAGAGGAAGTAAGAGAATGGAAGAGCAGGACATTGCTCACCTAGGCCTTGCTCCTCTCCACAGTCAGACATTCCTGCCCCAAAGCCAAGCTTATAAAATCAAGAACTAGGCCTTTCCCCAAAGGACAGATCCCCACCAATGTCCATGCCAAGCACACCTGCCCAGATGTAGGCAGCACCCTCCCTCTACAACCTCTTGGCCATGGAGGATCCCAACAGCATGTGAATAAGAAACTACCAGTTGAAGATCAAAGAAAGAATTAGAGGCTGGAGATCACCTAGAAAGCTATTGCTGAGATTAAGAGGGCATGGATGAGCAGGAGAGCTGCAGAATGAAGACAAAAACCCATGTTGATAAAGCCCCCAAAGCAGCTTAAAGGATGATTAAAAATGGCCCTTAGGGAGTAAAGAGTCAAAAGTAACTCCAAGGTGGGGAACTTTTGATATGAGTCCAGGAGGGAGGGGAGAGCCATAATGATGGGGAAATAAGTTTACTGAGAGGAAAAAAGATAATTAATTTCCAATATTTGAGTTACAAATTAACAACATCCACATGGAAACATCCCTGAGGGACTGATGGCAGAAAAAAGGGATGAGGACAAGACAAAAAGTCTGGAGCTGCTATTACAGTTATTGTCAATTATGAGATTGGACATGTTCTCCAAGCAAACGAGCAGATAGCAGAGCCACTGGGAATGTTACCATTAAAGAGCAAGAAGTGGGATCAGCATAGGGTACAGTCAGAGAGGTAGAAGCAGCCGGAAGTGGTATCACAGAGAAGCTCTTAGACAAAGTCATTTGTGGTGTCAAATGCAGCCCAATGATCAATCAGGTGAGAATATAAGGAAAGACTTCCTGGGAGAAGGTAGCTGATGTTTTAGGGGAGGCTTCAGTGGAGCAGGTGGACCAAAAGGTTCAAGGCGGGCCAGATACAGGCTTATACTTCAGGAGTTTAGTTATAAAAGGCAAAAGTGAGATCAGACAGAATGCAGAAGGCACCAGACTCACATAAAGCTTTGCTTCATCTCTGGAGCAGCAGTGTGGGAACACTTAAAGACAGAAAGAATAGAACAGGTAAAGGGGGAGAAAGAACTAAAGAGTTAAAATAAGAGAAATTAGGAGCAGAAAACATTAAACATGCAGCAACTCCAGTTGCTAATGGCTAACAGCCACCACAATTGGACAGGCTGTGTGCTACAACTTAGATCGTAAATTTGTGTATTTACTATGAAACATTTTTTGGCAGATGGCAGTATAATGTCTTGAGGAAAGGGCACCTTTTCCTAATTAACACAATGTGGCCACCCTGGCTCTCATTCAGCCTACTTCTGGCTTTCTGCTACATCTAGAGGATTTTCCCCACATATATGGAAAGCTACGCATGCTCTCCACTCTCCCCTAGAATTCTCTACAAAGTCAAGCCTCATCCATCCAGAAGGAGCTGCTTGAAGATCTCTGTAGTGCTGGGGGTTGTTCCTGGGATAGGCCACCCAGACAGGTAGGCAAAGGCTCCATGGAGGGATCAAGAAGGGGTGCCAGCCCCACCCCAACCATCATTCCTTTTCCTTCACTCTCCACCTCCCTCTACCAGCCTCAAATCACCACTGCACCTACCTGCTCAGCGTTTCTTTGGGACTGCAGATGGGAGTGCAAGCGCCGGATAAGAGGGACACCATTCCGTGCCTGCCGCTTCAACAGCCAATAATTGTGAAGCCGCTGCATAAACTGGTTTTTCCTCTGAAAGGAGAGACCACTACAGATCTTGTTCAACCTTGAGTAGAGGCACACGGAAGTGAAAGACAAGGTCAGTGGGCAGCCCAGATTACAGCCTGTGCATCCTATCCAGACCTGGTTCATTTCTGAACCTTATACAGGAAGACAGAATAAAATGGCCAAATACCTCACCTCAGAGAAAGGCTTGAAAAGGACAGTAAAGTTAAGCAGCTCAGATTCAGCATGAGTTATTTCATTTGCTTTTCCACCTCTTGCCTTGCAGTCCTAATCCTCCAAAAGAACCATCTCCCAGAGTCCCGTTTCCTATGGTCCTGGACTTCCTTGTTCCACGTACGGACTGAAAAACAAGCCTATGCCTCAATACCCCCAGCCTCCTCTTATAAAAGCAGCGAAAGGGAACAGGAACTGGGGTAAGCTATGGTTAATGTGGCCACTATTTCCTGCCTTCTGCGGCTGAGAGTCCCATCAAACCAGGGGGTAGCCCACAACCAGGCTGAGCCCAATGCAACCCCTTAGACTTGTTTGACGTCTGGTTTTTCATGGTATAAACCTCAACAGCCTAAAAATGTTGTTTAATTTTGAACCAAATGAAAAAAAAAATTGGATCTAAAGATGTAAGAGGATGGGAAATGTGAAAACCCAGCTGGCTAAACTACTCAAAAGTCTTAAGGTCAGGGTTTAAGCCAGTAACTCCTTGGGGGAGGAAAAGGGGTAGGAGAGGAACTAATGCAAGCCTATAATATCTGTCTTTAATATCCATATTGCAAGGTGGGTATCATTATTTCCATTTTACAAAAGATGGAAAGGCAGCATAGGAACAGAAGCTGAATAAACTGTCAAAGTAACTAATACAGCTAATAAGATGGTGGATCCAGGTTGGATTTGAATCCACGATCTCTCTGCTATACCATGGTACATCCCCAGACTGGTTATCCACAGGGTAAGCAAGGCCTCAGTGCTCTTGTGGTGTTTCCTCTCCTTTTTCTCTTCATGCCACTCCATTGAAACAAAGATAAGCACAGCTAAACAAGTTGAAACCTTAGAAGGATGGGCATGTTGGGCAGGACGTTGCTCACCTAGGCCTTGCTCCTCTCCACAGTCAGACATTCCTGCCCCAAAGCCAAGCTTATAAAATCAAGAACTAGGCCTCTCCCCAAAGGACAGATCCCGACCAATGTCCATGCCAAGCACACCTGCCCAGATGTAGGCAGCACCCTCCCTCTACCTCTTGGCCATGGAGGATCCCAACAGCATTTGTGCAGGTAGGGAAAAGAACAGCAATAATAAAATAGCAGCAGCAGCAGTAGTCACCATTTATTGAGCACTTACTATTTGCCAGACACTGTGCTAAGTGCTTTACTTATATTATCTCATTTATTTCTCACAACAACTCTATGTGGTGGGTTCATTTACAAATAAACTAAGGCTTAGAGCAGCTAAGCAACTTGCCAAAAGTCACAAAGGTACTAAGTCACAGAATTGGGTTTCAAATGTAGGTTTGTCTGGTTCTTAGCCAGCAAGCTCTGCTGGCCCCAGCAAGAGGCATCTAGAACAACATATATGTCAACCAAAGATTCTAGCCTCAGGGTAAAACCACCCTACAGATGGGAACTAAGCATCCACCCACTTACCTCAGGAAAAAGAATAACCTAGAACAGCTCTGTGACTAGAAAACACATACAGAGTCACTGAAATTCTAACTTGGGTAATAACTGGCAATAAGAGCCTCCCCCTTCTGATCTCACACTTATGTCTTCTTCCCAGCCTGGCAAGTCTGGTTGCCTATTCATAGCTCTCACACAACTCTTTCCCCAGCACTCCTTTCTCTCTACCCTTCTCATCAAGAGAGACGGACTACAGGAATGCAACCTAGAGGCATCATGAGCCCCAGCTCTTGTGGTATAGGGTCTGTCACTTTCCACCTGGTTCCATCCCTTAGAACAGGACATGGCATGTATTAAGTGCTCAATAAATATATCATTGAATGAATAAAGGAGTGAACAACTTTACCTCCCTTGGCCGCAGTTTCTTCATCTGGGGGTGTGGGAGAAGGTGCAAGGACTACATCAGATGAACAGTCTCCAAGACTCCTTCCTGCTCTAACAGTGTATACTGTTTAATGAACACCACCCCTGAGATGAGTCTCTGCTAGGAAATCTTCCCTATCTCTTGCTTCTCTGCCAAGCTCCCATCCCTCCAATGGTTCCAGGTACCTCTCTGATGTTTTAAAACAGGTACCATGGGCTCTCTACAGACTCAATGGCGGGGGCGGAGGGGGGGGGGGTCCACAGAGCTTAGCTACACAGCTGAACTGAATGATCCTCTTATCCCTAAATCTAAAGCTTCAAGAGGAGGAATAGCATGTTCTCTCCACACCACCACCCCCCTCATACCCAGGACAGAACTTGCTGGACAGCAGATGGCCATGCCGATCCTCTGAAACAGTGGTTCTTCACTGGGTAATTAGTTCTACCCTCCCCAAGGGTTTTTGAAAACATGCATGAGGAGGGTTTGAGTTTGTCACAAAGACCAGGCAATGGGGGAGGGGATGCGACTGGCATTTACAAAGACCAGGGATACTAAACATCTAGAAATGTACAGGACACTTCTAATAACGAAGAATTATCCTGTCCAAAATGTCACTTAGTGCCCCTATTGAAAAATACTGTCTTAGATATCCTATCACCTGAGTTTCTAAGTAACTTAAGTGTTTTATTTCACTTTGAACTAAAGGAAATACATTACTCTGAGGGCAAAATCAAAACCACAAACCAGGCCAGGTGAGCCTGGGGTCAAAAGGAAGAGTTTAAATTCGGGGAGGAGGATATAGTGTCCAACTGTGTTTAGCGAAGGCCTGGCACAGGGCCAACACCAACCCAAGAAGAAACCATGAGTCCCTAAGGAGCCCTTCTGGGCATGCTTACCTGTAAGAGGGTATCTGTGGGACAGCAAGCATGGGGAGAGTGGAGGGTGTGTCTTGGCCTGCTTCCTCTGGCTCCTTCTTGATCTTCTGCTTCAAACTCATCTTGCTTTTCTTGGGCACTCCCTTGAGGGAGCCACTCACCCCGCCTTGAGCTTCCTGCTCTTCTTCCTCCACCTCTTCCTCTTCTTCCTCCTCTCCATCACCCTCCTTCAGCCCTTCCTCATCGCCAGTCTCACTGATGCTTCTAGGGGAGTCGCCCTTCCTCCTAGCAGTGGCCGCACCTGGTGGCGAGTGGGCCTCACAGTAGGCAGTCTTGCGCACTGTAAAGATGGTGCCATTGAGGCTGGTTTCGCGCATGGGCTCAATCTTCATGAAGAGCCCAGCCCGCTGTGCACATGTCACATGGAATGCTGTGTAGCAGTTCACCTTATGGCACTGGATGGCTGCACCTAGCCCTTTCTGCTTGCAGATATAGCAGGTTAGTTTCCAGCGGGCAGGCGGGATATTGTCAATGCCCTCAATAGGTTCCAAGAACACGGTGTTAGCAAAGCAGACTTCAGGGATCCAGATGGCACACACCACATGGGCCCAGTGCCCATCACTGGTCTGTTTGAAGGCGCCACCCTTATTGGGGCAAAGGATGCAATCCACAGGCCGGGAGGGAGACTGCAGGCAGCAGCGGCATAGCCACTGGCCCTCAGGGATGTATGGGACGCCATAGCACTCCTGGTGTACAGCCAGGTTGCAGATGTCACAGAAGAGAATAACATTGCTATTGTGACATTCATCATCCAGGCACACACAGCAGAAAGCGTCTTCATCGATGAGTGACTGTTGGGCCCCACTGCTGCGACTCTCCAAGTATGACTCTTTCTCAAGCCGGTCTACCAGCAGCTCAAAGGTATCTGCAGACACCAAACTGTGCCCATCTACTCGCCGTTTTTCATTCACCATGTCCAGCCAGGCAAGGTCCTCCTCATCCATGTCATACTCTACCTCTGCATCCAGGTCTTCAGGTGGCTTCTCAATGTAGCGGTAGTAGGCAGCAGGCAGCGGGGGTGCTTCTGGCTGGATGCCTGAGTCCACCATACGGAAGCTGGGCTGTGGGAGGTGGAAGGAAGTACCAGATGCATGCTTGGAGCAGGATTCCTTCTTTTTGCCCTTGGATGAGGGTTTCTTGGACTTGCCAGGGAACTGAGGCTGTTCACTGTTTTCCTTGTTACTATTGCATTCGGTGATATCCTGGGCAGTTAGCTCATCTTCAGTAATGATTTTGAGTGGGTCATAGATGCTGATACGATGCAGGCGTCCATCAATGTCTACCTCGACAATCCGCTGGGCCTGGGCATATGTCAGGGTCTCCCGGGTGGGTGAGCACTTGAGACTGTAGGGGGACGGGGAACGCCGGCCCTCGGCATTCTGCCGGGACTTCCGACGAGGCTTCCTCATGGCACCTGGGAACTGAGGGGACAGGCCTAAGGAGAGAAGGCCAGGAGACTATGAGTTGGATGCCCTTATGCACCCATTCATCCTCCCATATGATCAAGCATCCACCAAGAGGACTGGCTTTTCCCTCTGTCTGAACAACTTGCCCCTCAGGCATCCACATGGCTTGCTCCTTCACTTCCTTTGAGTCTTTCATTTCTTCAAGTGAACAACACTTCTCAGTGAGACCTTCTCTGACCACTTTATCTAAAATTGCAAATCCTTTTCCTCCACCAGCAATCTACCTTTCATTCTGCTTTATTTTTCCCTTTAACATTCATCATCTTATACCATGCTACATAATTTACCTACTACTATGTTTATTGTTTCCTTCCTTCCACTAGAATATAAGCTCCATGAGGGGAAGAATTTTTGTTTGTCTTGTTCACTGCTGCATCCCCAGTTCCTGGAGCAGTGCTTAGCTCCTAAGTAACCACTCAATAAGTATTAGTTGAATGAAAGAAGAAATCAAACACACATGATCCCTGCCCTCAAGGAGCCCTGTCTAACTCAAAAGACAGAAAAGTAAACAGATTATTACAGTGTAACATGGGGAAAGATCTAATGTTCTAATGATGTACATAAAGCTGGGCGACAGCTAACTATGGAAAACACATGTAGTTAACGGTTTAGAAAAGAAAACAAGAAAAGCATCCACTGTCAAGCTCTGTACGTGAACAATGGGCCCCATCAGAGGATCAAAAGTCACTAGAGTCTTCTCCCAATACCTCTTACCACGATCAGAAACCCTACTCCTTGACCCTGCCTAGAGGTGAAGGGGTGAAGGCATCTGAAATATCTATGATACATGGTCTAAGGGCTTCAAACTACAGTATGCAGGGTATTCCCTACAAAAGACACCATCCAGGACAGCAGTCCCCAGCCTTTTTGGCACCAGGGACTGGTTTCGTGGAAGACAATTTTTCCACAGATGAGGGTGGGTGGTGAACACTGTTCCACCTCAGATCATCAGGCATTAGTCAGATTCTCATAAGGAGCATGCAACCTAGATCCCTCACATGCGCAGTTCACAGTAGGGTTCGCGCTCCTATGAGAATCCAAAGCAGCCGCTGATCTGACAGGAGGCAGAGCTCAGGTGGTAATGCTCGCTTGCCCGCCACTCACCTCTTGCTGTATGGCCTGGTTCTTAACAGGCCACAGTCTGCGGCCTGGGGGTTGGGAACCCCTGATCCAGGATACACCAACTAGTACATTTCCAGGCAGAAACAAACCCTAGAAGCTCTGAGAGTGGCTCCAAGAGATCTCTGAAGTTATAGTGGCCTGTCTAGGACCTTCATTCGACCGAAGGCCAAGATGATCTGGGCAGTATCTGAGGTAAACTCTCAATGCATTCTGTTACCTCAAAAGTCTCTCCCAGAACACTCATATCTAGTCTATCCTTGTACAGCCAAGAGAAAGTCCTAGTTTCCCCCATCATTCTCTGGATGACAAGCTCATAAGGAGCTGCGGTAGGCAGTTACCAAGGCTGTCACCACCAGGAGAGACCTTTGGGGATACAGGGCCCCATGGTGTGGGCAGACTTGGAAGGATATGAACAAAGAGAAGATTTCAAAGAGAAAAACAATTCATCGCCTTGGTTGCAGGGTCTACCATCTATATAAAGTAGAGACGGTGATAATAAAAGCACTTTTTCCAAACTACAAAGCCCTCTTACTTTTAATATTTCTCACAACTACCTTAGGAGATGGTGTAGCTATTATCATCTACACAGAAGCTCAGAAAGATGTCACTCAACGTAAAGCTAGTAAGTGATAACGCTACAATTTGAACCCAGGTCTTCCGATGCTCAATTCCTCTCAGTGGGAATTAAGAACACCACAGAGGTGCTATGGTCTGGTACAAAACGAGGCTCTGGGGCAATCTAGGTTCTAATCTTGGCCCTCTGTGACCTAGAGAAAGTCCCTTAAGCTCTCTATGCCTCCATACTCCATCAGTAAAATGAGGGTAACACAATCTAGCTCTCTAGGTGCTACTTGTTAATAAGGTATTATTAACATCTTTACTTGAAAGGCCTTCCAATCCCAAAGTGTGACTGAAACAAACAAAAAACCAATTTGGCTGAGGAGCAGTGCCAGGCGGGCTGGCACACACCCCATTTGGAGCCAAAGGAAACAGAATCATCGCAGCAATTCTGTCCGGGTTCCAGAGGCCCTTGGCTACTGGATTCCTTACAAATGCCAAGTCCCTGGGGGCAGACAGGGCCAACAGACCTGCTTCATCACCCACCCCTCCAAAGGCACCGAGGCCCTAGAAGAGGTGAGAACATCTGCCTCCACACCGACCCCAAACAGCGCAGACAGGCGGTGCGGCGCCCACTTTCATGAAAGCCGCTCCATCTTCTCCTTCCCCACCTGCCACCTCCTCGGCTGCTCAAGCATCTCTCGACCATGCAAGACTCTACACAGACGTGTTTTGTCCCACCCACGCCTCCAGACACCGGGGAGAAACTCTAGAGGGGGAAGGGACTGCTGATGAGGGAAATGAAAAGAGTTTCGCCCACAAGGAGCTTACAGTCTAGACGAGTTTTTTGGCGGGAGTTTCTCAACCTACACAGCCCTTCCCACATACACACCTCCAAAATATCTCCAACAACCCCCGCCCCCCCAGATTTCCCCTCGGCACCCCCTGACCCCTCGCTCACCCACCCCATCCAGGTCCCCGAAGAATGAGGAGCTTCTGCAATTAGACTGTATCCCCTGCACCTCACACAAGATACTCAGGAGACAAGGAGGACCCCAGCCAAGGCTCCTGCTCCTTTAAGGGGGCACCTCTTCCAGAAGAATCTTGACCCCTCGGAGAAGAAAGGAGGGAAATAACATCTCCTCAGAGGGGAGGGGCGAGCGCACCAGAGACAGCCTGACGTGGAGTCCGACCCTCAGACAGAGAAAGCGAGCGCCAGCGAATGAGCGGGGCGGAGAGGCGAGAACCCATTGGCTGCGTCACCTGCCCGTCAGAGGGACCCAGGGGACCTAGGGCCGCTCAAGGGGCGGGACTCTCGTCTGGCCAGGCCAATTGGAAGGCGTGGCGGGGGCGGGGCTTAGCGGCTCGGAATCCAGGGCTGGGGGGGGAGACAAGATGGCGGCTGCGGGAGGGGGTCCTCGCTTCTCAGCTCCCCCGCTCACCCGCCTTCTCCTTCCCTGCCGCCGCCCTCGCTCCAGGAGAGAGCTTTCGCACCGCCCCCGCCCTGCTCGGAAAGCCCCCCGCTTCTCCGGTTTCCCCCCGTGCAGTCCCTGGTCCCCGAAGGCCCCGATGCCCCCGCCCCCGCTCTGTCCGGCCCCGCTGCCGCCCCCATTACCTCAGCCGCCTGCCCGGCCCCACCGTTCGGGGCCCCTGGGCGCGGGCGGGCAGGCCGCCGAGCAGGTCGGCGCGGCCCGGGAAGCGGAGCGCGGTCTTCTCCCGCGCCTGCCTCCGTGGCCTCCGCCGTGCCCCCTCCCGGCCCGCGCTGGGGCCCCGGCCCGGCCGCCGCCGCCGCTCCCGGGGGAGGAGGGGGAATGGAGCCGCCGCTGCTGCCGCTGCCGCCACGGAGCCCGGCCGAGGGGAGGGAGGGATCAGCCCCCAGGCAGGATCCGCCCCTCCGGCCTCCCCCCGCCACCTCCACCCCTTCCCTCGCTCCCTCCCTGACTCTGCGGGCTCTCCCGCTGAACAGGAGCGAGAGCGCGAAAGAGGGGGAAACGGGAAAAAAATCCCCCCGCCCGTGCCTGGCGCGGCGGCGGCCGGGGCGGTGCGGAGAGGAGCGCGGAGGCGCCGCCGCCGCCGCCACGGGGCACCATCCCCGGCTCGGCCTCACGGTGGCGGTGCGGGCGCGGCGGGGACACCGAGCAAGAGACCGGGTCTGCGCCCGCCGCGATCCCTGCGCACCACGGCCCTGCCCGCCACGGGGCGAGCCCGATAAGAGGGCTGTGGACGTTCGGGTCTAGTTGGGAGAGACAGGGGTCCCTGACTCTTGAGCGGTCAGTCATTTCCTCCCCAGTCCTTGTGGGTGACGTGGCTACGGTTTGGAGCAGCAAGCCCCCTCCCCGAACTAAAGGGCCTCTCCAAAGGTTAAGCCAGGGCAGTCATTGAGGTCAAAACCAATATGTAGTTTCTTGACTGCAGGTGCCTGCACGACTCCCAGAAAGTCGCGTCTCCCCTAACCCCCATGCCCAGGACCTGAGGACAAAGGTCTAGCGATTGTCCATCCCCTCCCCCAGTGAGGACAGCCGGGAAAGACCTGCCTTTGTTGTGTACAGGTGAGCGTCTTGTTCCGCACCACACATCTTTTAAAAAAAAAAAAAAAAAATCTGACTTTCCGTTTAAAAGGAGTAAACAAAAGTTTGACAGTCTGCTTAAGCATGCCTGGTAACTCGTCTGTCACTGTGGGCATGGGAAACACTTTAAACCTGACTTGGTTAATTTAATGCATTAGGCGGCTTTCTAAAAGATGCTTGACAAATGGCAGCATCAGACCAAACTGGCTTTTGTTTTGATCTAAAAAAACAAAAAAATAAAGAAAAGGGCTCCATTGCCACCCCCTTTTGCCTGTAAACTGGAAAGCTTACCTCATGTGACTGAAGTCTTAAGCACCAATACATAATGATGTTTATAAAGGACGTATGGATAAGCTGCCTGTAAATGTGAAGGTGAGTGACAGTTTGAAAGTGTTTCCTCTGCTGGCACTTGTGGTGTAGCTGGTGAGACTCAATTTCTTTCTTGGTTCTGATGATCAAGGACATGTATTCTAGAGTCAGAAGGATGAAGGATAAAGTCTTAGGATCCAAATTTTCTGAATGTTTAAAGTGAACATACTGCTACTTTGGAAGTATAGATGTTATACTAAGGAATTTAAATATAGAGAGTTTCAAATTCAAAAGTTTGATTAAGGAAGCTAATTTGTTTCCAAGTAAATAGCATCTTCTGGCAAAGAGATAGTACAAAAATGCTTCTGTTAACCAATTTTTTAAATGCAAGGGGGGTGGCTCGTGGAGCTAAGCAAGGGCAGGACAATGTTTTGAAAGCTGTGAAGATGAAATAGTATGAATTAATGTCAAGTGTTCTGAAGCTAGGGGGAATAATCATTTGGAGGGAAGGTGTGGAAGAAAAAGATGATTAATTGTGGAAGAGAAAGCCCCAGAGGCAAGAAAATATTGCAATTACAGTACTTGTAGTTAAGAAAAAAAAAGTCTGAAAACTAACAGAAACTATTAAAACATGAAATATAATAATCATTTATACATATGACTAGTAACTTTTATTTCTTGATGGATGTTCTCAAAATTTATTTAGCACAATTCCCATTTGCGTGATCAGGAGCTATCTTTTTCCACTAAAATGAATGAATAAATACCTTGAGAAAATGCATTGGTTTCTACTTGTAAGTCAACGATTTAAATGCTGTTGAAAAGGCCTTAAGTCAACCTAATGCATGTGATTTTTTTCAGGTTTTTCTATTCAAAGCTTTCATATTAAGACCTTATTCAACCTAAGTGTTTCTCTTCCATTTTCAACTTCTACTTTTTTAATGATATCATTACAGTTGCCCTCACTTTAATTTTTGACATTTGGAATTGGTTTCTACAAGCATAACTGCACACGTAACCAGTTCCCTGTGATGGAATCTTAAATGTAACATGGAACAATTATGTTATTAAAAACAAATTTGGAACATATATCAAAAATCTCAGAGGCACTAAATTTAATTCACTTTAATCGTTTGCTATTTTAAACGGTTTAAATTCACCACCCCTGGCCTTTCCAATAAACCATACAGCAATTAAATTC
Source organism: Homo sapiens (assembly GCF_000001405.40). NCBI lineage: Eukaryota > Metazoa > Chordata > Mammalia > Primates > Hominidae > Homo > Homo sapiens. The sequence goes on along the minus strand of NC_000006.12, from coordinate 36,194,508 downwards.
AACAAACAGAGGCATGGATCTTTGATTCCAAATAGTTGTTTTTAAGAACCTTCCAGCTGTAAGTAGAAACCAACTTATTTGGGATAGGAGAAGGTTTTACCATTTAAAACTAAAAGAAACATGAATACAAAAAAAAATCACCATTTCCCCACCTCTTTCTTTCATACTTCCCCATCATACTTTTTTTCAGCATCTCAGGATATCTTTGTTAATGCTTCACTATTGTCATTAGTTTATCAGGCCAAGAAACCTCTCAGGGGTCAGACGCAGTACCCACTGGATTAATAACGTGGATGATAAGGAAAAAAATAGGCCTTGATTGATTGTTAAATTATTTTTAATAGAATATTCCTTCCTTAGATACTTGACTAAAAGAATTCTGAAACCACAGTTGGGAGGAATGTTTGAGGTTGGAATCATTGTGATACTTTTTTTTTTTTTTTTTTTTTTTTTGAGACGGAGTCTTGCTCTGTCGCCCAGGCTGGAGTGCAGTGGCGGGATCTCGGCTCACTGCAAGCTCCGCCTCCCGGGTTCAAGCCATTCTCCTGCCTCAGCCTCCCAAGTAGCTGGGACTACAGGCGCCCGCCACTACGCCCAGCTAATTTTTTGTATTTTTAGTAGAGACGGGGTTTCACCGTTTTAGCCGGGATGGTCTCGATCTCCTGACCTCGTGATCCGCCCGCCTCGGCCTCCCAAAGTGCTGGGATTACAGGCGTGAGCCACCGCGCCCGGCCGATACTTTTACACTAATTAAAATGGTTTAAGAATGTAAAGTTTGCTTGGAAAATGGGAAAAGTTTAGCTAGGTTAACAACAGGTCTTAAATAGAGTAACATACCACACTCTCTAGATTTAATTCCATTTATGTATTTCTAAAACGTATTCATTGACCACTTAGAGTGTGTCTAATACTGCACAAGTTCTTTGGAAAATAATGACAAAATCTCAACCTAGAAAGGGACTAATGATCATAAGTATAGATAGAATATATTTTTTCTTGCCTTGAGTAGTGTGCAATCCAGAATGGTAGAAATAAGTAGAAAACACATACAAGAAAAAATAGATAAGGCAGTGAAGAGTATGGAGCCACCATTATTCAAAGAAGGCTTCTTGGAGAATGGGAGACTTCTTTAAGCCAAGTTCTAAATCATGATGGATGTGAACTGGTGAAAAGAGTGTAAAGTGACATTGGGTTGGTGACAGGACAGTCCAGGCAAAGGGAAAATATGCAGGGAATAATGCGGAAATTATCCTAGCTGGTATGTATGGGCAGATGATAAGAAAAAGATTGAATTGGGTAGGAGGTATGGCAAGGGGACAGGGATAATAAAAATAATACCTAACACTTATGTACAAGGTACTGTGCTTAGTGCTTTATATACTCCATTTATTAAAGATCTTTGTTGCAGTTAGCAGAAAACCAACTTAAGTGAGTTTAATAAAGGAAATAAACTCTCATAACCAGAAAGTCCAGGGGTGCATCTAGCTATAGACAAGATCGAGTCAAAGGACTCGAATTATGTCATCAGCATACTGTATCTTGCAATTTCTCAGCCATCCTGAGCCAATAACTGTGGCCAGAGGGACATGCTGCTTGTCATGTATCAACTCCTAAAACCAGAGGACATGAGCAGGAGAAGATTGTACAATGGGGTAGTAGGTACATGTACAAACTAGGTCCAATATGCACACCATATCTTATTTATCAACTTACTAACTCTATAAAATGTTACTGTTATCCTCTTTATGTATTGGAGAAAGTAGAACAGGAGATCCGGTAAACCTGGAAGAGTTTACTATAGGTAATTAGGCATTATGAAAATAAAAAGGCATTAAGCAGAATGATGGAAAATGTGTTAGAGAAAGAGGAAAAGGAAAGGTCAAATCAGAAATCAGATGACAAAGCAACTGTTTTGTCTGATTGGACATAAGAACAAAGGAGAAGATTGAAGAAGAATCTAAGTTCAAACTTTGTAGGTTCTCACAGTTTGGTACAATCATTGCAAATTAAGAGGTGGCAAAGGGTTGCTCGGGAGCTCCTATTGGAGGTGGGAACCTGAGGATTGAAGAAATGATGAAATCAGCTCAAGTTCTCTGGAACCTCTTTTGGTCACACTGAAATACATATTTATTCAATTACTATTTGTGAGCTGCTGGTAAGGTTCTATTTTATGGCTGTAAAGGCCACAAAGGTGAAAAGAGTATGCTTGCAGACTTGAAGGCATTTAGATTCTAATCACAGTATAAAGCAAGGGTATTTATAACTGGAACGTGCTACAATATAAGCACTTCAAGAGAGATGCAAACGAAGTGCCAAAGTTTGGAGGAGGGAGTGAGCTCGTCTGTTTAGGAGAAGAGGGAAGGCTCTGTGAAGAAAGTGCTATCTGAGCTCTACCTGAAAGCTCTCAGGTAGGTGTGTCAGCTAGAAAGATGGTAGAGGGAGTGTGGTCCAGGCTGAGCCACCCGCATGAGCAAAGAGGAAGAACGTATCAAAGAATAAAATTTCAACAAATGAGTCCCAAAGATCCAATTGGCTTTATTAGCTGTTTATGAACTGGGCAACATCCAGTCTACAAAATAGAAAGGAGTTCCTATGAGCTAAACAAGTAGGTGAGTTTTATAGGCAGAAAGAAGTGAAATAAATCAGGAACAATGAGCAAATAGCAGATTGGTCTTTTCAAGATTATTTTTCTTTATAGGAATGTAAATGAAATCTTGTTGGTTTAATGGGATTTGACTATCATCTCTCTCCTGATTTCTTGAAGAGTCAGATCTTACAGTAAAATACAGGTTTTGGTTTGGTGTCATGGAACCTCTCAGCATGAATGACTCCATTTGGGGTCTGCTGTCTTTTCTTTAACACATGGAATGCCATAAGATTGTTTCAGGAAACAGTGGGTTACCCATTGACCCAAAAATGAGGGATATGAGAGAGAAGGCTGGTAAGGTAAAGTCAGAGCATGGAGACTGTTGGTTGGGTAGGGAGCTAGACATGAAGGGGCAGGAGACCCTGATGATTTTTGGAACAGGGAAATGACTTCAATAGTTCCATGCTTTAAGTTCTAGTCAGGCAAGAGAGTGTGATACGGTATGGTTTAAATTAGCTATCCAGTGTGGCTTGCATTATCTTCTGAACTTGAATTCTAGCTAGAACATTTTACCATATACTCAGTGGAATGCTAAACCAAGCAAGCATGAAAGCAAGTAGTATGTGACAAGTATAAATTGTTCAACTTGATCTAATGTCTTATCTTTTCAACCTTTAATTAGGATTTCTATTAAATCCTAAACTCTTAACTGTGAGTGAAGCCAGGACACTATAAAATATAATTCCATATTTTAGCAGAAGTACCAACCCTAAAAGTAGCCATCTTCTTGGCATAATTTTACTAAAGGGAGAGAAAATACACAAAAATAATAGCACATACTAAACTAGAACCTGCATTTTGACAAGATTTCCATAAGTAATTTATATGCATATTAAAGTTGAGAAACAGTGAATTAGAGGATTTTAGAGAATTCCAGGATTAAAATACTCTGAGAAAAAGGTAAAGTTAAAGGATTAATATTAGCTTTTGATTACTCCAGAATACCTATAATAATAAAATACATGTTTCCATTTATATGAAATTCTGGAAAATGCAAACTGCTCTATAATGATAGCAGATTGGTGGCTTCCTGGATGTGAAGGGGAGGAGGGACTATAAAGGGCATGAGGAAACTTTTTGGAGTGATAGAAACATTCTGTAAGTTGATGGCAGTGGTGGAGAAACAGGTATATATACATTTGCCAAAACTTAAACTGTACAGAGTAGCTGTCTTTTATTTTACATAAATTTTACCACAATTAAGTTGATAAAGCATACCTGTTGCAATTTTTAGACTAATCATTAACATTAAAAGAATGAAAAAATGAGGATGTAACTCACAAACTAGTACAGAGTAAAAAAAGAATAAAAAATTCGACCAACCTAAAAGAAGTCAAGGAAAGAAAAGGAAATATAGTAAAGGTGAAACAAATAGAAAACAATGAAATGATGGCAAATTTAAATTCAATTTACAATTTACATTGTACATTGTAGAAAGAGTAGTCCACAATGAGTGGGACATTTCTGGAAAAGTTTAATGATTGCATGGTTAAAATAATGTCTGGCTTGACAACATGCATTGGTCCCCACTCCCTCCCCTAACTTCAATAATGTTAGTAAAGGATAAAAAAATCCACAAGACAATGAAATCCACAAGAACAAAGAGAATGAGGGAAAACAACAGCAGGTGAGATTTACTATCTCAAGAAATTGAACTAAAGAAGTTCTAGACTTGGGGCCACCAGGAACCAATGAAGACAGCGATGAAGTGTCATACTGAAAACGGAAATTAAAGGGAATCTCTGCATACTAAATAATAAGATGCTCCCCCGAGCCCCAATCATCACCATCACATGTTCTTCCCTAGACTGATGAGGGAGGGGAAATCTGGTACAAATTGCTGGAATCTGGTGGTGCAGAAGGGGGCTAAGAGAAAATTTCATGAAAACATTTCTAGTCAGTCCATCCTTTTAGTTGAAATAAATGTTTCATAGATCAAAATTCTTAGTGGTCCTGCCTCTTCCCCCAATCACATTGCAAAACACTGGAAGCCAGGTTTATTTTAGAATTTTGCTAGTGTTTGTTTTTGTTTTTTGAGATGAGGTCTTGCTCTGTTGCACAGGCTGGAATGCAGTGGTGTGATCACAGCTCACTGCAGCCTCAACCTCCCAAGCTCAAGCGATCCTCCCACCTCAGCCTCCTGAGTAGCTGGGACTACAGGGACACAGCATCATGCCTCGATAATTTTTTTTAAGAGACAGGGTCTCACTTTGTTGCCTAGGCCGGTCTTGAACTCCTGTGCTCAAGCAGTGCTCCCAACTTGGCCTTCTAATGTGCTGGGTTCGTAGACGTGAGCCACCACCCGCAGCCAGAACCTTGCTACTTAGATTATTGTTCAAGAACCGATAGTATTGACATCTCCTGGGAGTTGGTTAAACATGTGGAATTTTAGGCCCCACTCTAGACCTACCAAACCAGAATCTGCTTTTTAAGATCTCCCTACATGTTTCATATGCATATTAAGATTTGAGAAGCAATGGATTACAGAATGTTAGAGAATACCATGATTCCTCTCTGAAGATGGAGAAAAGACCTATTTATGAATACTGGCGATGGAACATCTTCACTAAAACATCCAGCTTGTCACCTTTTGCCTTATGCTGAAGCTCACCTGGTATCAAGCATTCCCCACCCCTACCCCAACACACATAGAGTTTTAAACAGCTTTAAAAAAAACTACCTCTTAACATTGAATAAACAACCAAAAACCAACAGATATATGAAGAAAGTATCATGAAGGTCAGAATCCAAGAAAAAAGAATGGGGAAAACAATATAGAGAACCAAAGAAGTCTTAACAAACAAACAAAAATCTCTAAGAGCCTCAAAGAGTAGCTGGCTGGGGTGATGGTTCATGCCTAATAATTCCAGCACTTTGGGAGGCCAGAGTGGGAGAATCGCTTGAGGCCAGGAGTTTCAAACCAGCCTAGGTGACATAGCAATACCCTGTCTTCATTTAAAAAAAAAAAGTGCTGGGCATGGTGGCTCAGGCCTGTAATCCCAGCACTTTGGGAGACCAAGGTGGGCGGATCGCCTGAGGTCAGGAGTTTGAGACCAGCCTGGCCAAAATGGCAAAATCTCATACCTACTAAAAATACAAAAAATTAGCTCGGCGTGGTGGTGGGCACCTGTAACCCCAACTACTCAGGAGGGTAAGGTAGGAGAATTGCTTGAACCAGGGAGGCAGAGGTTGCAGTGAGCAGAGAGAGTGCCACTGGACTCCAGCCTGGGCAACAGAGCAAGACTCCATCTCAAAAAAAAAAAAAAAAAAAATGGGGAGGCCAGGCACTGTGGCTTACACCTGTAATCCCAGCACTCTGGGAGGCCAAGGTGAGTGGCTCGATTGAGCCCAGGAGTTCAAGATCAGCATGGACAACATAGAGAAACTCTGTCTCTACTAACAAAAAAAAAAATTAGCCAGATGTGCTGGCATGTGCCTGTGATCCCAGCTAGTTGGGAGGCTGAAGCGGGAGGATTGCTTGAGCCCAGGAGGTTGAGGCTGCAGTGAGCCAAGATCGCACCACTGCACTCTGGCCTGGGTGACAGAGACCTTGTCTCAAAGAAATAAAGATAGCAAGGGGAGGGGAGAGAGAGAGAGAAAGGGAAGGAGGAAGGAAAGGAGGAAGAAAGGACAGAAAAGAAGGAGTCAGAAAAGAGCAAATCTTGAATATTAAAAATGTGAAAAAATTTTAAAGACTGTAATGGAAGAGTTAGAAGGTGAGGTTTAACAACTCTCCCAGAGAGAAAAGGAGATGGAAAATAGGACAGAAAAGAGAATAAAAAAGAGAATTTGAGGATGAATTTAAGAAGCTCAACATCCCATTTACAGTAGTTCTAGAAAGAGATGAGAATTTTCCCCAGAAATGAAGGTAGTGAGTTTCCAGAATGAAAGTCTCCTTCAGTGCTCTGGTACAATAAATGCGAAAAGATCTAAACCAAGAACACTAGTGATAGAAAAAGAGAGAATCCAAAAAGTTTTTGGAAAGGAAAAGCAGGTCAGATACAAAGAACTAGGAATCAGAATGTTATCAAGCAGCTATAAGGCAATGAAAAAACTCTTTCAAATGCTGAGGAACAATGTTTCCAATGGAAAAGTCTATGCCCAGCCAAAATATCAAGTGTGAAAATAGTATAGACATTTTCAAACATTCAAGATTTCACAACATTTATCTATACTTCCTCAGGAAATAACTGCATGACATTTTTCACAAAAAATGAGGTAGAAAAAAAAACCAAGAAAAGTAAAATACATGGGATCCAGGAAATGGCTTTGGAGCTGAGTCCCTGCCGAAATCTCATGTCAAATTGTAATCTCCAGTGTTGGAGGTGGGGCCTGGGTGGGAGGTGATTGGATCATGGGGGCAGATTTTCTGCTTCCCCTTGGTACTATCATCACAATAATGCGTTCTCATGAGATCTGGTTGTTTAAAAATGTGTGGCACCTGCTCCCACCCTTCTTCCTGCTCCAGCCATGTATAGTGTGGGCTTCCCCTTTGCCTTCCTCCATGATTGTAAGTTTCCTGAGGCCTCCCCAGAAGCAGATGCCACCATGTTTCCTGTATATAGCCTGCAGAACTGTGAGCCAATTAAACCTCATATATCTATTTAATATATATTATATATTTAACATATATTATATATTATATATATAATATATTATTTAATATATATTATATATTATATATATAATATATTATTTAATATATATTATATATTATATATATAATATATTATTTAATATATATTATATATTATATATATAATATATTATATAATATATTATATATTTATTTTATATAATATATTTTATATAATATATATTTTTATATATATTATATATTTAATATATTATATATATATATAAACCAGTTTCAGATATTTCTTTATAGCAATGTGAGAATGGACTAATACAGGATTAAATGTAAAAAAGAAGCAAAAGATATCCCCAGGATTACAATGAAGGGAAATTCAAGGAAGAGAATTGTGTGGCAGGTCTCAAGTGAAACCATTGGAGTAGGAAGACAAAGGACTCCAGAAACAATTGGAATGGATAGATTAACACATACATTTGACCATATGAGAGGAAGTTTTTCAATATTGATGAAGAGTTTCTGGATGGATTTAATAATGTATACATAAAAAATAAAAATTTTAAATTAGAGAATTACTAATTCCAAGAAAGATAACTCACATTGTTTTAGTCTGTTCTCATGCTGCTATAAAGAACTGCCCAAGACTGGGTAATTTATGAAGGAAAGAGGTTTAATTGACTCACAGTTCAGCATGGCTGGGGAGGCCTCAGGAAACTTGCAATCATGGCAGAAGGGGAAGCAAACACATCCTTCTTCACATGGCAGCAGCAGCAATAAGTAGAATGGACAAAAGGGGAAAAAGCACCATATAAACCCATCAGATCCCATGATAACTCACTCACTATCACAAGAACAGCATGAGGGTAACTGCCCCATGATTCAGTTACCTCTCACTGGGTCCCTCCTGTGACACATGGGGATTATGGGAACTACACGATGAGATTTGAGTGGGGACACAGCCAGACCATGTCACACATGGAAAAGAAATACAGATTGGGTGCAGTGGCTCATGCTGTCATCTCAGCACTTTGAGAGGCCGAGATGGAAGGATCCCTTTGAGGCCTGCAGTTTGAAACCAGACTGGGTACCATAGCAAAACCCTATCTCTAAAGATTTTTTTTTAAATTAGCCAGGCATGGTAGTGCATGCCTGCAGTCTCAGCTTCTCAGGAGGCTGAGGTGGGAGGATCACTTGAGCCAGGAGTTCGAGGTTACAGTGAGCCAATCTTGTATGCAGATCCTTCAAGGATGGTAACCAGACCAGGCACGTAGTTGGCATCTGGAGACTTGGATTTTAGGCGTGTTCTCCACCACTCTAACTGATAAGAGTGACTCCACTGGGAGAGGATTCATGGAAGCTTGGGCCTGGTTTCCTCTGGACTTCACTCCATGTGTATTTTCCCTTCACTGATTTTGCTCTGTATCCTTTCAACATGTCACAGCCATGAGTACAGCTGTATACTGAGTCCTGTGATTCCTTCTAGAAAATCACTGGACTTGCGGGTGATCTTGGGGACCCCAACACACATATTTTAATCCAAATATCTCATTAAAATAATAGGGTTGGGTTCAGTGGCTCACACCTGTAATCCTAGTGCTTTGGGAGGCTGAGGTGGGCAGATTGCTTGAGCCCAGGAGTTCATCTGGTACAAATTCCAGCAATTTTTTTGTCTCTACAAAAAAAATACAAAAATTAGGCAGGCATGGTGGCATCCACCTGCATTCCCAGCTACTTGGGAGGCTAAACTGGGAGGATCAGTTGAGTCCAGGAGGTTGAGGCTACAGTGAGCCATGATGGCACCACTGCACTCCAGCTTGGGTGACAGAGTTAGGCCTTGTCTCAAATAAAATAAAATAAAACTAAAAATAAATAAAACATTAAATAGTGTAGTTACAGGATGTGTGCTTGCAAGTAAAAAAAACAACTGATCTAATTTTTTTTTTTTGAAAGATGGAGTCAAGGCTGGGCTCAGTGGCTCACACCTGTAATCCCAGCACTTTGGGAGGCCAAGGCAGGCAGATCTTTTGAGGTCAGGAGTTCGAGACCAGCCTGGCTAACATGGCAAAACCCCGTCTTTACTAAAAATACAAAAATTAGCCGGGCATAGTGGTGGGTGCCTGTAATCCCAGCTACTCAAGAGGCTGAGACATGAGAATTGCATGAACCCAGGAGGCAGAGGTTGCAGTGAGCCAAGATTGCGCCACTACACTCCAGCCTGGGTGACAGAGCAAGACTCTAAGAAAAAAAAAAATTAATTCAACCTTTTTGTGCCTCAAGCACAAAAATAATTTATTGGAAGGGTTTAAGGAGGGCTCACAGAATTGACAGGAGACTGGAGGAGGAAGCTATAAAGCAAATATAATCTAGCCTGATCATTGCCACCACTGCCTATAATGTAAGTAGTATCTTAAATTTTTCTCCTGTTAGTTGTATTGAAGATATAATTAATTTTTGCATATTCATTTTATATTTAGCCACCTTGCTAACCTGTATTCTAATAATTTGGCAGGTTAAGAGTTTTCTCTATAGAATTATACATTTGCGAATAATAGTTTTAATCCTCTCTTTCAAACATTAGACCTTTAATTTCTTTTTCCCCCAGCTTTACTGAGATATAATTGACAAGTAAAAATTGTACATATTTAAGGTATACAATGTGATGTTTTGATATTTGTATACATTGTGAAATGATTACCACAAGCCTGTCTTTGGCTTATTTCACTTAGCATAATGTCCTCCACATTTGTTCTATCCAGTCAAGTCCAGTGCTGAAGTTGCCACAAAAGTGGCAGCAGAGAAGTTCCTGCAAGGGACTGACCAAACCATCCTGACATGGAGAGAGTAGGGCTTCCAAAGAAAGAAGCATTAAATGCCAGAATGATCAGTCCAAAGCATTAATCAGGGGGAACTTATGTACAGAGTGCATCAGCAGTCCTCATGATGGACAGTGAGAAAAAAGATGTTCTACCTAGGTATGTCAACAAAGAGGTTGGATTATAAAGTTTATATGGGGGGGGGGGGTTAAGGAGTTTGGCTCAGGGCCAAGGCTATTTTCTACATATTTGGCAATATGTTGATGTTTCAGTGTTTTGGACAACAACCTATACAAATTTATCAGTTCATGGAGATGTTCAAGGTCCCAGCTTGGGTTCAAGCCCATAGGAGAAAACATGCAGCTGGCCAGGCCATAGAATGGTCAAGGCACTCTGTCTCTGAGTCAAAACAAAGAAAGAAAGCAGGGGAATCTGGGAACTCTGCAAGGTTCATCCATGTTTTCACAAATGACAGCATTTCCTTCTTTAAATTTTTTTAGAGACAGGGTCTTGCTATGTTGCCCAAGGCTGGATTCATCTCCTGGGCTCAAGTGATCCTCCCATCTCAGCCTCCCAAGTAATTAAGACTACAGGTGTGAGCCACAACACCTGGCTATTTTTTTAAAAATTTTTTTACAGATGAGGTCTCACTAGGTTGCCAAGACTGAACTCAAACTCCTGAGCTCAAGCAATCCTCCCACTTCAAACTGCTGGGATTGCAGGCATGAGCCATCATTCCTGGTGGATTTCCTTCTGTTTAAGGCTGAATAATATTTCATTGTGTGTGTTTATCACATTTTCTTTATCCATTTATCCATTGGTGGAAACTTTGATTCCAAATCTTGGCTGTTGTCAATAGTGTGGCCATAAATAGTGGAGTGCAGGTACCTCTTTGACATAAGTCCTTTTGTTTCACTTTGAAGAACTTTCCTTAGCATTTGTAAGGCAGGTCTAGTGGTGATGAACTTCCTCAGTTTTTATTTGTCTGGGGAAGTCTTTATATCTCCTTGATTTGTGAAGGATAGCTTTGCTGGAGTTGGCAGTTTTTATTGTTGTTATTTTCTTTCAGCACTTTGAATATATCATCTTAGTCTCTCCTAGCCTACAGGGTTTCTGCTGGGAAGTTCACTCATAGTGTTACGGAGTTTCTTTGAACGTGACAAGTCTTTTTCTTTTGCCCTTTTCAAAATGCTCTCTTTGGGAATTTGATTACAGTGTGTCTCGGTAAAAAATCTCTTTGTGTTTAACTATCTGGGTTTTTGGGGGAATTAATGGACCTGGATGTTCATTCCTTCTCCAGATTTGGGAAGCTCTCTCTCGTTATTTCTTTAAATATTATTTCTGTCCCTTTATCTTTCTCTTCTTCTGGGAATCCCATAATACATACATTGGTTCACTGGACAGTATCCCACAAGTCCCATGGGCTTTCTTCATTCTTTTCCATTCTTTTTTCTTTTTGTTTCCCTGGCTTAGTAATTTCAAATGTCCTGTTTTTGAACTCACAGATTTTTTTCTTCTGTTTGATGGAAACTGCTATTGAAATTTGTATGTGGAATTTTTCAGTTCAGTGTTGTGTTTTTCAGCTCCAGAATTTGTTTGGTTCTTTTTATGGTTTCTATCTCTGTTGAACATCTCACTCATTTTCTTTATGTCTTGTTTTCCTGATTTTGCTTAGTTGTCTGTGTTCTCTTGTAGCTCACTGATCTTCTTTAAAATTTACTATTTTTAATTTCTTGTCAGGCAGTTCATAGATCTCTGTTTCTTTAGAGTTAGTTACTGGTGCTTTATTTTGTTCCTTTAGTGGTGGTGTCATGTTTTCCTGATTATTCGTGATCCTCATTGCCTTGTGTTGATGTCTGTGCGTTTGAAGAAGTAGGCATCTCTTTCAGTCTTTGCACGCTGGCTTCAGCAGGGAAAGCCCTTCACCAGTCAGCTTGTCCAGAGATTCTGGGCAGGCCAGCTGGTGGGGTCTACGAGAAGGCTTATTGCTGGAGTCCCTGGACAGCATGGCCTAGTGTCTGAATCAGTGGGCAGGCAGGCCTGGTGCCTGGGTCTAAAGGGACAAGCCAGAGCCTGGGGTCCACTGGATGTATATGGTATCATTTCTCTCTCTCTCTCTCTCTCTCTTTCTCTTTCTCTCTCTCTCTCTTCCCCTCTCCCCTCACCCCAACTTTCAGCACAATATTGGATAGAAAAAGTGATAGTATAAATCCTTATCTTGTTATTTATTTAATTAATTTATTTATTTGAGACAGGGTCTTGCTCTGCCACCCAGGCTGGAGTGCGCTAGTGTGATCACAGCTCATTGCAGCCTTGACCTCCTGGGCTCAAGCAATCCTCCCACCTCAGCCTCCTGAGTAGCTGGGACTACAGGTGCATGCCACCACACCTGCCTAAATTTGTGTATTTTTTGTAGAGACAGGGTCTCACTATGTTGCCCAGTCTGATTTTGAACTCCTGGGCTCAAGCAGTCCTCCTGCCTCAGCCTCCCACCATGCCCAGCCCTGGTTACATAGTTAAGAGGAATGCTTCTGACATTTCCCTATCAAGAATGATGTTTTCTATAAAGGTATGTTAGATACTCTTTAATAAATTAAGGAAAATCATTTCTACTTTTAATTGTTTTATCATCACAGATGTTGAATTTTATCAAATGCTTTCTCTGCATCTATTGAGATAATAATTGGTTTTCTCCTTGTGATATCGTGAAGTATATATTTGGTCTTTATTCTTGTTTCCTGACATACAGTCCCTAAAACCCTTGAAATCCCTGAAGGGGATTTCATGATAAGGGGGTGATAATGATAATTGATAAGGGGATGTTTTGTATGCTAGTGAGATGACTAGTGGCTGGCAGCTCATAGGTAGCTTCAGGATGGGGGCTGGTCACAGGAAAGACCAAGGCATTATTAGAGAGTTGGGATATTTAGCCCCACCTCCCAACATCCAAGGAGGGGAGAGAAGCTGAAACTCAAGTTGATCACCAATGGCTAATGATTTAATCAGTCATGCATATGTAATGAAGCTTCCATAAAAACCCAAAAGGACTGGGTTTAGAGAACTTCCAGATAGCTGAACATGTAGAGATTCCTGGAAAGTGGCAGGCCTGGAGAGAGCATGGAAGCTTCATGCCCCTTCTCTCATACCTCACCCTATGCATCTCTTCCATTTGGCTGTTATCTATATCCTTTGTAATATCTTTTATAATAAATGGATGAATGTAAGTAAAGTGTTTCCCTGAGCTGAGTGAGCTGTTCTAGCAAATTAATCAAACCCAAGGAGGGAGTCATGGGAATCCTCAATTTATAGCCAATTGGTCAGAAACTCAGGTTGCACAATGTAAGCACAATCTATGCTTGCAACTTGCATCCAAAGTGGAGAGGAGTCTTGTGGGACTGATCTCTCAACCTATGGGTAGAGAACTCCGGGTGGATAGTGTCAGAATCAAATAGAACTAAAAGACACTCAGATGTTATCTGCTGCAGAACTGATTGCTTGCTTGATGTGTGGGTATAAACCCCCACACATCTGGAGTCACGGAAGTGTTCTGTGTTGTGAGGGTATAGTAGGAGAAACTGAGTTTGTTTTTTTCCATACCAAGTACCCCTTTAATCTTTAATGTGAATAATTGTTTCCCTAATATTAAACCATTCTCTTAGCAATGGAAAATTCTGCTTACAAAAAATATATGTATTAAACCATTCTTGCATCCCTGGATTAGCCTGACTTTCTCATTATTTATTACCTTTTTAAAATATCTCACTGATTTGGTTTGCTAATACTTTAATATTTTTACATATAGGCTCCAAAGTGAGATTGTCTATAATTAGATTGTTTAGGGAATCAAGTTTTATTTACCTCATAAATGAGTCGAGAATATTTTCTCTTTTTCTATTTTCTATAAGAGTTTGTATAACATTGGAATAAGCTGTTTATTGAAAAGTTGGTAGAACTCACTATCTTACTGTGTTTCTGCTGCTGTAACAAAATACCTGACACTGGGTAATTTATGAAGAAATGAAATTTATTTTCTCACAGTTCTGGGGGCTGGAAAGTCCAAGATCAAGGTGCCAGCAGGTTTGGTGCCTGGTGAGGACCTAGTTTCTGCTTTCAAGTTAGCGCCTTGTTGCTGCCTCTTTCAGGGGATGAACACTATGTCCTCACATGGCAGAAGAGATGAAAGGGCAAAAGGAACTGACTAGTTCTTTGGGCCCTTTTATAAAGTCACTAATCCCATTCATGAGGACTCCACTTCATGAATTAATCATTACCTAAAGGGGTTACCTCTTTGTTTTATTATCCCCCCTGTTTTGACACAGAAGAATTACCTACCTCTTAATACTATTATATTGGTGAGACTGCTTCAACTTGAAACAATATGAGTTTTAGGGGACATTCAGATCATATAAATTATTTAATCCTGATGGCTTCATTGTAAGAAGATTTTTATTAACTTCAATTTCTTTACTGGTCATAGGACTTATTTCTTCTTGAAGTATGTTTTCCTAGGATTTTGTTCATCTAAGTTTTAAAAAACTTTTTTTTTCATCTCTGATCCTTCTGTAGTTATGTCCCCCTTTGCATTACTAATATTTTTTCTCCCTCTCTCTTCTCCCCTCCCCCTGCCCCCTGTAGTTTGTCAATTTTATTAGTTTCTTCCCTATGTAACAAGCTTTGAATTTGTTGATCCCCTCTATTGTACTTTTTAAAATACTTTTTAAAAATATCTCATTTTATTTTGTTTTTATAGGTGGTATCTCACTGTGTTATCCAGACTGGACTCAAATTTCTGGGCTCCAATGGTCCTCTCACCTCAGCCTCCCAAGTAGTCAGGACTACAGGTACACACTACTGTGCGTGGCTATTGTATTTTCTTGATTGTTGCTTTAATAATTTTTATGTGCTTCCTTTTACTTTCTTTGAGTTCATTCTTTATTTTCTACTGTCATCGGTTGGGTGCTTAATTATGTCATTTTCAGGTTTTAATTTCTAATATAAGCATACAAGACTATATAAGTTTACCTTGAATTACCACTACTATTTTGTTTCCCAAGTCTTGATACACAGTATTTTTATTATTGTTCATTTCTAAATATTTTTTACACTTTTATTACAATTTCATCTTGGATTGAAGTATTGTTTCAGGAGTATGTTTAATTAAATTTTGAGATAATTATAGATTCACATGCAGCTGTAAGAAATAATAGAAAGAGATCCTGTGTACACTTTACCCAGTTTCCTCCCAATTTGTAAAATTTCTCCTATTTGTAAAACTATAGAAAATATCACAATCAAGATACTGACATTAATGAGAAATCAGCTGTTAGTTTTACCGAGGATCCCTTATATGTGATGAATTACTTCTCTCTCACTGCTTTCAAGATTCTGTTTGTCCTTCGCTTTCAACAATTTGATTATAATGTGTCTAGGTGCAAATCTTTTTGAGTTTCTCGTATTTTGAGTCTGCTGAGCTTCTAAAATGTGTAGATTAATGTTTTTCACAAATTTGGGGAGTTTTGGCCTTTTTTTCTTCCAGTATTCTTTTTAGGTCTCTCCCCTCTGCTTCTTTGATTTATTTTATATGTATGATAGTACACTTCATGGTGTTTCACAGATCTCTGAAACTCTTCATTTTCTTTATTCTTTTTCTCTCTGTTTTTCATATTGGGGCATCTCAATTGACCTTTCTTCCAGTTTGCTGATATTTCTTTCTGCTAGCTTGAATCTACTATTGAGCTCCTCTAGTGAATTTTTCATTTCAGTTATTGTACTTTTCAACTCTGGAATTTCTGTTTGGTCCTCATTTATAATTGTATCTTTGTATCAATATTTTCTAGTGAGACATTATTCTCATGCTCTTCTTTAGTTCTCTAGATATAGTTTTCTTTAATTGTTTGAACACATTTATACTATCCTATTTAAAGTCTTTGTCTAGTAAATCCAACATCAGGGCTTCCTGACAGTTTCTATTCATTGCTTCCCCCCACCCAGCCCCCACGGTGTATAGGTTATTTTTCCTGTTTCTCTGCATATCTTATACACTTTTATTGAAAACTAGATGTTTTAAATAATAAAATGTGGCAACTCTGGAAATCAGATTCCCCCTCTTCCCCAGAATTTATTCTTGCAATTGCTGTTGCTCCTGTTTGTCTAGTTACTTTCCTAAATTAATTCTGTAAAGTCTGTATTCTTTGTAACGTTTGGCCACTATAGCCTCTGCTTTCTTAGCTTAGTGATCAGGTAATAAATGGACAGATATTTTCTTAAATGCTTTGAATTGATAAGTCTCCCAGCCTTTGCCAAAGGTCTGTGTGTGTGTGTTGGGACATATCCATAAAGCTGTACCACACACTAGACAACTCTGCTTTAGTCTTTACTTTCTGCTTGTGCAGAACCTCAAGGTCTGCCAGTGGTTAGAGATTAAGGTCTTCTCAAACCTTTCCTGGGTACGCACATAGTTCTGGGCAGGGATACAGCCTGTACATGCATGTGGTCACCTGTACATGCATGTGGTCATCTACATTTCCGGGAAATCTGATTAAGCTTTCCAAACACACTTATAAACTTCTTAATCCAGCTGGGCAAGGTGGCTCATGCTTGTAATCTCAGCACTTTGGGAAGCCGAGGTGGGCGGATAATTTGAGGCCAGGAGTTCGAGACCAGCCTGGTCAACATGGTGAAACCCCATCTCTACTAAAAATACAGTAATTAGCCGGGCATGGTGCTACATGCCTGTAATCATAGCTACTCAGGAGGCTGAGGCAGGAGAATCACTTGAACCCAGGAGGCAGAGGTTTGCAGTGAGCCAGGGTCGTGCCACTGCACTCCAGCCTGGGCAACAGAGCAAGACTCCATGTCAAAAAAAAAATCTTATTCCTCAGTTTTTCCTTATAATCTTTTTTTCCCCCAAATGTTATCACCTCAGGCACCTGAGATGTTAAACAATTGCCACTAATTGTTTTCCATAAATACTCCAAAGAAAAGGCTGTTCACAGTAAATGAACCCTGAGTCAGTTCCAATAAAGACCAACCCTGAGAGCCCCTGTGGTTTCCAGGAAACTGCCAGACAAGTCAAAGAATAACTAATGGAAGATGAGCATTTAGGGGAACTCCAAGCCCATTCTGCCTGCTTCAGTGACTGCTAGGTTGCTGGTTTTCAGGGTTACCATGATTGAAGGTTGTTGGTTTCCAAGGCTACTATGGAACTACAGAAAGAGGGATGGCAATAGGACAAGTTAAAATGCCACCAGTCTTGCTCTTCTTATGAGATTTAGCCATGTGTGTGTGTGTGTGTGTGTGTGTGTGTGTGTGAAAATGCTCCTCAGACTTTTGTGAGCCTTTGGTTAATTTTCAGAGTTCTAAAAATGTTGATTTTAACAATTTTTTGCCAGTGCTCTCATTGCTTTTCTGAAGAAATCAATTTTTGGCGATTTTTACTCCACCATTCTGAATGCAGTTCCAATCATATTGACATTAATACAGTCAAGATACAGAACAATTCCATCACCACAAGGATCTCTTGTGTTGTTCTTTTACAGCCACGTGCATTTCCTTCCTATTACTGTCTTAGGCCCTGGCAACCACTAATCTGTTCTCTATTTCTATAATTTTGTTATCTCAAGAATTGTATAAATGGAACCATGCAGTATATAGCCTTTTGGGATTTTTTTCACTCAGCATGATTCCCTGGGGGTTTATCCAGATCATTGCCTTTATCAATAATTTGTTATTATTGCTAAGGAATAATCCATAATATGGATGTACCACTCTTTATTCACCCACTGAAGAACATCTGAGTTGTTTCTAGTTTAAGGATTTATGGATAAAGCTGCTGTGAATATTCATATACAGGTTATTATATGAATATAAGTCTGTCTTTCTCTGAGATAGATGCCTAGAAGTGTAATTGTTGAGTCATACTTCATTTAGTTTGTTTTTTTTTAAGAAACTGCCAATCTGTTTTTCAATTCAGCTCTACTATTTTACATTCCCACCAGCAATATATGAATGATTTGGTTTCTCTGCATACTTGCCAGCATTTGATGTTGTCAAAATTTTTTATTTTAACTAGAGAGAGTATATGCTAATATTTTATTGTGGCTTTAATTTGCATTTCCCTAATGGCTAATGATATTAAACATCTTTATATGTGCTCATTTGGCATCTAATTGGATTATTTTTTACTGTTGAGTTTTGAGGGTTCTTTTGAGAGTATATTCTGGATACTAATCCTTTGTTGGATATGTGGTTTTCTTCAGTTTTTAGCCTTTCTTTTTATCTTGTCAACAGGGTTTCTGAGAAAGCAACAGTTTTTTAATTTTTTATAGAGTCCAATTTATCAATCTCTCCTTTTATGAATTATGTTTTGGTGTCAAGTCTAAGAAATTGTTGCTAGTGCTAGGTCTCAAATATTTTCTCCTATTTTTTTTCCTAAAAGTTTTATAGTCTTGTTCTTTACACTTAAGTCTGTGATCTATTTTGAGTTAATATTTGTAGAAAGTATGAGACTTACTTCAAAGTTCATGTGTTTTTGTTTGTTTGTTTTGCATATGGATCTTCAATTACTCCAGTGCCGTATGTTGAAAAGGCTATCTTTTCGTCATTGAATTGCTTTTGCACCTTTGTCAAAAATCAGTTAGACATTTTTGTGTAGGTCTATTTCTGAGTTCTCTATCCTGTTATATTGATCTGTATCTCTCCCTCTGCCAATACCACACAGTCATGATTAGTGTAGCTCTATAAAAATCTTGAAATTGGGAAGACTGGTTCCCCCACTTTATTCTTTTTTCCAAATTATTTTGGCTATTCTATTTGTCTTTTCACATAAATTTGGGGACTAATTTTGTGTATTCTACATAAAACCTTGCTGAGATTTTAGTAGAAATTTTATTTAACTTATATATCAATCTGGGGAGTATTGACATTTTTAGAAGTGTGTTTTTAAATTTATAAATACATGGAGAGTTCCTTTCTTTTCTTTCCTTCCTTCCTTTCTTTCTTTCTTTCTTCTTTCCCTTCCTCCCTTCCTTCCTTCCTTCTTTCTTTCCTTCTTTCTTTCTTTCTTTTCTTTCTTTTCTTTCTTTCCTATGGAGTCTCGCTGTGTTGCCCAGGCTGGAGTGCAGTGGCACGATCTCGGCTCACTGCAACCTCCGCCTCCCAGGTTCAAGTAATTCTCATGTCTCAGCCTCCCACGTAGCTGGGATTACAGGCACTTGCCACCACGCCTGGCTAATTTTTGTATTTTTAGTAGAGACAGGGTTTCACCATGTTGGCAAGGCTGGTCTTGAACTCCTGACCTCAGGTGATTCGCCCACCTCAGCCTCCCAAAGTGCTGGGATTACAGGTGTGAGCCAGCACAGACAGCCTTTTTCTTGATTATTAACATCTCATTTAATTCTAGTGTAGTCAGAGAATGCTATTATTATAGCAGTTATTTGAAATTTGCTGACACTTTATGGACTAGTATTTAATTTTTATAAATGTTCCACATGTGCTTGAAAAGAATGAATATTCCCTAATTTTTAGATGTTCTATTGTGTTCTATTGTGTGATCAAAAACTAATCCTGCCAGCCTGGCCAACATAGTGAAACCCTGTCTCTACCAAAAAATATAAAAATTAGCTAAGCATGGTGGCACATGCCTGTAGTCCAGCTACTGGGGAGGCTGAGGTGGAAGAATCACTGGAACCCAGGAGGTAGAGATTGCAGTGAGCCGAGATCGCACCATGGCACTCCAGCCTAGGCGACAGAGTGAGACCCTACCTCCAAAAATAAAACAAAACAAATTAATTGTGTTATTCAAATCTTTTTTATTTTTTTAACCAATTTTTTTGTGTACTTATAACCCCCTATTTTTAAAATTATATAACAAACTTCTTCCTTCCTAATAATGTTTTTGTCTTAAAATCCATTTTCTCTAATATTAATATAACTACCTCAGCTTTCTTTTGTTAGTATTTGTCTGGATTAGTCTTTTTCATCTTTTTGCTTTCAACCTGTTGACTTATGTTTTAAGTGAGCCTATTGTACAGTATATTAATGGACTTTGTTTTTATTTCAAATTTAAGTATCTCTGTCCTAAATGGCACTTTTAGGTCATTAACTTTATTGTAATTATGATATATTTGGCCTTATTTCCATCACCTTGCTTTGTGCTTTGTCCCCTTTTCATTATATTCCCCCCACCACACGCATATACACATTTCTTGTCTCATTTTAGATTTTTGCCAATCTTTCTTTCCTTCCTTCCTTCCCTCTCTCCCTCCCTCCCTCCCTCCCTCCCTCCCTCCTTCCCCCCCATTCTTCCTTTCTTTTCTTTCTTTTGCATATATCTTCTCTCTATTGGTTTGGAAATTATACATTCTAATTTTATTATTTCGTGGTTACCATTAAAATTTCACCATGCATACTTTAAAATGTCTTGAGCTAATCAAATCTGTAAGTCTTCTGAACAACATAGTTTCCCTCTGAGGTTCTGAATCTTCAGATTCAATCAATTGCTGATTTAAAATATTTGAAAAAAATTTGGCCAGGTGCGGTGGCTCATGCCTGTAATCCCAGCACTTTGTGAGGCTGATCACCTGAGGTCAGTTCAAGACCAGCCTGGCCAACATGGTGAAACTCCGTTTCTACTAAAAATACAAAAATAGCCAGGCGTGGTGGCAGGCACTGGTAATCCGAGCTACTTGGGAGACTGAGGCACAAGAATCGCTTGAACCCAGGAGGCAGATGTTGCAGTGAGCCAAGATTGCACCACTGCACTCCAGCCTGGGCAACAGAGTGAGACCCTGTTAAAAAAGAAAATTAGGCCTCAGTAAACCTGATATTTTTAAAAAGAAAAAAAGAAATTGTATAATTAACCACTTTTGCACACCAAATATAAATGGTACAAGTGGGGATGAGGAATTTTAAAATTCATTAAAATGTATAAATATATACCCAACGAGGAAAGAAATATGGGTAGAGGTGACAGTCCCTATTCTGTAATTGCTTATGGGGCTGTGGTTGACATGTATAAATTTTCCTCTCTGTAATTTGTGTCATGTTCCCTTTGCCTTCACAAAAGAACTCAGTAAGTTGGAGTTTCTTACCAAACTCACCTCATAAGAATTACTTCCTTGGTAAATCTGTCTTCAGGGATATAGCAGTCTTCCATTAACTTTTTCCGTTGGATATGGTTGTTTAAGACCTGCTCCAGAATAGCAGACCTGAGTTCTATTAAGATTTTCCTATCCCGAGGTCAAGGCTATAGTGAGCCATGATAGTGCCACTGCACTCCAGCCTGGGTGAGAGAGTGAGACTCTATATCAAAATTTTTAAGATTTCCACATCCCCACTTTGAAGCAGCAGCCTTCTTTCCCATGATGATCAAGATTATTCAGGACCAGTCATCCCAGTCAACATCATGACCTTCTTTATTTTTTTTTTTGCCTGTGGTATAAGAGCCCAAAATGACCAGCAGTGGAAACATTGTTTTGTCTTCTTATAGAAGCAGTTATCTCTTGGATCCCCAAATGCCAAGTCAGCAGAGCCCCAAGTCATGGAGAGGAGAAGCAATAATTTGATGAGTAACAAACACATTAGACTTAATCATGAAAGATACTATCCCATTTCCACCCCATTGTTTCCATACCTGTACATTCTAATTACAGGAGAAGCCACACATACGCATACATTGGTTCATGATTCAGAACATATAATATATCCTGCATGCCAGTGCCCCAACCTCATGAGGTGTTGTCCCAATTGGAGGCACAGCTGGCTCTTCAGCAGGGCATTCTGCTATTCTCTAAGGCAAGCTGCCAGACTAGGCATGGTGGGAGCATGTGTTACTTATATTCAGACAGCTTATTGTATCTTCAGCTATGGCTGGAGCCTCATTCTGTATTTTATACCTCTTATAGCTCATGTTAAAATGTTGCATAGAATGCCCAACTTCATAGCTAGGTAGCTGAGACAACTCACAGTGGGCAGTTTTGATCTTAGCACTTGGACTCCCCCAGATCCCCAGAGCAAGGCTAGAGCAGTTTTCCAAAATGAAAATAATCACTTGCTTATGAGGCAGCGGCTTTGCTCCATTACTTTAGGGGCCTCCACTGCAATTCCTATTGAGGACTGTCACAGATTTCCTATCGCATTCACAATTGCCACTCATTTATGGAACACCATTGGATCCACGGGCTCATAAATGCTAAGGGAAGGAGCTTCCTATGTACTTCTGCATTATTTCAAGAAACTTCTGGCACCTCAACTTAGTGTGTTCCATTGTCAAGTGAACACCAGGTGGTTCTGGGTTTTGGTTAACCAGCTGAGCAAATTGTTAGAACTATTCCCTGCTGCTAGTATAATGAGTCCAAAATCATAAGGACATCCGCATCAGTAAATTCAGTCCCAAACTAAAACTATGTTCCTCCTCATTTGGTGGGCAGACACAGAATCCAGTTCTGCTATAAATGGGCAATATCCCTATATTTATTTTTGTGTGTAAAGCTTTTCCTAGGTTTGACTTGAACTTATATCTCTAAAAGCTTACTGGGATTTGTCTTTAGTTAGAGAGGATTGTCTTCCTCTTACAAGGAAAGGGGATAGATATGTTTTCGAACAAGGGAGAGACAGCTTCATCAGATAAGGGAGGAGAGAGAGACTTCTTCAGTGGGTAATGAAAGTGGAAGTGAATGTTGAGGCTAAACACAGGAGGGTAGTTGAAATAACAGCCCCTTCTACCCAAGTCCTAGCACAGACAGCACAGAATATTTTTCTAAAAAGAATAGAACACAAAGTCTGGAGGCAGCTAGTGTGATGTCGGCACCTCACCTAAAGCCCTCCTCATTCTGGAATTTGAGAACTTCATTGTAAAGTAAGATTCCTGCACTTTACCCAAAGCAATATAGGCCTCCCATGTACAGGGTCCTCAGTGAGATGTCTTCTTTTCTATTTTCACAATATGAGTAGAAAGCCAAAGATCACCAGACATTGAGAAAGGTCTATAGCATACAACTGGAAAATCAAAATTAAAAAAAAAAAGAAAGAAAAAAATCTGACACCAGAGACAATTCAGGAAATAGGTTAGAAACAACAAATAATTCATATTCTCAAAGATACAGCTTTTTTTAATTTAAAAAAGAATTATAATATTGTGAAACTAACAAAGAACAAGAAATAATTCTTGATAATTAAAAACATGATTGCTGATTTTAGGAAGATGATGGTAGCATAGTTTTTTTAAAGCAGCTTTATTGAGGTATACTTGGTATAAAATCATCTGCACATGTTTAAAGTATATAATTTATAAGCTTTGACATATGTATATACCCATGAAACCATCACAATCAAGATTATGAACATACAGTCACCTCCAAAAGCTTGCTCCAAAAGTTTGTAATTCCTTTTTTTTTTTTATTCCTCTGCCTCCCTGCCTGGTAACCAATGATATTCAAATGAAATGATATAGTATTACTATTTTGTCTGGCTTATTTCACTGAGTATAATTACTTTGAGATTCATCCATATCATGACATGTGTCAGTAGTTAATTCCTTTTCATCGCTTAGTAGTATTCCATTGTACGGTTATACCACAGTTTATGCATTCACCTGTGGATGCACATTTTGATTGTTTTCATTTTTTGACCATTACAAATAAAGCTGCTATGAATGTTTGAGAACAAGTCTTTATGGGCATATGTTTCCTTTCTCTTGGATAAATTCCTAGCAGTGGAATGGCTGAATCATATGGCAGGTTTATGCTCAATTTTTTTTTTCTTTAAGAAACTTCCAAATTGTTTTCCAAAGCAGTTTTACCATTTTTACATTCCCATCAACAGTGCATGAGAGTTCTAACTTTTCTACATCCTCACCAATACTTGGTATGGACAGTATTACAAAAAACTTTTTGGGACAGGGTATCACTCTGTTGCCTAGGCTGGATTGCAGTGGTGCGATTATGACTCACTGCAGCCTGGACACCTAGGCTCAAGTGATCCTCTGCCTCAGCCTCCTGAATAGCTGGGACTACATGCACCACCATGCCTGGCTAATTAAAAAAATTATTTTTTATAAAGACAGGGTCTCACTATGTTGCCCAAAGCGGTCTCCAATTCCTGGGCTCAAGCAGTCCTCCCTCCTTGGCTTCCCAAAGTGCTAGGATTATAGAGGTGAGCCATTACATCCGGGTACTATTTTTAATGGTTTAAAGCAACTTTATTGAGTTGTTATATAACTTACATACCACAAAATCCACCCATTTAAAATATACAGTTCAGTGACTTTTTAGCATCACAGAGTTGAGCAATCAACCTGACTATCTAATTTTAGAATTTTAGAAAAGGCCTCATCCCCATTAGCACTCACTTCCTACTCTGCCCTCTCCCTGACTCCATCTCCCATTCTAGGCAATCTCTAATCTGCTTTCTGTCTCTAGATCTGCCTATTCTGATTTCATGTAAGCTGCATCATACAATATGTGGTCTTTTGTGCCTGGCTTCTCTCATGTAGCATACTGTTTTCAAGGCTCATCCATGTTATTGCATGTATCAATACTTCATTCCCGTTTTAAACATTTTTTAAATTTTGAAATAATTATAGATTCACAGAAAATTGCAAAGATAGTACAGAGAGGTCTGGTGTACCCTTCATCCAGTTTCCCCCAGTGGTTACATCTTACATACTTACAGTACAGTGTCAAAACCAGGAATTTGACATTGGTAAAAAATAAAATGGTGTGCACCATTTTATCACATGTATAGATTCATATAACCACCACTGCACTCAACATACAGAACTATTCTATCACCATAACGCTCTTCCTCATTACTGCCCTGCTCAACATCCCTAAGCCCTAGCAACACTAATCTGATTTTCATCTCTATAGTTTTGTCATTTCAAGAAGGTTATATAAATGGAATCACACAATGTGTGAGATTGGCATAATGAATTTCCCCTAGTGTTCAAATAAAGACAGAATAGATAGTGAAACCAAAACCATGTAGATGATACTTTTAAGAAAACTAGGTGACAAACCCAGAAAATATCAGGGAGTGGGCCAGAACAACAGCCCCAAACCTACACAGTATCAGCACCTGTGTGAGAGGAAGCAGAGGAAAGATGGTGTGCCTGGGGGACCTGAGAAAATGAGAAACACAAAATGTTCCCAAAAAAGTATTACTGGAAAGTGAACTAGGGCATTCTGAGAACAGCCACAGAAACCAGGAGGAGTTCTGCTCACTCCACTAGCTGGCAAGTGTAAGGCCATCCTCAGAAAAGTCTGAGAAGGCTGTGAAAGTACAGCACCTTATTCTCATGAGACTGACCTCCCAGGACTTCCACATTGAAGAGAAACTGAGCAGGACAGGGACAATATCAGGACCAAAGGAAACAAGGAAGGGCAAAACAAAATTTGGAGGGTCAGGGAGATACAGCCAGGAAATCCCAGAAGGTAAGCTGCCATTTGTTTGAACAGTACACAAAAACAGAAGAAAGAACTCTGTGAGGTTGGAAAACCTCATCTGAACTATACTGCCTTCTAAAAGTTCAGAGAAACAAATCTCAGATAAAAATGAGCAGCAGAGGCTGGGTGCAGTGGCCCACGCCTATAATCTCAGTGCTTTGGGAGGCCGAGGCAGGAAAATCACCTGAGGCCAGGAGTTCAAGACCAGCCTGGGCAACATAGCAAGGCGGTGTCTCTACCAAAGAAAAAAAAAAATCAGCTGGGCGTGGTTGCGTGCACCTGTAGCCCCAACTACTTAGGAGGCCTAGGTGGGAGGATTGCTTGAGGCCAGGAGTTTCAGACTACATTGAGCCATGATCTTGCCACTACATTTCAGTCTGGGAGCCTGGGTGACAGAACAAGACTCTGTCTCAAAAAAAGAAAAAAATGCAACAGAAAGTATCCAGATCGATCCGATACAAAATTATTATAATCAAAATGGAATAATATGTAGAATAACATGCCTACAACTAATGAACACACGCCAGGATGAGCCTATACAATAGATCAAAACTGTAACTTGTTACTTTAAAACAAGCTAAAAGACATTCAAATAAAATAATACATGGGTTGAAAAAAACCCTAAATCAGAATTAGAAAAACAGCATGGGTGACAAAATTCAGAAAATAATTAGAAATAAAAGATCGTTTCATAAATGAAAACCAAATTAAAAGAAAGACAAGTAGAATAAACACAACACATGATGCCTTAAGGTGAAAAGAAAGAAGATTTGCAAATAAAAAAAAAGATAAAAAAGGATTTGAGAGAAAATAGCCAATATTGAAGATACCTCCTCTTGAAAATAAAGAGGAGCCAACATATATGTAATGAGAGTCCCAGGGTTTAAAAAAAATCAGAGATTATAACAAATACTAAAAACTATAATTCAACAAAAGCTTTCTGATTTAAAAAAAAATGATTTAAAGCTACATATTGAAAAAGACTTCTCCATCCTCCTCTTGTGCCTCTTCCAACACATGTTCTGTGCTGCATGTTGCTGAATGTTCTGAAATTCTACGATCATGCTTTATTATTATGCCTCTCTGCCATTGCTCAACTCAGTCCTATGCCTAAAATGTCTTTCACCATTTCTTCACTTGGTGCCCTACAATGTATTCTTCAAAACTCAATTCCAACATCACTTTCTCTACGATGCATTACCTGAGTCCTCTGTCCCCACCCCATACCCAGTTCTGGGTTACATGCCCTCTTCTCTGCTTTTATAACACTGTGTAAGTATGTTTTCAGAGCTGTGTCTATCATATCTTCACATATAAAACTGTAATTATGTGCTTATTGACTGTGTCCAGTCCCTCTCCCTGACTGTAAGTATTCCAGGTCACAAACCTATCTTTTTTTTTAATCCTCTTTATCTGGCACAATATTTAGTGACCTGTCACTGTAAAATGAGCAAAAGATAATGAATTTTGTATAAGTTACTATTAGAAAGGTAAAATAGCTGGACTCTCCCATTTGTTATGGTTTAAGGAGGTTTGAGAAGAGAACATCATCCTATTACATTTACATGGCCACTATAATTATATCAGAAACATTTTTGCCCTAATCTAGCAAATAATTATGACAACATTTTATCAGAAAAAAAGTATTAAATAAAAACATGAAATTGTGATAATATATTCTCAATGATGATAGAGGAAAATGTAAGCATAAGCCAAAAGAATGGATTTTTTAAATTTTTAGTTTTTCCGTAAGTTATTGGGGTACAGGTGGTATTTGATTACATGAGTAAGTTCTTTAGTGGTGATTGGTGAGATTTTGGTGCACCCATCACCCAAGAACGATACACTGCACCATATTTGTAGTCTTTTATCCTTTGCCTCCCTCCCGCTCTTCCCCCCAAGTCCCCACAGTCCATTGTATCATTCTTATACCTTTGCATCCTCATAGCTTAGCTCCCACATATCAGTAAGAAGATACAATGTTTGATTTTCCATTCCTGAGTTACTTCACTTAGAATAATAGTCTCCAGTCTCATCCAGGTCACTGCAAATGCTGTTAATTCATTCCTTTTTATGGCTGAGTAGTAGTCCATCATATATATACCACAATTTCTTTATCCACTCATTGATTGATGGGCATTTGGGTTGGTTCCACAATTTTGCAATTGTGAATTGTGCTGCTATAAACATGTGCGTGCAAGTATCTTTTTCATATAATGACTTCTTTTCCTCTGGGTAGATACCCAGTAGTGGGATTGCTCAATCAAATGGTAGCTCTACTTTTAGTTATTTAAGGAATCTCCACACTGTTTTCCATAGTGACTGTACTAGTTTACATTCCCATCAGCAGTGTAGAAGTGTTCCCTGATCACTGCATCCATGCCAACATCTACTGTTTTTTTTTTATTTTTTGATTATGGCCATTCTTGCAGGAGTAAGATGGTATCACATTGTGGTTCTGATTTGCATTTCGCTGATCATTAGTGATGCTGAGCATTTTTTCAGATGTTCATTGGCCATTTGTATATCTTCTTTTGAGAATTGTCTATTCATGTCCTTAGCCCACTTTTTGATGGGCTTGTTTGTTTTTTTCTTGTTAATTTGTTTGAGCTTGTTGTACATTCTGGATATTAGTCCTTTGTCAGATGTATAGATTGTGAAGGTTTTCTCCCGCTCTGTGGGTTGTCTTTTTACACTGCTGACTGTTCCTTTTGCCGTGCAAAACTCTTTAGTTTAATTAAGTCTGAACTATTTATATTTGTTTTTATTGCATTTGCTTTTGGGTTCTTGATCATGCAGTCCTTGCCTGAGCCAATGTCTAGAGGGGTTTTTCCACTATTATCTTCTAGAATTTTTACAGTTTCAGGTCTTAGATTTAAGTCTTTAATCCATCTTGAGTTGATTTTTGTGTAAGGTGAGAGATGAGGATCCAGTTTCATTCTCCTACATGTGGCTAGCCAATTATCCCAGCACCATTTGTTGAAAAGGGTGTCCTTTCCCCATTTTTGTTTGTTTTGTCAAAGATCAGTTGGCTGTAAGTATTTGGGTTTATTTATAGGTTCTCAATTCGGTTCCATTGGCCTGTATGCCTATTTTAATACCAGTACCATGCTGTTTTGGTGACTATGGCCTTACAGTATAGTTTGAAATCAGGTGGTATGATGCCTCCAGATTTGTTCTTTTTGCTTAGTCTTGCTTCGGCTATGCAGGCTCTTTCTTGGTTCCATATGAATTTTAGAAATATTTGGCATTGGTGTTTCTTTTCTTTCTTTTACTTTTTTTTTTTTTTTTTTTTTTTTTGGAGACAAGGTCTCACTTTGTCACCCAGGCTAGAGTCCGGTGGCACAATTATAGCTCACTGCAATCTCAAACTCCTGGGCTCAAGCAATCCTCCAGCCTCAGCCTCTCAAGTAGCTGGGGACTACAGGCATGTGCCACCACACTTAGCTAACGTTTGTATTTTTTGTAGAGACAGGATCTCCCTATGTTGCCCAGGGTGGTCTCAAGCTCCTGGCCTCAAACATTAGGAGTACAGATACAAGCCACCTTGCCCAGCCTGACACTGGTGTTTCAAAGGCTTTCACCCTCTGTGTTTGGATCTCTACCTTCCAACACTTAAAAAGGGGCTAGAGAGCCAGAGACAACATGGAAGAGCCTCTTCCTGTTCATAGTGGTCCATATTTAAAATGGCTGAAAGACTCTCATGTCTCATATTTTTTTAATCTTGAGTCCCTTTGTCTAATACATCCTTTAACAAAGAGGAATTAGAGACATTTGCAGTCATTTTGGTCTAAACTAGCTGATAGAGCAGGCAAATCCGTTGTCTGTGGTTATTTCCATAAAAAATGGCACACTAGGATAAACACGCCAAGAGTCTGGGGAACCTGGAGAGACCAGTTTGTACTCCAGAATGACACAGTAACATTTAGTTGGCAAGAATTTGTGTTTATTGCCACAGAAAAAAATGGTTACTCCTCAGCAAGGCTGGAATCAGTTAAAAGAATACAAACAAAGTTACACTTTTTTGTGTGCCTGAGTTATAACTGCAAGTTTTCTTTAAAACTGTCCCTTTCTTTTCTCTAGTATTCTTCCTGGTCATGTACAATAATTCACTAAAGGTATTCCTAATGGGAATAATCAATTATGACTGAGAGCTGTTTTCTCTATCATTGGTGTCAGCTTAGTGTTCATATTCTCACACTGTAGTGGTGCTCTTTTCTCTAACATTTGTTCATACTGTTCTAATGTTCTGACCAATGATACAGCTTCATGACACCTCCCCAAGGGCTGTCTCCTTTTGCCCTGTGCTTCATCTTATGTTATCGCTACACTCACTTAATTTTGTACCCCTTCTCCAAGATTTATAAAAATGGTAAATATGATTGTTTGCATTGATTCCTAGGAAACCCCACTGAAACATCTCCCTTGAAAGAAGTATCCATTTACCCCTGTGCCTTCAGCCTGAATTTGCTCTCCCCTAATTTGAGTAAAATAACTCTTAGAGTTTGTGATTTCCCTAAAAAGTTAAGCATAAAATTTGACCTAGCAATTCTACTCCTAACTATATTCCAAAAAGAATTTAAAATAGATGCTCATATCTTTGTAAACAAATGTTCGTAATGGAACTATTCACAATAGCCAAAATGTAGAAATAACCCAAATGTCCACTAATGGATAAATGGATAAACAATTTATGGTATGTGCATGCGGTGAAATATTATTCAGCCATAAAAAGGAATGAAGGGGTCAGGCACGGTGGCTCATGCCTGTAATCCCAGCGTTTTGGGAGGCCAAAGCTGGTGGATCACTTGAGCTCAGGAGTTCGAGATCAGCCTGGGTAACATGATAAAAACCTGTCTCTACAAAAAATACAAAAATTAGCCATGTGTGGTGCCACACACGCATAGTCCCAGCTACTGGGGAGGCTGAGGTGGGAGGATCACTTGAGCCTGGGAGGCAGAGGTTGCAGTGAGCTGACATTGTGCCACTGTACTCCAGCCTGATGACAGAGTGAAAACTCTGTCTCAAAAAAAAAAAAAAAAAAAAGGAATGAAGTACTGATACATGCTACAGTGTGGATGAACCTTCAAAGCATAATGCTAAGTGAAGCTAGACACAAAATTGTATTAGTCCATTTATTTGAAATATCCAGAATAGATAAATTCGTAGAAAGCTTGGGGGTTGCAAGGGGCTATTGGTAGGGAGCAATGAGGAGTAGCTGCTTAGAGATTGCAGGATTTATTCTGGAATGATGAAGTGTTTTGGAACTGGAGAGAGGTGGTGGCTGCACAGCATTGTGAATGTACTAAATGACACTTAATTGTTCACATTATTTATTATTTATTTATTTTTTTTGAGACAGAGTCTCGCTCTGTCACCCAGGCTGGAGTGCAGTGGCACAATCTTGGCACACAGCAACCTCCACCTCCCAGGTTCAAGCGATTCTCCTGCCTCAGCCTTACAAGTAGCTGGGACTACAGGCGCCTGCCGCCAAGCCCAGCTAATTTCTGTATTTTCGGTAGAGACAGGGTTTCATCATGTTGGCCAGGCTGGTCTGGAACTCCTGACCTCAAGTGATCCGCCCACCTCGACCTCCCAGCGTGCTGGGATCACAGGTGTGAGCCACTGCACCTGGTCTGTATTGTTCACATTAAAATGGTTAATTTTAGGGTCTCACTCTGTCATCCAGGCTGGACTGTAGTGGTGCAAGCATGGTTCATTCCAGCCTGGACTCAGGCTCAAGCAATTCTCCTGCCTCAGCCTCCCTAGAAGCTGGGACTACAGTTATGCACCACCATCCCTGGCTATATTTTATTTATTTTTTATTTTTTGTAGAGACAAGGTCTCACTATGTTGCGGTCACTGGCCTCAAACTCCTGGGCTCAAGCAGTCCTCCTGCCTTGGCCTCCCAAAGTGCTGGCATTATAGGTGTGAGCCACTGCACCTGGCAATATGTAGATCTGTTCTTATCATAGATCTTAGCAACCTCAGCATACAATTTTTCTTTCTTATTAAGTTGTGAACTTTCAACTTTTCACTTAAAGGAATCACTTTATGGCATCTCTTTGGCATATCTGAATTATCAGTATTACTACTTTTGCTCTTTGGGACCAGTATTACATAAAATAAGGATGACTTGAACACAAGCACTGAAATACAGTGATGTAATGATACAGTTGTTCGACTGGAAAACCCAAGGAACCAATTTGAAAACTACTATAAATAATACTATAAATAATAAGAGACTTTAGTCAGGTGACTGATTACAAAATTAATATTTAGGAATCAATAGATTAATAGAAAAAGTCTTACTTACAATAGTAACCAAAAAGATAAATTTCTAGGAACAAGTTTAACCCAAGAAATGTGCAGTTTTCTGAGTGACATAACAGAAGATTTGAACAAATGGAAAAGTGTACCTATTGTGTCTTCTGGGTTTGATTTTTATTTTTCAAAAATAATACTAAATATTTTGGTGAGGATTTGAAGTAAAAGGCACTTGGCAAAATATGGTAAGATGTGATTTGGTGTACACCTCCCTAAGGTCAGGTTGGCAGTATTTGTCAGTGTGTAAAACATACATGCTACATTTTGTGTAACAAAGGAAGGAATAAGAATATATAATAGTGTTTGTTTGTTTTTATTTGCATAAGTGATGCAGGGCGGTTTCTTGGCTTCGCCCAGGAAGGAATTCAAGTTCAAGAGCTAGCCGATGGTAGCAGACAGCTTTATTGAAGCTGTGGCAGGGTTATAGCTCCATGACTGCTCCTGCAGAGCAGGGCTACCCCACAGGCAGTGTGCTGAGAGCAGCAGCTCAGTGACAGTTCTGCATTCACAGTTATACCCACTTTAAAGTACATGCAAATTAAGGGGTGAGTTGTTCAGAAATTTGTAGGAAAAGGGTGATAACTTCTGGGTGCTACCATGGCAATGGTAAACTGACATGTCAATGGCACTGGTGGGCATGTCTTATGAAGAGGTGCTTTTTTAAAAAAATTCTTTTGAGACAAGGTCTGGCTCTGTTGCCCAGGCTGGAGAGCAATGGTGCTATCTCAGCTCGCTGCAAACTCCACCTCCCAAGCTCAAGCAATCCTCACACCTCAGCCTCCCGGTTAGCTGGGACTACAGGCGGGTGCCACCACACCTGGCTAATTTTTTGTACATTTTGTAGAGACGAGATTTTACCATGTTGTCTAGGCTGATCTCAAACTCCTTGGCTCAAACCATCCACCCACATTGGCCTCCCAAAGTGCTGGGACTGCAAGAGTGAGCCACTGTGCCTGGCCTGGAGAGGTGCTTTCACCTCTTCCCTGTTTCAGCCAGTCTTCAATGTGGCCTGTAGTAAAGTCCCACCTCCTACCCCATAAGGAAGCTTAGGAAGTCTTCACAATAAAATAATAGGTAAGGTGTAGATGGAAATGGGATATAGGGGGGCCAAAAAAAAAAAAAAAAACCCTACCAGAACTAATAAGTGAATTTGAAAAATCTGTCAATTCAAAAGATGATAAATATTGTATTGTTATTATAATTAGTTAATAATCTTTGACATTTAAAGCCACCCACTATAATCCCCAACACTGTGAGAGAGTTGAGACACTGCAAGACCAGCAGGTTTTAGCTTCACCTTCTCAGTCATACTTAGAAGGCACAATATCCTTCTGCAGACCCAAGGTCTTTCTCTCCACTGCACTCCCCAGGTAACTTGTGTGCCGTGATAGCACAGCCAATACTTTGGAGACTTGAGCAAATGGTGGAGGGAAATGCCAATCAATAATATTGATGATAAATGTTTACCAGATGTCTGATCAATCAATAATGAAGCAAAACAGAAACAGGAACAAAATGAAACAAAAATTAAGGTAGGGGCAGTGCATTGCCTGTTATTGCGTGACTGGTGGCCAGTTATGAGACCTCTCCTCTCACACCCCACCGTGTTCAGCTGCAATTATGCTTTAAATGTTTACTCTCTCTGACAATTTCCTTTAGTTAATATTGATGATTTGGGTTTGTTGTTTTCCTAATTATTCTTTTCAAGGCTAAAGTCAAGCATATTTACACTACGCTTCTCTATGTATATTTACAAGAAGCACT
Organism: Homo sapiens; assembly: GCF_000001405.40. Lineage (NCBI taxonomy): Eukaryota > Metazoa > Chordata > Mammalia > Primates > Hominidae > Homo > Homo sapiens. Next base: position 36,160,923 of record NC_000006.12, on the reverse strand, counting down.
TTCTCAGACTGAAGCAGCCTGTCTTCAAAGAAATAACCACACACCACGCATACCTCCAATTGTTCTTCCTGAAGCGTGTTTTATTCTGTGTTTTTCTCTCTCTAGCATATCTCCTCTGAATTTTATTCTTGTGCCATAGGCCTTATAGCATTGCTCTGTTGTGTGTTGAATTGAAATCCTAAACCCTGTGGCTGTGACTTTATTTGGAAATAGGATCCTTGGAGACATGATCAAGTTAAGGTGAGGTCACACTGGAATAGGGTGGGCCCTAAATCCAATGACTGGTGTTCTTATAAGGAGAAGGAGATTTAAAGACACACACACACAGAGGGAAGACAGCCATGTGCAGACAGACAGAGATTGGAGTGATGCAGCTATAAACCACGAAATGCCAAGAATTTCCAGCAACCACCAGAAGCTAGGAAAGGGCAAGGAAGAATTCTTCCTCCCTTAGAGCCTTCAGAAGGAGCACAACTCTGCTGACATTTGACTTCAGAGTTCTGGCCTCCAGAACTGTGAGAGAATGCATTTCTATTGTTTCAGGCCATCCAGTTTGTAGGAATTTGTTATAGCAGCCGTAGGAAACTCATACTCACTCTTCACCTCAGCTTATCTAAATTAAACATGTCAGACAGAAACACTATGAATGATTTGGTGGGTTATCTTTATAAGAAGCATGCTTAGGCCGGGTGTGGTGGCTCATGCCTGTAATCCCAGCACTTTGGGAAGCTAAGGCAGGCAGATCGCTTGAGCTCAGGAGTTCAAGACCAGCCTAGGCAACATGGCAAAACTCTTGTCTCTACAAAAAATACAAAAATTAGCTGGGCATGGAGGCACACACCTGTAGTCCCAGCTACTCAGGAGGCTTGGGTGGGAGGATCACTTGAGCCTGGGAGGCAGAGGTTGTAGTGAGCTGAGATGGAGCCAGTATACTCCAGCCTGGGTGACAGAGCGAGAGACCCTGTCTCAAAAAAAAAAAAAAGCATACTTAATCAGAACCTGCAGTTATTTACAAAATCAATTACCTAACAAGTCTATCAAATACATTTCTTTCTTTCTTTTTTTTTTTTTTTTTTTGTGACAGAGTCTCGCTCTGTCGTCCAGGCTGGAGTGCAGTGTACGTTTCTTACAAATATTGTTTTAAATGAAATAAAAGTGTGATCGTTAAAGCCATTCAGAACTCAAATTACTATGCCTATTACTAATTCCATTTGGAACTCCATTACAGAAAGAAAAGGCAAATGGGAAGAAACTAGTTAAATTTTCTTTGATACAAGAGATGTTGTCCGTTTAAATTATCTAACAGAGAGCCAAGTGTAGTGGCTCATGCTTGTAATCCCAGCACTTTGGGAGGCCAAGGTGAGAGGATTGCGTTAAGTCCAGGAGTTCAAGACCAGCCTGCGCAACATAGTAAGACCCTGTTTCTACGAAACTAAAAAAATTAGCCAGGCATGGGGGCACACACCTGTAGTCCCAGCTACTCAAGAGGCTGAGGTGGGAGGAGGGTTGCTTGAGCCTGGGAGGTTGAGGCTGCAATGAGCCGTGACTGTGCCATGCACTCCAGCCTGGGTGACAGAGTAAAACTCTATCTTAAAAATAAAAAATAAATAAACTCTGTAACAGAAACCTTTTGTTGTAGAAGTTTCCTGGCTGGGCGTGGTGGCTCACACCTGTAATCCTAGCATTTTGGGAGGCAGAGGCGAGAGGATTGCTTGAGGCCAAGAGTTCAGCCCAACCTGGCCAATATAGTAAGATCCTGTCTCATTAAAAGAAAAGAAAAAAAAAAAAAAAGAAGTTTCCTTACTAAGGCTGCAAGAAAAATCAGTGAAGAAGCTATTAATTGACAAGTGAGCACTTCATATAAATTTGGGCCAAACAGGCTGGAATTGAAGTTTGGGAAGTGTTTGCTCATTTATCTCCTGAGGTTGGTTCAGGAAATCGGCAACTACTACCTCCATATCATTTGCTCTCCTTCCTTTTAGAACTCCATGGCAATGTTTTGAGGATTAAAGAGGAGAGTGATGACTATCCAAACGTCAGAGAACGCAACTATGAGACTAGAGACACTGGAAAACTAAAAAAGTAACGGGCCTTTGCTGACTCAGGGAGATGATTTCCCAAGAGGGAAGAAAACTGGAACCTGAGAAATAAGTGATTTAGTAATGTGGCTGCTAAAATACGGAAAAACTAGAATGAATGGCTTACACATTTTTGAAATGAAGTTAGAAGAGGGTTATACTGTGAAGAAGAATGAAAAAGCCAAACATTTCATTCAGGTAAGCATATCACATAGGAGAAACTCTAGGTGACTTTGGTTTGGCAGTGAGTTTTTAGATACAACACCAAAGCACAATCCATAAAAGAAAAGAAAGATAGATAAGTTGGACTTCATTAAAATGAAAAACTTCTGCTCTGCAAAGACACTGTTAAGAGAATGAAAACACATGCCACAGACTATGAGAAAATATGTGCAAAACACCTATCTGATAAAGGAAGTATGTCTGAAATACAAAGAACTCTTAAAACTCAGCAATAAGAAAATGAACAACCTGATTAAAATATGGGCAAAAGAGCTGAATGGAAACCTCCCCAAAGAATATATGTAGATGGCAAATGAACATATGAAAAGATTCTCAACACAATATGTCACTAGAAAATTGCAAATTAAAACAAGATACCAGTATACACTTATTAGATGAGCTAAAATCCAAAATACTAAGAACAGCAAATGCTGATGAGGTTGTGGAGCAACAGGAGCTCTCATTCATTGCTGGTGGGAATGCAAAATGATGCAGCCACTTGGAAGACAGTCTGGCAGTTTCTTAAAGATTAAACAAAGGCTTACCAGACACTCCAGCAATTGCACTCTGTGTATGTGTGTGTATTTATATATGTGTGTGTATATGTGTGTGTGTATTTATATGTGTGTATTTGTGTGTGTGTGTGTATACAGGTATCCACAGGGGATTGGTTCCGGAAAGCTCCATGGATACCAAAATCTGAGGATGCTCAAGTTTCTTACATAAAATGGTGTGAGATTTGCATATAATCTATGCACATCCTCCTGTATACTTTATTTTTTATTGTATGTACTTATTTTTTGAGACGGGTTCTCAGTTTGTCACCCAGGCTGGAATGCAGTGGTGTGATCACAGCTCACTGCAGCCTTAACCTCTGGGACTTAAGCAATTCTCCCAGCTCAGCCTCCTGAGTAGCTGGGACCACAAGCATGCACCACTACACGTGGCTAATGTTATTTTTTGTAGAAATGGAAGTCTCACTGTGTTGCCCAGGCTAGGCTTCTGTATACTTTAAGTCATTTCTAGATCACTTATAATACCTAATACAATATATAAATGTTATGTAAATAGATGTTATACTGTATTTTTAAATTTTGTATTTTTTTAATTGTTCTATTGTTATTTTTTATTGTTTATTGTTTTGTTTATTGTTGTTTATTTTGTTTATTGTGTTGTTTATTGTTTTATTGTTGTTTATTGTTTATTGTTTTTATTGTTGTTTGGAATATTTTTGATCCCAGTTGGTTGAATCCATGGATGTGGAACCCATAGATATGGCGGGCCAACTATATTTATTATTTAGATCAAGATATATTTCAATATATAAATTTAAAAATCTTTTCTGAAATAAAAGAAGATTGACTCTTCTTTTCAAGTCAAAGAACATACCATGTGCCAGGCAAAATTGATTCAAACGTATCTTCGTAAAACTATTGGACAAGGGATCTTCTCTTGCTACCTGAATAAATAGTGTGAAAAATATGGTTGTTGAAGAGACAAAGTAATAGTATCTGTCAATTCATTTTGATAAACTTCAGTTTTGTAAGAGATTATATATATTTTGTATATATTTTGCATTATTTGTATATATGCATATTTTATATTATATATTTTATATATGTGTGTGTGTTTATATGTATGTGTGTATATATATATTTGACTCTTTATATCCATGGGTTCATCTAATTACCTCTGCTTCTATTTAACATTGTACTGGGCTGTTTTGTAGTGATGTTCAGGGAATACAATCAGGACAGTGCAGTTCTGCTCTGTAGAGGAGTTTCATGGGTGGATGTTGAAGAGCCTCAAGTCACCTTCCCAACCCTCCTACCAATATAGCTTCTCCCTGACTGGTTGAGATGAAGACTTAACCTGAAGATTGGTTTGATGTTACTGGTTTTCTGGTGCCCAGGTTATATGGTTTGGCTGTGTCCCCACCCAAATCTCATCTTGAATTGTAGTTATCATAATCCCCACATGTCGTGGGAAGGACCTGGTGGGAAGTAATTGAATCATGGAAGTGGTTTCTCCCATGCTGTTCTTGTGATAGTGAGTAAGTTCTCATGGGATCTTATGGTTTTATAAGGAGCTTCCCCCTTCACTCAGCTCTCATTCTTCTCCTTCCTGCCACTGTGTGGAGAAGGACATGTTTGCTTCCCCTTCTACCACGATTGTCAGTTTCCTGAGGCCTCCCCAGCCGTGCTGAACTGTGAGTCAATTAAGCCTTTCTCCTTTATAAATTACCCAGTCTCAGGTATGTCTTTATTAGCAGCATAAGAACGGACTAATGCACCAGGGCTCTCTTAGTGTTTGTTCTTCCCCATCACACCCTTCACATCTTTCTCTCTCTGTCCTGTCTTTCACACACACACATACACACACACACACCCTTTAGCTCATTACTGTAATACTGTCGCTTCTGTCCTTCCCCAGTGTTCCTTATTGGACAGAGGAGCTAGGGGATATGAGTTCACAGACCAAACTAAGATATCTGAGTAACACAACCACTTCAAAATAAAAAAATAAAAAAAATCATGGCCAGATGATGGATAACATCAGAAAGAGATGCGTTAGAACAGATGAACCAAGAGTTTAGAATAAGCATAATAAATATATTAAAATATGTAAGTGAGGATATTAGCAACATGATAATAATGAAATACATTGTATATGTACAATTCCAGGTTTCAGGGTTTTACTTTTAGCACATTAAATATGGCATTCCATTGTCTTTTGGCCTTCATTATTTCTGATGAGAAGTTAGCTGATTTTTCTACTCATGGTTCCCTGTATATAGTATATGCTGTTTTTCTTGGTCATTTTCCAGATTTTCTGTTTTTTAGTAGGTTGATTATGATATGTTCAAGAGTAGTTTTCTTTGTGTTAAGTTGTGTTGAGCTTCTTGGATCTGTAAGCTTATATTTATCGTCAAACTTGTGAAATTTTTGGCCATTATTTCTCCAAATAATTTACTTCTCCAAATATTTTTTCTGTCCCATTGTTTATTTCTTCTCCTTCTAGGAAATGTCCTATAAGTTACTGAAGCTTTGATTATCTTTTCAAATATTTTCATCTCTGTTCCTCAGATTATATAAATTTTATTGATTTTTATTCAACTTCACCTTTTCTTATTAAGCCTGTCTAGTGAGAGTTTCACTTCAGATATCATGCTTTTTAATTTTAGAATTGCCATTTGGTTCTTTTTTGTAGTTTCTAGTTCTTTGTTGAAATTGCCCATCTGTTCATTCATTATGACTGTGTTTTCAAAGTCCTTGAAAACATATATTATATTTGCTCTGAAATCTTTGACTACTAATTCCAATAGATGAAGTGTTTCAGGATTGGTTTTCATTGACTGCTTTTCTTTTCTTTTTTTCTTTTTTTTTTGTGACAGAGTCTCACTCTGTCACCCAGACTGGAGTGCAGTGGCGCCATCTTGGCTCACTGCAGCCTCTGCCTCCCCGGTTCAAGTGATTCTCCTGCCTCAGCCTCCTGAGTAGCTGGAATTACAGGCACGCACCACCTCGCCCAGATAATTTTTGTATTTTTAGTAGACATGGGGTTTCACCATGTTGGTCAGGATGGTCTCGATCTCTTGACCTTGTGATCTGCCCGACTTAGCCTGCCAAAATGCTGGGATTACAGGCGTGAGCCACTGCACCTGGCCAACTGCTTTTCATTGACTATGGATCACATTTCCCTGCTTGTTTTCAAGTTTCAAGTTTTAAAAAAATTGTATTATTCTAGACATTATAGATAATACAATATAGAGAATCTGGATTCTGTTACCTTCCTCTGAAGAGCATTTATTTTCAGGCAGCTAACTTGGCAGGCATAAATTTCCAAATTCTGTGTCCCCTGAGATGAGTGGCAGCTAAACTTTCTGCTCAGTTCTTTCAACTTCCTGTCTTTCACCTTCTGCTTGTTTCTTGCTGGGCTCCTTAAATTATCCCCTATCCATGCACATCAGGAGTCAGCCAAGGATTTGATCAGATTTTATATGCACTTTTAAGAAGCCTCTGTGGTTTCTTCATTTCTTAGATTTTCTTTCTAAATCCCATTCTCTGACTTGTCAAACCAGTAAGACTAGCCACTTTCTGGCCATCCTGTGCTACCTGTTCTGAAGAGTACCCTCAGGCAAAAGCCTTGTGATCACAAATCTTCCCCGCTGCACTTCCTTCTTCTGGTGGTTTACTCCCCTCTGGTTTCTGCCTGCTTTTGGTCTCTCCAGTGCCTTCCAATAGTTGGGTTTTTTATTATTTCTATAATGATCATAATACAATACAAGCGACTCCACCACTACTAGAAGCAGAACCTCTGACTTTTGATTTAAAACACTCAAGGGAAGATGTTGACTTGTCTGAAATCAAATACAAACATCCAAGGTAGAGATGTGCATTTGCTAGTCATCAGCATATGGATGGTATGGAAAGCCAGGAGAGTAGAAGAGACCATTTAGAGGGGAGCATGAACAGAAAAGGGCAACCAAGGAGAGAGCCATGGGCACTCCACCATTAGGAGATGCATCAGAGGAGTTGCTGGTGGAAGAGACTGAAAAGAAAAAACTGCAGTAAGAGGAAAACTTTGGGGGAATTAAGAAAAAAAAACTCTTAGAGATTCAGTTTCTTTGTTTGTTAAATTGGAATAATAATTGCTGTGTAATTAGTGCAAAGATTAGATGTGATATATTTAAAGTACCCAGAAGAGTGCACCTAGAAAACATGCAACAAAAGGATAGCTACACTACCCATGATTTATATCTGTTATATTTTATTTCCTTATTTCATGCAAATAGAATGAAGATCCCCTACATGTCTTACCAGGGGATAGGTGGGTGTTAGGATGGAAAAGGGAGAGAGGATCAACAAGGAAGAAGCCAGATGAGAGCGGGAAGGGCCTCCAGGGTGCCCATCCAAAGTGAACTCTGGATTGGTCAGCATCAAAATGGGAGAAGTGAAACATCTTTCCACCACCCCCAGGACTCGGTGTGTTTGCATGACTGATGAGTTGACTCCCTCTGGCTGTGAGCAGTACCTCCAGGTCCTTTCAGGGAAATGGGCTCAATTCACACAAAAGAAAGTAAAGCCTATAAATCAAGTCAAAAGATAGAGCTCTTTAAAAATTTATTTACTGGCCAGGCACGGTGGCTCACGCCTGTAATCCCAGCACTTTGGGAGGCCAAGGTGGGCAGATCACTTGAGGTCAGGAGTTCAAGACCAGCCTGGCCAATGTGGTGAAACCCTGTCTCTACTAAAATACAAAAATTAGCCGGGCATGGTGGCGGGCATCTGTAATCCCAGCTACTCGGGGGGCTTAGGCAGGAGAATCACTTGAACCTGGGAGGTGGAGGTTGCGGTAAGCCGAGATTGTATCACTATACTCCAGCCTAGGCAACATAGTGAGACCCTGTCTAAAAAAAAAAAAAAAAATTATTTACTAGCCAGGCACAGTGGCTCATGCCTGTAATGCCAGCACTTTGAGAGGCCAAGGCAGGTGGATCACTTGAAATCAGGAGTTCAAGACCAGCCTGGCCAACATGGTGAAACCCCCTCTGCACTAAAAATACAGAATTAGCTGCACATGGTGGTGGGCGCCTATAATCCCAGCTACTTGGGAAGCTGAGGCAGGAGAATTACTTGAACCACAGAGGCAGAACCCACACCACAGTAACTTGGTTGAAATGACTAAATTCATAGACAGAAACCATAGTTTTAAGTCTTTGGAATTAACAACAACAAAAAAGATAAAAAGCAAAACTGTCTCAAGAAGATACAGAACGTCTAAACAGGCCTGTAACAAGGAGTATGATTTAGTCATTTATAAACTTCCCCAGAAGAAAAGCCCAGACCCAGAGGTATCTGTCAGTATCTTTTCCTAGAACATTCCTACTTCCCCAAAGGCAGAGGTTGCAGTGAGCTGAGATTGTACCACTGTACTCCAGCCTGGGGTTCAAGCAATTCAAGACTCCATCTCAAAAAATTTATTTACTATTTGTATTAGTCCATTTTCACACTGCTGATGAAGACATACCCGAGACTGGGTAATTTATAAAGAGAAAGAGGTTTAATGGACTCACAATTCCATGTGGCTGAGGAGGCCTCACAATCATGGAAGAAGGCAAAAGGCACGCCTTACATGGTGGCAGGCAAGAGAGAGTGAGAGCCAAGCAAAAGGGGAAACCTCTTATCAAACCATGAAATCCCGTGAGACTTATTCATTACCTCCAGAATCATGGGGGAACCTCCCCTGTGATTCAGTTCTCTCCCACCGGGACCCTCCCACAACACATGGGAATTATGGGAGCTACAATTCAAGATGAGATTTGGGTGGGGACACAGCCAACCCATATCACTATTATTACTTATTTTTATTATGTTATTTATTGGATTATAACCAAGGTATAAAATAAACACCTGTTGGTCCATAGACGTAAATTATTGAGAAAAATAGCCCATACAGAAATATTGCAAATAATTTATCTAGATATTCCCTTCTCAAAGAAGTGGAGTACACTTCCCCTCTTTAAGTATGGGCTGTGCTTAGTGACTTATTTCCAAATATTATAGTGTGGGAAGAAGGGGGAGAAAATCACTTCACAGTGGAGAAGTCCGGCAAACACCACCTTAGCCAGGTGATCAAAGTTAACATCAGCAGTGCTAAGTCATATTGATAGGATATAGCCTTGATATGATGTGATGAGAAGGTTACTTTACTACTGTAGTCTTCCTTCCAAAAACACATTACCTGAGTCCAATCATGAGAAAAACATTAAACGAGTCCCAGCTGAAGGACATTTTACAAAATCCCTGACCAGTACTCCTCAAAACCACCAAGGTCATCGGAAACAAGAAAAATTTGAGAAACTGACATGGCCAAGAGGAGTTTAAGGACACACCATGACTAAATGAATATGGCATCCTAGATGGGATCCTGGAACAGAAAAAGAACATTAGGTAAAACTTTAGGAAATAAGTTTTACTGTAGAACTTTGGTAAAAACAAAGGAAACTGAATAAAGTATGAACTTTACTTAATAATAATGTATCAGGCCAGGCGCAGTGGCTCACGCCTTAATCCCAGCACTTTGGGAGGCCAAAGTGTGTGGATCACCTGAGGTCAGGAGTTCGAGACCAGCCTGACCAATACGCTGAAACCCCGTCTCTGCTAAAAATACAAAAATTAGCCAGGCGTGCTGGTGTGGGCCTGTAATCCCAGCTACTCGGGAGGCTGAGGCAGGAGAATCACTTGAACCCGGGAGGCAGAGGTTGCAATGAGCTGAGATCACGCCACTGCACCCCAGCCTGGGTGGCAGAGTGAGACTCTGTCTCAAGAAAAATAAATAAATAATAATATATCAATATTGGTTCATTAGTTGTGAAAAAAGTGCTGTACTAAGATATTAATAAGAAGGAAGCTGGGTGCAGCATATATGGAAATTCTCTGTGCTCTTCTTGCACCTATTTTATAAATCTAAAATAAAGAAGTTGTTCATTGTATAAGTTTTTGTTTGTTTTTTAAAGGATGAGGTCTTGCTGTGTTGCCCAGGCTGGTTTTGAACTCTTGAGCTCAAGTGATCCTTCTGCTTCAGCTTCCCAAGTAGTTGGGAATACACGCATGCCCCACTGTACCCTTAAAATAAAAAGTGTGTGTGTGTGTGTGTGTGTGTGTGTGTGTGTGTGTGTGTGTGTATAAAATCTTAATACTGTACACAGAGAAGTTCTTTTGAGATCATTTTATTCCTGGTTCTGAAAGAGGCAGCTGAAGTAATGGCTTCACTGTAAAAAAAAAAGGATAGGAACAGGCAGGGCTGGTGTGGACAAAGGCAAGCAGACTCCTAGGCAGGCAGAGATGGGTGCCAATTAATTGGGCAGAAACAATGAAAAGGTCTCAGAGAAGCAGAGAAACCCATATCCCATCCCACCTATTTTTAAAAATTGATGCCTAGGCCGAACACATCAGAAGTAATCAGTGGGCAACACTGGTTTAAAAAAAGAAAGGAGGGAAGGAAGGGAGAGGGGTGAGGGGGGAAAAAGAGAGGGAGAGAATTTCCACTTACAAAAATTACTCTTATTTAAAACAGCTTTTTGGAATGTTAGCAAGATTTCACAATGCAGACATCTCAGTTTGAGACAGCTTGATTGATTTCCTGATTTCCAGGAAAACAGAGCTATCATCTTGTTCCTGCTTCGTTGTTTACTGGCATAAATATGCAGTTCTTACAAAATGTGAAATGGCTGCTGAAGAAGTAAAATTTAATTCTTTTTGATATATTGTTCCAAATCCCCGCAAAAATGAAGAAACCAGTGGAGAAACTTTATTCCTCCCTTCCCAAAAATGAATGTGAAGAATTGTGGAAGATTTTGTTCCTTTGGGAGTTTGTACATGAACTAAAGGCTCTGAACCAGTCTGTTGGGCCCCAGAGTCAGATGGGAATAAGCACGGTTCACCTCCATACTTGCGTGTTATACCTACACAGCCCAACCAAAAACTGGAGGGCAGCAGCCGTGTTTTGTAGGTCCCATATTCCCAAGAGTATTAACATCATCCACAAGTGTTTTTGAGTACCCACTGATAGAACCACAACAATAGTAAAAATAGCTAATATTTACTGTGCACTCTGTATGCACTTTACCCTCACTAGTTCTATGAGCTGAGCTCTTCCAAGATTCCATCTTGGAGAAGGAAAATAAGGCTCAGAGGAGGAAAATACCCTGCTCCAAAATGCATGGTGTGACAAGCAGGCTTACATGCCCAGTTATTTGGTTAAACAGTCTAGATGTTGCTGCAAAGAAATTTTGTAGATGGAATTAGCATTTACAATCAGTTGGTTGTAGCAGATTACCCTCCCTACTGAGGGTGGGCCTCAACCAATCAGGAAAAGGCCTTAAGAGCAAAGTTGAGGTTTCTAGAAGGAATTCTGACTCAAGACTACAACATAGAGATCTTGCCTGAGTTTCCAGCCTGCCTGGCCTGCTCTATGAATTTCAGATTCAAGATTGCAACATCAACTCTTACCTGAATTGCTAGCCAGCTGGTCTGTCCTACAAACTTCAGACTTGCTAATCCCCAGCAATCTTGTCAGCCAATTCCTAAAAATAAATAAGGATAGATAGATATATAGATAGATAGATAATAGATAGATGATAGATACAGATATAGATGACAGATGATAGATACAGATATAGATAGATGATAGATATAGATTATAGATATACATGATATGTTGTGGGAAGTCAGGGACCCCAAACAGGGACCGGCTGAAACCATGGCAGAAGAACGTGGATTGTGAAGATTTTATGGACATTTATTAGTTCCCCAAATTAATACTTTTGTAATTTCTTATGCCTGTCTTTACTGCAGTCTCTAAACATAAATTGTAAAGATTTCATGGACACTTATCACTTCCCCAGTCAATACCCTTGTGATTTCCTATGCCTGTCTTTACTTTAGTCTCTTAATCCTGTCAGCCGAGGAGGATGTATGTCTCCTCAGGACTATGTGATAATTGCATTAACTGCACAAATTGTACAGCATGTGTGTTTGAGCAATATGAAATGTGGGCACCCTGAAAAAAGAACAGAATAACAGCAATTGTTCAGGGAATAAGAGAGATAACCTTAAACTCCGACCACCGGTGAGCCGCGCAGAACAGAGCCATATTTCTCTTCTTTCAAAAGTAAATGGGAGAAATATTGCTGAATTCTTTTTCTCAGCATGGAATATCCCTGAGAAAGAGAATGCGCACCTAGGGGTAGGTCTCTGAACTGGCCCCCACAGGGCGTACCTGTCTCTTATGGTCGAGATTGCAGAGGTGAGATAGACTCCAGTCTCCCATAGCACTCCCAGGCTTATTAGGAAGAGGAAATTCCCGCCTAATAAATTTTGGTCAGACCAGTTGATCTCAAAACCCTGTCTCCTGATAAGATGTTATCAATGACAATGGTGCCCGAAACTTTATTAGCAATTTTAATTTCGCCTCCATCTTGTGGTCCTGTGATCTCGCCCTGCCTCCACTTGCCTTGTGATATTCTATTACCCTGTTAAGTACCTGATTTCTGTCACCCAAACCTATTCGCACACTCCCTCCCCTTTTGAAAGTCCCTAATAAAAACTTGCTGGTTTTTGTGGCTTGTGGGGCATCACGGATCCTACCAACATGTGCTGTCTCCACCGGATGCCCAGCTTTAAAGTTTCTCTCTTTTGTACTCTGTCCCTTTATTTCTCAAGCCAGCCGATGCTTAGGAAAATAGAAAAGAACCTACGTGATTTTTGGGGCAGGTCCCCCAAAAATGATAGATACAGATACAGATAGATGATATATATAGATGATATAGATATAGGTGGATATAGATAGATGATAGAGATTTTTGCAAGTTCTGCATATATCCTGTTGGTTCTGTTTCTCTGGAGAACCCTGACTAATACACATGGCTAATAAGTGGCAAAGCCAGGATGCAACCCCGGGTCTTTTTGAATGCAAAACTGAGGCTCTTAACTCCACACTCAGCAGACCTTGCCCGAAAGGCTACTGGGGTTGTAATACAAGCAAGAGCTGCTGTAACCCAGCTGTGTTCCTACTGTGGGAACTAACACAGCCAGGCGGGGTATGGTACCTGGTGCTGTAAGCAAGAGGGGGCTATTTTTGGCTTTTGAGCAAGGGGATGAAATGTCTCAGCAGCATTAAGGGAGAAGGATCTGGCAGCAGAACAGATAAGAAAAGGAAGAGCCTAGAGGGAGGAAATCATTGTGTATTATTAATCTTATAATAGAACAGGTGCAAAGGGGCCTAGAGTGGCCAACACAGAATAGCTGGGAGGAGCCTTATCACAGAGGGGCCCCGAGATGTGGGATGAACAGGGAAACAAGGCAGAGGCAGGGAGGGGCCAGCAAGGTGGCCCTGCTAAATGGCCAAGGGATAGAGGGCATCGTGGGCCAGAGTGGGGGAGTCTGATGGGAGAGCTGGTCTAGGGAGGTTAGTTTAGGAAGGTTAAGTGGGAAGAGATGTGGTGGCCCAGTGGGAGGATTCCACGGAAAGCCTCCGGAGTCAGATCCAGGCTCTAGAGAGAGGACCAGGCTGGAGGGCCAGTACGGCTGGGAAGAAAGGGAAGCCACAGGCTAAGGACTTTGCTCTGTGAGCTAAGTCAAAGGCAGGAGGAAGCTGGCCCAGTGACCAGACTGGGGAGATAGAGCTGGAAGGCACTGGGGGGGTGGGAGACAGTCACACCACTGAGGAAGAGGGGCTCCCTGTAGAAGGGGGTGGCAGGCATGGTGGAGAGGCCTGGGACCCAGGACAGCAAGATTTGTTGATCAGAGACTGCTGTAGAACATGACAGAGTCCTTGTGGAAGAAGGGTAGATGGTGAAGGCAGGTATCAGGGTGTTTGCTAGGGAGTCGTGGTGAGAAAACAGAGGTGACAAACACAGACTCCTCTTTGAAGACAGTTTGTCAAGAAGGTAAAGAACCCAGGTGGGAATAAGGTAGTAGACCCACTGAGGAGGGATTTAACATGGACACAAGGTGAGTGGGAAAAACTGCTACTGAGAAGGAGGAAGTGGAGATGTCAGGAAGATGGGGTAATCGAGGAGGGAAGAGGATGTGGTAGAGAAAATAATAAAAATAACAGTTAATGCTTGGCAAGCACTTCCTTTGTGCCAGGTACTGTTCTGAGTACATTCCTTATCTTTATTTCTTTAGTGTTGCTGTCCTCATTTTACAGATGAAGAAACTGAGGCCCCAGATCACAGGGCTGGTGAGAAGAACGTGATATCTCCAGAGCTAACACTTAACTACTATAGTGTACCACACAAGGAGAGAGCAGCATTAGAGAGGGGTGCCACTTCCTCTGATGGAAGATAAAAAAGAAAGATTGCCAGCCTGGGCAACATAGTGAGACCCTGTCTCTACAAAAAATAAAAATAAAAAAATTAGCTAGGTGTGGTGGCATGTGCCTGTAGTCCTAGCTACTTGGGAGGCTGAGGTGGGAGGATTGCTTGAGCCCAAGAGTTTGAGGTTGCAGTGGGCTATGATTGTGCCACTGCACTCCAGCCTGGGCAACAGAGCGAGACCCTGTGTCTAAAAAAAGAAACAAATAAGATAAAAGGAAAGGCCGAACTAAACTCAGATTTCTAAAGGCAATGCCCTATCCTGCCGGGCTGGAGGAAATCCAACTGCAGCCTTTACTGTGGTTCTTCCTGGGAACTTTACAAAACTTCTGCCATCTTACGGACCCCACAATCTGGAGAAAGCCCCCGTGCATATGAGTCTGTATTGAAACCACTGAGATGCTGTGCCAGTTAAGAATGTATGAGCCATACATACAAGAAACCTGCCTGATAGCGGCTTAAGCTAAAAAGTGATTATTTAGTTATTTCACACAGCAAGAGGTCTAGAGGCAGGCAGTCCTCAGAGTGGTTTCATAGTTCCCTGATGTATCCAAGCATTTAGGAACTTTCCATCCTTCCATTCCATCGTCCTCAGTGTATGGGCCTTTTACCCTAGGCTTGCTACCTCATAGTCACACCATGGCTGCCAGAGCTGCAGAGCTCACAAAACCATCTTCAGGGCAGGTAGCAGGTGCAGACCACCTGTATCTTCTTCCCAGACTTCTCCCAAGTTCTCTTGGGCAGGACTGAGTCCTAAATCGATCCCTAGCAAAGGGAAAATCAGCACATTTGGTTTAGGGCTTTCATGGGTCACCTTCTGGAGCTGGGGGAAAGGCCACCTTCCCAAGCAAGCTGCATCTAGAATAAAATGTGAGTTCTTTAAGGAAGATGGGAGAATGGCTGTTGGGTGGGTAACCAACACGTCTGTCTCAGAAGACCACTGACCCAGTCCACAGGGCTCTTTGGGGTCCATGGTCTGCTGCCCCAGGCCACACTCCGGACACAGAAATTTCAGCCAAAACCAGGAGCCCTGGTCTTAGGGTCCAGCCTTCCCGGGCACACCCAGCAGCTCCTTCCTGGGCTTTGCCAGGGTGTTGTGGGGAGCTGGCACCGTCCCAAATGAATATGGGGACTCATGGGCTTCAAACTCCTTCTGGTCAGGAGAAACCTCCTATCTAAGCCACAGTGCTTCCCAACCACACTTCCCTCTCTCATCCCCCACCTTGTCCCATCCCAGGGTCCTGGCCAAATATTCTCAATAGTGAGACCTTTGGGAACACAGAGAGGAATGTATTGTGGCAGCTCCTTCTCTTGGCCAGTTAACACAAACTTGTCCCAAGGTGTGGCTACCTTTGTGCCTATGGTGGCCGGGGGCTCAGGGGCAGTAACACAGGGAGCAAAAAACACAAATTCATCTCCATAGTGCCCGTGCCACACTGGCAGCAGGAAGAATGGTGCAGTGGTAAATTGGAGACCTGAGCCCTCGCCCTACTCTGGGCCTAAGTGTCTTCATCAGTAAAATTGTTTAGAGGGACCACAGTAGGGCAGGGATGGAGGAGTTCCACCCATTCTGCAAACTAGATATAGAGGCCTCCACCAATTCCCTAACACAGGGTTCCCCAACCCCCAGGCAGGGGGCCGATACCTGTCTGTGGCCTGTTAGGAACGAGCTGCATAGCTGGAGGTGAGCCGCAGGTGAGTATTACAGCCTGAGCTCTGCCTCCTGCCAGATCAGTGGCGGCACAAGATTCTCATAGGAGCACGAACCCTATTGTGAACTGCACATGCAAGGGATCCAGGTTGCACGTTCCTTATGAGAATCTAATGCCTGATGATCTGAAGTGGAACAGTTTCACCCAAAACCATTCCCCACCCAAAACCTTTCCATCCATGGAAAAGTTGTCTTCCACAAAACCAGTCCCTGGAGCTAAAAACGTTGGGGAGTGCTGCCCTAGCAAAATGCCCCAGTCAGGTCCATTTCTACCCAGATGGTGAGGTTGGGCGGTCCAGAGGAGCGGGCCCTGATGAGTGTGTGGGCGTCCAGGTGCAGTGCTGGAAGTTTCCAGCCTGGCTCCATGATCATAGAGGGTGGGGCTGGGGGGTTTGTTAGGAATTGACAGAGGATACCTAAAGCCTCATTTCAGTAGCTAGAACAGCCTCATTCCAATAGCTCATAACTGGGGTCCACAAACTATAGAATTCAGGGGTCTGTGCACTTGGATTGGAATAGAATACAACTTTATTTTCAGTCATTTCTATTTCCTTGGTTATGAACAAAGGTAGCAAAGTGCAGTTGTATCAGCAGTGCCAATAGAAATTACAGAGTTTTTCATATCCCTTTACAGTTTGCCACAGGTATCTATCTTAAAATATTGTTTACACTCATCTCTCTTCAGTTTACCATTGTTTAATAGGCCTACCCTCGATCTTTTTATTCAATATGTTAATAAAGAAACCTATACACATAGTATCACGTTATACATTTTAAAAATATTTTGACAACTGTATATAAATATAACTAGCTTACTTTGTAATCCTACATATTTTATGTGTATGAAAATATTATTCTGAAATTAGCCAGGCATGGTGGTGCATGCCTATAGTCCCAGCTACTTGGGAGGCTGAGGTGGGAGGATCACCTGAACCCAGGGAGGTCGAGGCTACAGTGAGCTGTGATTGCACCACTGCACTCCAGCCTGGGTAATGGAGTGAGACCCCATCTCAAAAGAAAAGAAAAGAAAATATGATTTTGAGAAGCGATCCATGGCACAAAAAATGGCCAAGAGCCCCTGACTGAGAGGGGCCCTGTTGACACTCACATGCCACCCGCCCAGAGTGAGGGCAGCTGCCCAGCTGAGCAGGGACCCCGCAGGAGGAACCAGAGCAGGAGAATCCCTGGCACCACCCTTGCTCCAGTACACACCCATGGGTGCTCAATGAAGAAGTGAGGACAACTTGCTGCCATCTTCAGTTTGATGGAATGGCCTTAGGCCTCTGCTGCCGATTGTGAAATCATCGGCCTCTTACCTAAAAGCTCAGGAGGATTTAGGGGGAATGCAGATAGAGCACATGAGTTCACTGTGTAATGAAGGAAGGGGAGCCTCCCAGCATTAGATCTTAGGGAATTGTTCAAATTTAAGGAAGCAAAAGCCAAGAGTTGGGAGGAGAGGCAGGGAGAGATTCCTCCCTCCTCAGCTGTAGCTATAGCATTGCTTGGGGCCATGGAAAAACAGTTTTCCACACCCTAGCAGACAGCAAAAGCTATTTCAATGTGCCAAGTGAAAGTTGAGCCATGCCCTCATCCAAACTAGCCCCCAGCCTCACGCAGGCAGCTCCGGGCACCCGTGCACACTGGGTTCACCCTTACGGAGCTGTTCCTCCATCAGGCAGCTCTGGGCACTGGTGCACACTGGGCTTGCCCTTACGGGGGCTATTCCTCCATTTCTGTCTCCCCTTGTGCTGCCCCTCACTGGGGGCAGCACCACCCCAATCCACGCCAGGCAAGCCCTGCCCTGGGACACCGCTGCTGTCTGTTTTCATGGATGACTCAGGCCCCAGCAAAGATACTCTTTGTTCCTCAAAAGAGGGAATGGAGGGTACACTTGCTCTTAGGAAATGTCCCCCACCTTGCAGTCTGGCTTCCTGATCTCTCTCTGTTAAGATCTTTTAAGCCACCCCATCAGCCACAGAACGAAGCGCATCCACCAAGAATACCTGAGCCCACATCTCCCCCTCCCTCGCCCCGCCAGCTCCTCTGCCCCCCACAGCAGGAGAATGGACTTGTTTCCTATTACACAGGCCATGTGCCCACTGGGCAAGACCCAAACCCGTGGAACCCCCACTCCCTCTACTCCCCACCCCCTCCACCCCCCACCTTGCACTGCTGAGCACCTCCACCGCCTTTTGAAGAAACTTCACAGATTTGAGAAAACTCTGTGGGAGGGGCTGAGGTTTAATTCCGGAGTGGGGATGGCCTAGGAGGACACCAGAGGATGAAGCGGGGGGTGGGGTCTGGGAGTCTGAAATAATAGAGATTTTCAGGAGAGCAGCTCAAAGGTACAGCCCAGGGCCGCCCACTTCTGCTTCCTGCTGGGCTCTCTGCCACCTTCCATATGACATTGGCCTGGTCGGGGCAAAGAAGTGACCGACAGGCCCCTGGGACATCTTTCACTCATTATTCATTCACGCACAGGTATTTGCTCACAGTGGGCAATGGGAAGGGGAGGCCAAACCACACACTAAATGCTGCCCACAGAGGGCCTGCAGCCCAGGGGGGATGATGGAGAACAGCTGCCTGGAGGGAGGCCTAAGGTAGAGCCTTGAAGGCCAAGGAGAATGGAGAGGAGAATGGAGGGCCTTCCACGCACGGGCACTAAAAGAAGGCCAAGCCTACTTGGGGAGAGGCAATATCGGGACCTGTGCACTGGGCTGCACTGGGCAAAAAAGGCTATGTGTGTCATGCTGTTGGGAGAAAATGGGTCCTGCGGTTAAGTACATCTGGGAAGTTCTGGATTAAATGAGGAACGGATCTCTTTACTGCAGGACTTGTCAAGACCTTTAACCTGTGAATGCAGAATGAACCTTACGGTGGATCCCAGGACTGGTGTCCCACACTGACATAAGGACTAGCTAGGGGAGGCAGTGGGAGCTGATGAGATTAGAGAGAACACAAGGGGTTTTGAATGCCAGGCCAAGAAGGAAGGCTAGACTTTTTCCTTGGGGCAGTGAGAATTCTCAGGAGGCTTAGAGGGATGTAGACTCAGGGAACCTGGGGCAGTTTTAGTAACCAGCGAGGCCAGGGCTGTGGCAAGACTAGCCAGTCCCAGTCAAGGACTCCCCAGCTCCTTGACAGCAGGGCCATTCTGTGGGAGAGAAAACAGAGACCATGGACACAGTCAGCAGTAAGGGTCTCAGACTGGCGTGAAGAGGGAAGGCTGGGCAACCCTTGAATCCAAGCTGGGTACAGTGCTCAAGCCTACTTGGGTTCCAATCTGACTCCACCACTTCCTAGCTGTGGGTGTCTGACCCAATGTCTCTGTGTCCTCAGGGTATTTGTTTTTTTTGTTTTTTTGAGATGGAGTCTCACTCTGTCACCCAGGCTGGAGTGCAGTGGTGTGATCTCAGCTCACTGCAACCTCCACCTCCCAGGTTCAAGCAATTCTGCCTCAGCCTCCCGAGTAGTTTGGGATTACAGGCATGCACCACCAAGCCCAGCTAATTTTTGTATTTTTGGTAGAGATGGGGTTTCACCATGTTGGCCAGGCTGGTCTTGAACTCCTGACCTCAAGTGATCCGCCCACCTCAGCCTCCCAAGGTGCTGGGATTACAGGCGTGAGCTACTGCGACCGGCCTGTGGTTTATTTTTTAGAGCAGTTTTAGGTTGGTAGAAAGTATAGAGGTTCCCACCTACTTCCTCCCCTTCTCTCTCCTCAGTTTTCTTGATGAGTAACATCTTGCATTAGTGTGGCACAATTGTTACAATTTATGAACCAATACTGATACATTATTATTAACTGAAGTCCATAGTTTACTTGAGGGTTCACTCTGTGTTATCCAGTCCTACAGATGGTAACAAATGCACAATAGGTATCCACCATTACAGTATTATACAGAAGAGTTTCAAGGCCTTAAAAATGCTGTCTGGGCCTGCAGGGTGGCTCATGCCTATAATCCCAGCACTTTGGGAGGCCAAAGTGGGAGGATCACTTGAGTCCAGAAGTTCAAGATCAGCCTGGGCAACATAGAGAAACCCCGCCTATACAAAAAAGAAAAAAAATGTTTTAATTAGCCACCTGCAGTCCTGGTGCACCTGGGTGGCACAGACCTGTAGTCCCAGCTACTTAGGAGGCTGAGGTGGGAGGATGGCTTGAGCCCAGGAGGCTGAGGTTGCAGTAAGATGTAATTGTGCCACTGAACTCCAGCCCGGGTGACAGAGCCAGACCCTGTCTCAAACAAACAAACAAAAAAAAGCTTTCTGAGCCTCAGTTTTAACACCTGTAAGATGAGTGTGAAACTCCATCTGAAGCCCCCCAGTCTCCTCCTATAGGTTTTTGATTTAGGCCTCCCAACAAATCAAGTATGACTGAAATCCACTAAATGTCTCGAACTATGGTCTGATATCCATCAGAATCACTAGGCTTGGGTCAGGGCGAGAGGTCCTCATTCAAATGCACATTCTAAGGTCTCAACTGCAGACCTGCTGAGTCACAAGCCCTGGGGTGGGGCCCAGGAATCTGCATTTTAACAAGTCCCCTGGTGCACAAGGAAATTTGAGACCCACTGTGCCCGACAGCTTGTGCACATGGAAATTTGTTCTGCCAAAGTTTCTCAGATAAAAACAGAGAGGTTCTAGCCACTGTCAGGTCAAAGCTCTGGAGAGCTGTGCCATCTCCCAAAGGGAGCAGAACGGTTTGCCATCAAGCCAGGCAAGAGCCCATTTCTGCCTGTGCAGCTCGCAGTCTCCGAGCCTGCTGTTGTTTCATATCTTGATTGCTTATCACTCACCCAAAATAACCTGAATGCAATCGCACCAGCTGCAGCTCTCTCTGCAACTCCCTTAATTTAGCAGCCAAACACATTGGGTTCCTTCACAGAGCACAAGGCCTCAGCACGGGGCCCAGGAAGGGGCCCCTCCCTCCCAGCTGTCTGTAGTGAGTTGAATCATTTCCCCCTGGAATTCATGTCCACCTGGAACCTGAGAATGTGACTTTATTTGGAACTAGAGTATTTGCAGGTTTAATTAATAAGGATCAAGATAAGATCACACAGGATTAGGGTGGGCCCTAAATCCAATGACTGTTGTTAAAAGAGGAGAGAACAGAAGAGACAGAGACTGGAGTGATGCAGCAATAAGCTGGGGAATGCCACGGACTGCCCACTGCCGCCACAAGCTAAAAAGAGCCAAGGAAGGATTCTTCCCCAGAGCCTTCAAAGGGACCACAGCCCTGCCAACACCTCCATCCCAGATTTCCAGCCTCCAGAACTGTAAGGGAATCAAGTTCTGCTGTTTCAATCCACCAGGTTTGTGGTAATTCGTTAGAGCATCCCTAGGAAACCAACACAGCATCACTGCCATAGGCCCCCGGCCTGGCTCAGCGCCCACTCAGCCCCACTCTGGCGGGAAGGAAAGGGCCCCACCTGCAGGCGATTCTCCAGATGGGCAGTTTAACGTGGCCTGTTAGGATCAGAGCTAGTTTCTCCCAACCGACATCTTTGAATTCTGCATCTACTAGGCCCATTTCCCACATAAGGAGAAGGACCCTTCTGTCCTCTGCTTGAAAGGCTGTATTCCAAGAAGGGCTGAGTTTGGTAGTGACAAATACTGGTCCTTGGGCAGTGTCTGGCCGGCGGTGCCATGCAAGATGAGTCCCTACAGCTTCATGCCACTCCGGCGCCGTGAGTCCTTCCGGGCAATGGGGCTGAAGTTCACAATCTCCTTGTAGATGTGCTCTGAGAAAGGCAGCATGGTTTAAGGTGCGTAAAGAGGTGCTGTGGCGAGAAAGTCCACCCCCCTTCAGAGACAGCATGGAGAGCGAAGTCAGCTCAAGGAGAAAGAAGCACCCAGGAGACAATGCCCACCAAGAAGGAGGTGGCAGGTAGGGCTGGCAGAGGCCAGGCACAAAGATGGAGGAAGCAAGGAAGAGAGGCTGCAGGCGGAGGCGAGGAAGCCCGAGGCCCCAGCTCTTACGCTTCCATTCATCCACTGTGAGTTTCTCGTGTTCTAAGGAATCATCAAACGGCTGCTGGGCCTCCGTCTCTTCCTCAGGGTCCCGGAAGGGTTCAAAGAAGGGATGGGTGAGGGCCTGCGCGGCCGTCAGGCGCTTGTCCACGTCTAGCTCCAGCATCTTCTCCAGCAGGTCCGCAGCTGCAGGGGCAGAGCCAAGAGCCTCACACCAGGGGCTGGGAGAGCCCGCCCTCTGGGATACGCTGAGAGGCCCCTGGGGAGCGGGCTCTGAGACTCACCCTGGGGGCTGGCCCGTGGGAACAGCTGAGTGAAATCCTTCCTGGGGGTCTGTGGCAGGGACTGGATGTAGGATTTGGCCTGGAAGACAGAAAAGCATCAAACCCCTTAGGGCTCTGGCCTCAGCGTGTAGAGCAGGGATTTCAGAAAAGCCTCAGAGCAGGGCTGAAAGTTCAGGTCAGGGTCCACGGTGAGATTAAGACAAGAGTGCCTGCCAGGGTAGGAGGATGCTGTGGGAAGGTGCTGGTGAGCCTTCTTCCACAAAGGCCTGCAGCCCACTGGGCCCACGTCAGGCAAGCACACAGCCCAGGCCAGCCTAGGTCCCATTTACCACCCACCGCTTTGTCGTTCAGCTTCTGCACAAACTCCGTGCCAGGCACCCCGGTCACTTTCAGGATCTGGGTCAGCTGGTCCAGGTCTTGGTGGCAGGTTAAGGCTTAGCCTTGCTCTCCTGGTGGGTCTGAGACTGCCCTTCCTGCGACCCCACCATCACTTCACCCGGGCACCATGGCAACTGATCATCCAGGCTCCAGCCCTGCCTAACCACCTCCTGCTCTCAGGAGGAGGCTTATTCTTCAGGGCTCAGGGCTCTGGAGAGCTTTCCAACGTGCCAGGCTGAGGGGGGTCCCTACCCAACAAATGGATGTGGACTTCTCAGCCTTCATCCCAGTGACTCTTTTCTGTTTCCTCGTCTTCTCACCAAAGGCCTGCCCTGCACACACAGGTACTCAGTTAATGTGTGCCGTGCCAAAATGTATTTTCCACGTAGTGGTAGAATTTTTCATCATTTTGCTTATCTACATTTTTTTTTTTTTTTTTTTTTTGAGACAGGGTCTCACTCTGTCACTCAGGCTGGAGTGCAGTGGCACAGTCTTGGCTCACTGCAACCTCCACCTCCTGGGTTCAAGCGATTTTCCTGCCTCAGCCTCCCGAGTAGCTGGGATTACAGGCGTGAACCACACCCGGCTAATTTTTGTATTTTTTGGTAGAGATGGGGTTTGACCACGTTGGCCAGGCTGGTCTCGAACTCCTAATCTCAGGTGATCCGCCTGCCATGGCCTCCCAAAGTGCTGGGATTATAGGTGTGAGCCACCATGCCCACCCAACATTTTGTTTTTTTTTTTTTTTTTTTTGAGTTAGGGTCTCCCTCTGTCACCCAGGCTGGAGTACAGTGGCACAATCATAGCTCACTGCAGCCTCAACCTCCCAGGCTCAACCCTCCCACCTCAGCCTCTCAAGTAGCTGGGATTTTTCTTTTTCTTTTTTTTGAGACAGAGTCTTGCTCTGTCACCCAGGCTGGAGTGCAGTGGCGCGATCTCAGCTCACTGCAAGCTCCACCTCCTGGGTTCACGCCATTCTCCTGCCTCAGCCTCCTGAGTAGCTGGGACTACAGGCGCCTGCCACCACGCCTGGCTAATTTTTTGTATTTTTAGTAGATACGGGGTTTCCCCTTGTTAGCCAGGATGGTCTCGATCTCCTGACCTCATGATCTGCCCGCCTCAGCCTCCCAGAGTGCTGGGATTACAGACATGAGCCACTGCGCCAGGCCCATGTCTGGCTAATTTAAAAAACTTTTTTAGAGATGGGGTCTCCCTATGTTGCCACATCTGGTCTCAAACTCCTGGGCTCAAAGGATCCTTCCACCTCAGCCTCCCAAAGTGCTGGGATTACAGGCATGAACCACTGCGTCCAGCCTTATCTGCATTTACAAATTATTCTACAGGGAGTATGTATCACTCTCACATTAAGAAAAAAAAGACAGTTATTTAAATAAAGTGTCTGTTGAAGGAAGGAATCCCTAGATGGAGTTTGGCTTTTCCAGCAAAGGATACAATCTTTCCCCTTGAACAGAGTTTTCCCTGTCAGCATCTCTGCCATGATACAGCCCACAGACCAGATGTCCACTGCAGAGGGAGGGAGAGTGTCACCTGGACTGTCTGGGGCCCAGCAGTCAGTCAGCACCGAGTGACCAGATGGCCCCAGGACCGCCCTCTCAGGCATTGACCACTGACCTGTCTGGTTGTAGTGCATCCAGCTGAGGATCACCTCGGGGGCTCGGTACCAGCGGGTCACCACGTAGCCAGTCATCTCGGCGTCTGCATGTCGCGCCAGCCCAAAATCCAGAATCTATGGCACAGGGGATAAATAGAAAAGGAACTTGCTGAGGGGAGGAGGCTCTGGGAGCGGCTTCCAGGGGCTTCCCTGGGGGAGGGCCTATCCCGCCTCTGGGCTGAGCCTGCAGCCCACTCACCTTCAGTTCACAGTCCTCATTCACAGCCAGGTTGCCTGGCTTCAGGTCCTGGGGGGAGGACAGAGAATGCATGCTAGGCTGAGGCAGAGATGGAGCTTGTCCTAGCTCCACCACCACCCAGGGGTGTGACCTCAGCCAGGCCCCTTCCCCTTCTGGGCCTCAGTTTCTTCATGTGTAAAATGAGGGTTGGACTAGGTGTTCTCTCAGGGCCCACCCAGCTCTAAAATGTTCCTGATTCTTGAAGCCTGAAACACTCAGCTCAGGGCTCACTTTGTCTGCAGCAATTCCCCATGAAGTCCCCTGGGACACAGTGACTCTTTTGAGCAGGCCTTCCTGGGCCGTGGCTGGGTGTGAAAACTCCACATTCTGTGCTCCTGGGCAGTGTCCCCTCCCTCCAACTTTCCCACTCCTTGATTGCCAGAGAACCCCATACCCAGGGATGGGACAGGGGCCTCTGAGGACCATGGCAGAGAAAGCACTCACCCTGTGCACGACCCCAGCAGAGTGGATGTACTATGTGGGAGAGAGAGAAGGGTGAGTCCATGGCCCAGCTTCCACACCAGGCACTTCAGGCTGGCCGACCTGTAACAGTGCGCTCCCTCCAGCCTCCCCAAACCTCAGGTCTAGACAGCAAGGCGTCCCCTCTGCCAGCCTCCAAGTCCCCACCCACCTTAAGGCCTTTGAGCATCTGATACACCAGGTACTGGATCTTCTCCTCACTGAACTCCATCCCCATGATCTTCTGCAGATCCGTCTGCATGAAGGGCATCACCAGGTAGCTGGAAGGCATGAGGGGTTCTTGGAACAGTGCCGGGTCCCACCCAGCCCCAGGTCAGAGCTCAGAGGAGGGACCTCAGGGCAGAACAGGGGTCATAGAGACACCCTCCAGTGTGCAAAAACTCAACTCCACCTCAGCCAGCCAGATCACCACACGGGCCTCTGGGCTCCTGGCTCCCAGTCTCCCTGTGGCGGGCCGCCCAGCTGGCAGAGCTCGGAGTAAGCGCTGCAGTTGGAGCGCGCTCAGGAAAGCCACATGGAACTGTGTTCCCGCTCTTCAAAGGTACTCTCTCCTTGCCCTCCTCCACACCCCAGGGAAAGCCACAGCTAGGAGTTAGAAACATCTGCCAGTATTTCCTTCGGCTTCTGTCCAAATATTTGATCCCTCAGAGGGTCATGCCCAGCTGAGATGGCTCCACAAACAAACAATATGTCTACCTTTCCAAGAAGGAAACAATACAACAGTTTCCAGGAGGGTGGAAGAGGGAGATGGGGAGGCTCCTGCAGCCTCTTAGGGGATTGCACAACAGGATAAGGCCAGCAAAATGTAACTGTTACAGTAAAAGCAAAGACCAGGACAAAGACAAAAAATAATAAAAATTATAAAATAGGCCAGGGGCATACCTCCAATCCCAGTGCTTTGGGAGATGGAGGCTGGACGATCGCTTGAGGCGAAGAGTTTAAGACCAGCCTGAGCAACATAGGGACCCATCTTTCTTTCTTCCTTTCTTTTTTTCTTTGAGATGGAGTCTTGCTCTGTCGCCCAGGCTAGAGTGCAGTGGCGTGATCTTGGCTCACTGCAACCTCCACCTCCCAGGTTCAAGCGATTTTCCTGCCTCAGCTTCCCTGAGTAGCTACAACTACAGGTGCACGCCAGAACGCCCAGCTAATTTTTGTATTCTTAGTAGAGACGGGGTTTTGCCATGTTGGCCAGGCTGGTCTCGAACTCCTGACCTCAGGTGATCTGCCTGCCTCGGCTTCCCAAAGTGCTGGGATTACAGGCGTGAGCCACCATGCCCGGCCTGGACCCCACCTTTCAGAAAAAAAAAAAAAAATTAGCCAGGTGTGGTGGCATGCACCTTTAGTCTTAGCTACTCAAGAGGCTGAGGTGGGAGGATCACTTGAGGCCGGGAATTCGAGATCAGGATGAGTAACATAGTGAGACCCCATATCTATAAAAATTAAAACAAAACAAAAAGCTGGACATGGTGGCATGCATCTGTAGTCCCACCTACTTGGGGGGCTGAGGCGGGAGGATGGCTTGAGCCTAGGAGTTGGAGGCTGCAGTGAACTGTGTTTGTGCCACTGCACTCCAGTCTGGGCAACCCAGCCCTATCTCTAGAATATAATAAATTTAAAACTTTTTTAAAATGAATGTTACCTTAAACAATTATGTAATAGGTTGTGTTTTTTGTTGTTGTTGTTGTTGTTGTTTTTGAAAGGACATGCTGGAGGCATCTCCAGGAGACTCTGGATTTTGGCAGCCCTCTCCTG
Source organism: Homo sapiens (assembly GCF_000001405.40). Lineage (NCBI taxonomy): Eukaryota > Metazoa > Chordata > Mammalia > Primates > Hominidae > Homo > Homo sapiens. The sequence goes on along the minus strand of NC_000006.12, from coordinate 36,134,260 downwards.
CCGGACCACACACCTCCCTTGGGGGCCTCTCCATGCCCAGTCCCCTCCTGTGTCTTTCCCCTCCACTCGGGCACTGGTTCTTTCATCTTGGCAACATGCTTCCTGAAGCCTCTCTGTGCTAGAACCACATTCCCTTGACTTTGCTTCTTCAACTGACCACCCCTTCTCCCTCTCTCACCACCAAACTTCTAGAAAGGGCGGTCCACACTCCTGGATCCCACTGCCTTACCTCCCAGTCCTGAGTTAACCTGGTTTCTGCTTCCCTCCTACTGCCAGACTGCTCAGCTCAAGGTCACCAGTGAACACCCGACAAACACACCATGACTCCCTTTTCTTCTGATCTAACCTTTCACCAAGTCTGAAACTCCCTCTCAATTCTTTGCTGACTCTCCTCTGCCTCCTATCAGGCCCTCTCAGCTTCTTCCATCTGCTCATCCTCTTGGATCTTCTCTTTCATGTTGATATCTGAATCAATACTATCTTACCACATTCTACAATTATCTGTTCCCGGGTGTCAGCTATAACCCATCGGTGATTATTCCAGCACAAATCCACATCCCTAGCCCAGACCTTCGTCTCCTGAGGTTCATATTTATTTGCAACTGTGATTAAACATTGGAATGTTCACAGTTTCTTTAAAAGTAAAGTGTCCAAAATGGAGTTCGTTATCTTTCCCCCAAGATCTGTTCTTCCTCTACCGTGTATTTCAAGCAGGAACCTGCCCATTCCTCCACCTCTGCCACCTCACTCAGCTACTGCACCCCAACAGATGGAACATTGTGTCGGCCCTGCCTCCCAAATGGGGCCTCAAGTCTGCTCTTGGCATCCCATCACCTCTGCTTTAGATCCCTACTTTAGATCACTAACACTGACCTCCAGGCTCTCCCCCTCTGCCTCCGAGCTGCTTCCTACTCCTTTCTTGCTGCTGCCAGTGTGCATCCCCCAAATCCCATCTGAACATATCACCTCCCGGCTCAAAGTCCCCAGGTCTTGAGGCTGCCTGTAGGGTCAGTCCAGATTCAGCTTGACCAAGCCAGCTGCTGGCCTCCACGTGCCACACTGACTTCTCCATCTTGTCCAAATAGTCCAGTCTCATTCAGACACTGCACAGGCAAAGCTATACATTTTGCAGCTAAATATTCTGGTTTTCTGCCATTCTGTCAAACACCCCCATCAGCCAGAGGCAGCCAAGGCTTCTTAATCCTTGCTTCATGCTAGAAAGAGCTCCAAGGTCCAGACTCACATCTGTGTCCCCAGGAAAGGTGAGTTGGTGCTAACCCTGTGAGGACTGGCAGATGTGTCTTCATGGTGTTAAAGCTGGGTAAAAAGCAAAGCAGCTGTGCAGACTGCCCCCTGCCAGGCAAGCACCCCACAAAGTCCTTCCTGCCTCTTCCTGCCTGCCTTTGGCTAAAAGCATCTTTCCAGAGAGAATCACACTTGACAGGCAAAGGCACAGGACTGCCAGGGAAGGAGGCTCTCCCCGCCACACCCGGAATAGAAACCCTAGACCCTCCCCCACCTTGCTCCCCAGCGGCATGTAAGGCCTGCAAATGCCCCAGAACCCAGTGCAGCCCAACTCACAAGTCATAGAAGTTGCGCAGGGAGGAGGCTGGGGTGAAGACATCCAGGAGCCCAATGACCTGGGGAAGAAGTCACCTGTGAGGGCTAGACAGACGCTACCTTCTCCTCCCACCTCCTCCTGGGCCCTGGCCATGCACAGGGCCATCCACCCTTTCCTAATACACCACCTCCAGCAGGAGGCATGTCTCCAACCTTCTTGGAAGCAGTAAAAAGGGCAGAGGCCTAGAGGAATCCCCTGGATTTGGAGGGAGTTTGCAATAAATCATGACAGAGAGTCAGGCTGGGGAGAAGGGAAGGTGGGGAGAATGATGTGTGCTCATTGCTGTCAAGTCTGGTGTCAGGGCAAGCAACACAAACCCACTCTCAACTCACCTAGGCAGCAGGAAAGCATAAGGGGAGGGTGGAAGGGAAAAAGGAGGGAACAGAGAAGGAGCTTTTCAGCCAGCAAACTCCCTGCCCCTGACCTTGGGTCTCCAGCCACATCCATCCTTGCCTGCCACAGGGCTGGTTCAGAGCCAAGGGCAAGATCACCCTGGCTGGAGGCCATAGGGGAGGGGTTTGCTGGAGAAGGATGGGCTTAAAATGTACATAACATTTTGAAATCATTCTTTGAAATGTCTGCCCTCCAATCTAGGTATCCTGCAGCAAAGCCTGGCTGCCAGGCCCTGAGCTGGGCCCCTGGTTTTCCCAGCTGCTTCTATCAGACAAGACAATCTGATGGTCATGTGCTCAGACCGGGAGCCTCGCTGCCGAGATTGAAACCCCAGCTCTGCTACTGACTAACCATCTAATCTGTGAGCCTTGCTGTGCTTTAGTTTCCTGTCTGTGACATGGGGGCAGTAGTACTCATATATCATGAGGACTAGACAAGTTAGTGTATGCAGAGCTCTTAGAACATAGGAAGTGCTCAATATGTGTATATTGCTATTGTTATCAGGGTCACGTGGACACAACGCTAACTAGGATTCTAGTCCCAGCTGGCCACAAGCTCTCAGACATGGAACCAATTACAAAGTTCCCCTGTGCCAATTTCCTCTGTAGGATAACACAGTCTGTACCTCACAAAGTGCATTCTGCCAAAAATACCCTTTGACCTCTTCCTGGAAAGTGGGCAGGGAAGGTCTCGGCACCCCCTCCTTTCAATAGTGAGGCGAGAGGCACCGTCAGGGGAGCAGGGAGGAGACTGTCCCGAGCTCTCCATACCGGGAGGCCCCGCCTGCGCCTGCCCCTGACTCCCCAGGGCAGCCCCCACCCCCTCCCCGGGGCAGCCACCACCTACGTTCTCATGCTGCATGTGCTTCAGCAGCAGCAGCTCCCGGTAGGCGCGCTTGGCGAAGATCTCGGACTGAAAGGGTCGGCTCAGCTTCTTGATGGCCACCTTCTCCCCTGACCGCTTGTCGATGGCCGAGCTGTCGGGCACAGGCCGGTCAGCAGGCGAGGCTCTCCTCCTGGGCCGTATCTCCCAGACCGCCCTGACCCCTCCCACTGGGCAGCTGGGCTGAGAGGGGACTAGGCCCACCACCTAGAATATGGGGGAGCCGCGGGACGCAGGGCAGGGAGTAGGAAGCCAGGCAGGAGCTGAGAGAGGGGCACAGCGCCAGGGGCAGCAACGTCTCATTGCGACGGGATCCACGGCAGGGCGGGAGTCTCACTCTGTCTGCAACTTGGCGAGCCACCTCCCCCTCTTGGGGCCTCGGTGTACTCGTCTGTAACAGTGAGGATCTGCCCGATGAACTCTGGGGTCTTGCAAGTGTACAGTCCTGGAGAACCAGGCCCAGTCCCAACTCAACCCCCAGAGACCTCACTCAGCCACTCGGTGAGAAAAGGGAGATGGCCGCTGGGTGGCCCCGGGGAGGGCGCTGGGCCTTGAGGTCCGCGGTCAAGGTGGCGCTGGCGAGGGGCCAGCCCAGGGCGGGCTGGGCGGAAAGGGGAGAGCCTGGCGCCCGCCCCCCGCCCCCCAGCGGCCCAGGGGTCTCACCACACGGAGCCATAGGCCCCGCTGCCGACGTGCGTCGGGGACACGTAGGTCTTGGGCAGCTCCCAGGCTGTCTTGTTGACGTCCTGCTTGTAGAAGCCCTTTTTCCGGATGAGGCTCATCCCGGGCACCCGATCTCGGCGGCCCCAGCGTGGCGGCTGCGTTCGCGGCCCAACGGGCTCCCAGCGCCCCGACCCCCGCTGCGCCCGCCCCGCGCCGCCCGCTCCTCCCCCGCGCGAGGGCGGGGGCCCCGGGCTGCTACGCTCCCACCTGCCGGCTCGCCCAGGTGCGCCGGGGCCGCCACGCCCGGGCCTGTCCAGCCCTGCGCTCCCGCGCTTCCGCCCGGCCCGACGGAGCCACTGCGGCAGGTGCGGCCCAGGCACGGGGTCGGGGCTGCCCAGCGGGACCCCGGTGCCTCCCAGCCGAGCGCGGGCCAGCGGCGGGGCTGGTGGGTCCAAGCAGGAGCGGGGAGGCAGTGCTTCCCAGTTCCCTCCAGCCCCGGTCTCCGTAGGAAGAGCTCCCTGTGACTGTGAACACACAGGAAAGCAGAACAAAACCCCACAACCTCTTCATTATGGAAAATGTCAAACATGCAGGAAAGAATTGAACAGAGTAAGCCAGCGCTTCTCACACTTCAGTGTGCTCAGGAATCCCCTGGGCATTTTATTTGATTAAAATACAGATCCTGACTCAGTAGGTTTGGGGTGGAGCCGAGATTCTGCATTTCTAGCCAGCTCCCAGGTCTGAGGCTTCTGAACCACATCTGATAGGAGGTTCTAATGAACCCCCGTGACCCCAATTCCCCAGCAACCACAACTCATAATCAATTTTATTTCATCCACATTCCTCTCCCACCATCGTTTTGAAGCAAAACCCAGGCGTCATATCATTTTATTCATAAATATTTTTGTATCTCTAAAACGTAAGGATTTTTAAAAGTACGTATCCACAATACTATATATATATATTTTTTGAGACTCTGTCGGAGTGCAGTTGCCATCTCGGCTCACTGCAACCTCCGCCTCCCGGGTTCAAGCAATTCTCTGCCTCCGCCTCCCGATTAGCTAGGATTGTAGGTGCCTGCCACCAAACCCGGCTAATTTTTGTATTTTTAATAGAGATGGGGTTTCACCATCTTGGCCAGGCTGGTCTTGAACTCCTGACCTCGTGAACCACCCGCCTCGGCCTCCGAAAGTGTTGGGATTACAGGCGTGAGCCACCGCGCCTGGCCCACAATACATTCTTAAACCTAAAATTAATAGCACTAATTCTATAATACCAAATATCCACGCAGGTTCAAATGTGCAGGATTTTTGTTTGTTTTTGACATGGAGTCTCACTCTATTGCCTAGGCTGGAGTGCAGTGGCGCCATCTCAGCTCACTGCAACCTCCGCCTCCCAGGTTCAAGCAATTCTCTTGCCTCAGCCTCCTGAGTAGCTGGGACTACAGGTGCACACCACCACTCCTAGCTAATTTTTGTATTTTTAGTAGAGACGGGGTTTCACCATGTTGGCCAGGCTGGTCTTCAACTCCTGACCTCAGGTGGTCCGCCCACCTCAGCCTCCCAAAGTGTTTGGATTACAGAAGTGAGCCACCGCACCTGGCCCAAATGTGCAGTTTTGAACACAGTTTCTGTGGACTTCCTAAGGCTCTATGAGGACAATGACTAATTGGGGCCCTTGCCACCTGTCTGGTGGCCTGTGCAGCCTGATGGAGATTCTTTGCTCAAACCACAAAGGCCTCTGAGGAGCAAGGTGGGCAGGTGGGGGGAGGAGATGGCTGCAAGGGCTCTGGATGCCCAGCCTGACTTGTCCAACCCCTCTCTTGCCCAGGCATGGGGCTGTGGAAGGGGCGGGGACCACCTGCTTCACTTTGTCAAAAAGAAGGTCTATTGAACAAGGAAAGAAATTTGCTAGGGGCTTACAGCAAGCCGGGGGCCCACACTAGGGAGTCTGCAGCCCCCAAACTCTGTGCCCCAAGCCCTCCCGGGCAGTCCTGCAGCCTCAGGCACAGCCTGGAAGATCATTCTGAGATGAGGGTGGGGTGCCATCATCACACAACAACACCTGCCATTATTTCAGTCAGGCAATCTGTCTTTTTCATTTCTGGCACATGGCAATATAACAGCAAATGTGTGGAGAATGAATGGAGGAGTCAGCCCATTAGATGTAAAAGAGTCATTTAATACACACTTGTGTTTGCCATGTGCCCGTCATTAAGTGTTTTATATAACTCACTTAATCCTGGTAAGAGGCCTGTGAGTCAGTAATATGATTATCCTCATTTTAGAGATGAGGAACCCGAGGTACAGAGAGGCTAAGTAATTTGCCCAAGGTAACACAGCTGGTAAGGGCAGAGCTGGGTGAAAGCAAGTACAGCCTGATTCTAGAGTCCCTGCTCTTGGCTGCGAGGCTATGCGGTGGCCTAGAGTTGACAGAATTGCTCCTCAAAGGAAATGGCCTTGCCCACATCATAAGGACATGTCTACTGATCCAACCATGTCTCCCTCAGTCCATCCTGCCCTGGGGTATCTGATATTTTCCCCAGCCTTTTCCCTCCCCCACCCCCTACTCTGGCCCTGAGACCCCATGAGAGCCTAAGGAACGGGGTCGCTTGCCTGTGAGTGCTGCAGGAGTTTTGGACCTTTGGGATCAGTGGCACCAGTGCAAGGTACCTTGATTCTGAAGTTGGGGTGGGGTCCTGGAAGCCAGATTTTAGGCTAGACGCAGGCAAAAGAGAGTAACTGACCTCAGAGATTCAGGTTTTCTTCTGGTTTGAGGATCCAGTAAGGAAAGGGGCTAGGATGTGGCACCAGGTCAGGATGGCGCCTCTCTGCTGCACGTCTTAAACACCTGAGTGGGGCAGAGGTGAGCCCAGGAAGGTGGGGATACCAAGGACATGCTCATCGCCCAAGTGGGTGCGATCTTCTGAGAGCACGAGTGGCCACTCTGGCTGTAGCTCCGGATGCTCTTGAGCAAGGGTCAGGAAGTGACTCAGGCCTCCGACTCTGCTGACACTGACCCCTACTCTGGGCCTGACTGGCTCTGCATTACTCAGCAGCCAGGCAGTCTGGGAGGGAGCCCTTGGAGGATCCAGTTGGGGAGTCATGAAAGGGAGGGGAGGAGGAGAGGGTCACTCAGGTCATCCTGGATACCCTGCTTCTCCAGCCTGAGGCTCTCTTTTGAGTTCCAAGGGCCCTTTGCTCTTCTCCTCTCCAAACACCAACCCAAGTTGTCTTGTTGGTTTCTGCCCTATGAGCATGGAGCATGGAGGCAGGGATTCAGGAAACTAGCTTTGGAATGAGGCCTGAATTTACATCCTTTCTCTGTCATTACCAGCTGTGTGACCTTGGGCAAAGTCTGGCCCTCTCTCTGAGCTTCAGTGTCCTCCTTGTGAAATGGGGATAATAATAAAGTATGACAAGCATATTGAAAGAGCCTTAGGATTGTATCATTTCAAGTACATATTCCTCACGACAACCCAATGAGGTAGGAACTTTCAATGCCTCCAACCAGAGATCACCAGAAACACACGTGTGGGTGAACAAGCTGAGCTGATGACTCGTTGCAACAAGGGAGAGCATGCACCATGGGGATCATGGGGCGTCCCAGGAAGGGGGCGTTAGAAAGGACTTAGTCTAATGTTTGGAGTTGTGTTAGGTGATTGGGGAGAGGTTAAGGAAGTGAGGCTTTGTTCTGGGTTGATGCTGTCAGGAAGTGGAGCTAACACTATGATTGGGAGTCTTAATACATCTTGCCTAGAAGGAAAGCAGACTAGAGCAAGGCTGAAGCTACAGCTGGTAAACCAGCAGCCTCCACTCAGCTTAGCTCTACAGGGGGATTTGGGTCATTTCTGTGATTTGACAATATTCATGTTTTGTCTGTGTTCAGATATGATTAAGGAGTAGTTTCATTTTTGTCTTAGTCTGCCCTGGTCGCGGATGGCCTTGTTCTATGCTGATGTCTGTGAAATCGTCTATGTTCAGCACAGCAAGACCGAATTGCACCAGGCTGGACAGCTCTGAGCAACCAAGTCCTGGCTGATAGGACCAGGCAGCTCCCAGATGTCAGGGCTGCTTTGGTCTAGTCTATTCCAATATAATTATTCCCCTGGTACAGATGGAGAGACTGAGGCCCGGAGAGGTTATGTAATTTGCCCAAGGTCGCACATAACTAAGAAAGTGGTGAACATGATCTTCATACCTGGCATCTGGCTCCTAAGTCTGCACATTTAACTGTCAACTAGAATTCCTGGTGCCCAGCAAGTGCCTGAGAAGTGGCTGCTGTTGTTGCATTGTCTTCCTAGCTAGCCTGTGAGCCTCTGGAGGCAGAGACATGGTGTGGGAATTGGTGACTGGTTTCTTAGAGATCGAGACAAAAGCCCCACATAACTATGAGACTGTCATGTCCCCTATCCTGGCCACCCAGACCCTATCTTGCCCCACGAGCACAGCAGCCACCCTGTCTGTCCCATATGGCAGGACCAGCATGAACCTCCTCACCATAATGAGGATGGGCCAGCAGGAACATCCTCACCATGAGACCTCCACAGAAATGAGAAAGCATGACACATCTGGGGTCCTGTGAGGGTGGGACAGGCCAGGGAGCCCTAGAGCTCTGGCCCCAGCTCTAGAGAGTCCCATGCTCTTCTGGGGCTTTCAAGACTCCATGAAACAAGCAAAATTACAAGGAGGCAGGGAGATGCAGAAGAAAGACTGCAGATGTGGGCTGCTCTGTGGCGTGGTAAGCTGTGTGATCTTAGACAAGTTAGTTGGCTCCTCTAAGCCTGTTTTCTCATTTGTAAAACGAGAGTGGGTGATAAGACCCATGTTACAGGGCTGTTGTGAAGACTAAACGAGATGACTAGAAAAGTGTCCAATTCAGTGCCTGGCACACAGTAGGTCTCGCCAGAGGCTCCTTCCCCAATGGACTGTGTCAGCTCTGCCCGGGTACTCCAGCTGCCCAACCCCAGCCCCTGCCCTTTGGCTGTCCAGTCCCTGCCCCAGAAGGTGTCCCCTCAGTGAGAGTCGGCTCCAACTCACGTCCAACTCCTCTATTAAGTTTTTTGCCAGATACTCAGCCCAAGGATTCATTGACCCATTCATTCAACATTTATTTGTTGGCTGGGCGTGGTAGCTCATGGCTGTATCCCAGCACTTTGGGAGGCTGGGGTGGGAGGATCACTTGAACCCAGGAGTTTGAGACCAGCCTGGACAACATGGTGAAACCCTGTTTCTACTAACAATAATAATAAAAATTAGCCAAGCATGGTGGCACACGCCTGTGGTCCCAGCTACTCAGGAGGCTGGGGTGGGAGGATTACTTGAGCCTGGGAGGTCGAGGCTGCACTGAGCTGCACTTCAGCCTGGGCAACAGAGCGAGACCTTGTCTCAATAAACAAGTAATTTAAAATGCTGGTATTTAATACTTCTCTATGGTTCAACTAAATGTAGTGGCAGGTGGTATTAAGTGCTATGAAGAAAATAAGGCAGAGTAAGGATCTAAAGGACTAGTGAGTACTATTTGATCAGGGAAGGTCTCTCTACGGAGGCAACATTTGAGCAACCCTTGAGTGGGTCTGGGAGTGAGCCCAGCGGACATCTGGGGAAAGAGCAGGTGCCTGCCTCCCAAACCCCTCAGGGGACACTTGACCCTGCAGACCAGGCACCCAGCCTCATTCCTCCTGTGCCCATTACTTCCCTACTCCAGCAGCCTCTGGTAAGTCCCTCAGGGGAACAGCTTAGAGCACCTGGGACACCTTACTGACCTCCGGAAACTTTTTTTTTTTTTTTTGAGACAGTCTTGCTCTGTCACTCAGGCTGGAGTGCAATGGCGCGATCTCGGCTCACTGCAACCTCCGCCTCCCAGGTTCAAGCAATTCTCCTGCCTCAGCCTCCTGAGCAGCTGGGATTATAGGCATGGCCAGCTAATTTTTGTATTTTTAGTAGAGACAGGGTTTCACCATGTTGGCCAGGCTGGTCTCGAACTCCTGAACTCAGGTGATCCGCCCGCCTCGGCCTCCCAAAGTGCTAGGATTACAGGCATGAGCCACCGAGCCTAGCCAGCCTCTGGAAACTTGATGGGGTGCTGGGCTCCTCCTGCAAGGCCATCTCCCCAACCTTGTCTCCCCATTACCTCTTCCCCTTCTCAGGGGCAAGGGCTGGTCAGCAGACTTAGGGCTCAAGCAGAACATCCATCCCAGCAGCAAAAGATAAGGCACCATCAGCCAGGTGCGGTGGCTCATGCTTGTAATCCCAACACTTTGGGAGGCCGAGGCAGGCAGATCACCTGAGGTCAGGAGTTCGAGACCTGCCTGGCCAACAAGGTGAAACCCTATCTCTACTAAAAATACAAAAATTAGCCGGGCATGGTGGTGCTTGCTTGTAATCCCAGCTACTTGGGAGGCTGAAGCAGGAGAATCACTTGAACCCAGGACGCAGAGGTTGCAGTGAGCCGAGATCGTGCCACTGCACCCCAGCCTGGGCAACAAGAGTGAAACTGCATTTCAAAAAGAACGAAAGGAAGGCAGGAAGGAAGGAAGGAAGGAAGGAAGGGAGGGAGGGAGGGAGGGAGGGAGGGAGGGAGGAGAGAGAGAGAGAGAAAGAGAGACAAGAAAGAAAAGGCACCCTCCCCCACTCCCCTGCACCTCCTCCACCTCCTCCTCTCTCCCCTCCTTCAGCTTTAGCACCCCCTGGTGGAAGACGGGGGTGGGGACAGCTCTGTGAGTCGGGCACCTCTCAGCCAGCCTTCTGGGTTCGGGATGACAGGCTTCCCCTCTTCACACCTCCCTCCCCACACCATCCGGTCCACACTCCCCGTTCCACTCCACCCCTAAGGCCTGCCTCCCTGCACCCAGCCCACATGTCACCCTCCACTCCACCCTACAAAGATGTGGCTGGGGTAAGGTCTGGTGCCCAGGCCTCCGCTCTGTTTGATCTCGGCCTTGTCCTTGGTAGCATTCAGCATAATATTAATCTGCATTGTCTCCTGTGACATGTCCCTCTCCACCTCTGGACAATGACTCTGTAAGGGCGAGGGCAGTATTCTGGCCACTGCTGAGCCCCCTGGCACTGTGCCTGGCCCATTGTAGCTGCTCAGTAAAGACTTAGTGACTGAACCAACCAAGGAGTTTTGTGTCTCTTCTGGGTACTACCCATAGGAGGAAGATGTGGCTTGAAGACCCAAATGGTGGGACCGAGTAAGCAATAGTAGGGGAATATGCTTGGCTAGCCTACCACAGGGTGGGATCTGGGATGTGTGGTCACTGTTCAGTCTGATACAATCTGTCCTAGGATGTTTCTGATTTTGCTGTTCTTCCCTTGCTCCCTGAGGGAAGGCCTAGAGGCCTCATCCTTGTGGGGCCCCCAAGGTCCTAGCATGAGGCTGGACCTTCGTATGGTGGTGAAAGAACCAGAGTGTACAACCTGAATCTGAGGCCTCTTCTCTTGCCACGAATTTGCACCATCCACTCCAAAGCAGGTTCCTCCCTGTGGACAGCCCTCCTCACCACTCCCACTGAAGCTCTGCATGAGCCAGATCCTCTCCCTATGGAATTGTCCACCTTTCCTTCCTTCCTCTTTCCTTCCCTCCCTCCCTCTCTCCCTCCCTTCCTTCTTTCCAAGCCTAACTCTAAACTCACATCTACAAGGAGGTGTTCCCGAGTGAACTCTAGATCCACTCACCCCACTAACCCTGTGCATATCCCTCTCCCCAAGACCCCCACTGCACACCACCCGCTTCCCCCTCCACAGGCTTTGTGACGTCCACATTCTTGAAGCGTGCTTGTACTCCTGTGAGCCAGTAGAGAGGTAGCTGAGTTCTGGGAGACAGGGCTGAGTCTGAATCTCGTGCCTCCATTTGTAGCTACAGGTGGAGCTTCCTCATCAGTAAGATGGGAGAATGTCACTTGCATAGCCAGGGACACCAGGAGGGTTTACTGAAGCAACACATGCCAGGTTGCAGGCATTGTGCATGGTGCTCCCTCTGGTCCTTCAGGACTGCTCATGTGTCACCTCCTCCGAGGTCCCCCTGACCTCATTACAAGCCATGCTCACCTGCCTTACCTGGCCTCGTGTTCTTCAAGCCCTGTGTACCTGTTTATTGTCTGCCCCCCTCTAATAGAATGTCTTGAGGTTGGCGAGGGTAGGGGCTTTGTCTATTTTGTTCATCACTGAATTCCACGTACCTGGAAGAGTGCCTGGCAGCCGGTGACTGGCCGAATGGCAGGGATGTAGCAGGGCCTTATCCCCAGCAGCCTTGTTATCGCTGCATCTCTGTCTGTGTGCAGCTGATATGCAGGCCCAACTCACCTTCGTGCCTGGGGCAGTCTCTGCTGTGCTGACCTGACAAACCGCAGTAATGGAGTCAGGTCCTGCCTGGACTCCTGTGTGCAGCCTGCCTCAGGCAGGAGAAGCTGTGCACCCTGGAGGCCACCTCCACAACCTGCCTGTCCAGGGCAGAGGCCACAGGGTCTCCTTGCTCCACCCCTTCTAAGTAAACTATCCAATGTCAGGACACATAGATCCTCCCCAGAAGCCCTATGGACCTTGGTCAGGGGCAAATAACCCCAAACAAGACTAGCAGGGCTACCTGCCATGGCAGAGGTTTGGGCTCTGATTCTAGCTCTGTCTCTAATTTGCTGTGTGACCTTAGGTAAGTCAGACTGCCTCTCTGGATACATTCATTTTCTATTATATGCATTTAATAAACATGGAAAGAGCACTAATTACTTCCCAAAAGTTGTTATAAGAGCTTTACATACATGTAACTTAATCCTCCTGAGGACTCTATGAGATGGGTTAACAGTATCCCCCATTTTATGTATAACAATGAGACACAGAGAGGTGAAGTGACTTGCCCAAGGACACACAGCTAGTAAGCACTAGAGCTGGGAGTGAAGACCAGGTAGTCTTGCCCAGGGTCAGTGCTAGTAACCACTATGCTTAGCTGCGCTGGATGATGCTTGTGAAAGGCCAATCTTTTGTAAGAAATAAAATTAAGTAGAAAGAACATTGCAAGACCCTGTCTCTAAAAAAATAAGAGTCACAGAGAGCTCCAGGACACCACTGTCACTGTCAGCCCGAGCACAGGTGTGGCAACAGGGATGAGTAAGGGGCTGTGGAGGGGAAGCCACCCTGATCCTGGTGACTACACTTCCCTGACAAACAGCTTCTCCCTGCTTCTCAGGCCTGGTCTTCACTCCCTCACACTTGCCCAGGGCTGCCCTTCCTAAGCCAGGGGGCACCCGGATCCAGCTTTGGTCACCTGGAAAGAGGGTGCTCCAGCTGGGCAGCTTGAGGGCAGCACAGCTCCCATGTGACAGGCAGCCAGCGGCAGGCAGCCCAGCTGTGATTAATCTTCCTGTTTCAGAGCAGCCCTGCCTCCCCATAACGCCCCACCCCCGGTAGCTCTCAGTGGCCTCTAGGATAAAGATTAAACTTCTTAGTCTGTTGGGCAAGGCTTGCCCCCATCCGGACAGGCCCTGCCTTTCTTGCTAATCGGATCCTCCAAGGTGTCTGTGCCCAGGCAACCTCCATTCTAGCGATCCGCAAGCGTGCCTTCCTCATCCCTGTCACCACGTCTTTGCTTGAGCTGTTTGTGACCTGTCTGGAATACCATCCTCTGCTTTGCCAAGGAGGGGGGGTGGGGCATCCTCGTTCCTTACAACCTGCTCAGCAGCTCTTCCTGGGCTGGCTTTGCCAGGCCACTCTCACCAGCACCCTTAGACTTGGAATTCTCAGTTAACTTTCAAACAAACCTAAATTGTAAGTTCTTGAGGGCACGAGTGTCTTATTTTTCTCTATCCTCCTTACCTACCTGGTGATTAAGGTAAAGCCTTAATCCATTCAACCAAATTTTGCCAGGCACCTCTCAAGACATTGAGAATACACGGACAAATGTCACAGTTCCTGTGCTTGAGAAGCTCCTACCCTAGTGAGGGCGGCAACAGGAAACAGTGACAACACTGTCGTCGGCAGGTGGGAGTGTCAACTGGGGCAAGCTTTTAGAACCATTTGGCAATGCTGCCAAAGTGTCAAAATGTGCACCTTGTTAATCCGGTAATCCCATAGCCATCAATTTAGTGAAAACGCGAAAACA